>NC_000002.12:233853254-234156284 GCF_000001405.40 Homo sapiens
GAATTGACCCCAGCCAGTGCAAAGTGTCACCAGCTATTTACCAAAAAGAATCCACAAGATTTCAGTCCGTTTACATTAACTATTAAACGGAATGCCTTCTCCTCCCTATTCAAGTACTTGGAGCCTCAAGGAAGACAGTTACTACTCCAAGTTAAACAGGGCAAACAATAGTCAATGTGAGTATTCACAGTGCGGGGCGGGGTACTGTTCACAGTTTCATAGGGATTGTACGTGACTGTTACAACACCCACGCCCAGGAGACATTATTGTCATCATCCTTCCCATTTCACAGATGAAGACACTGAGACCAGTCCAGCTAAGCAACTGCCCCACGCTGCCATGGTGGGGAGGTGGCCAGCGGGGATGCCAACCCGGTAAGCCGGAGGCATGTGAGCCAGGAGGCACCTATGTCTCTTCAGGAATTGTTCTAATAAGTAATTCAAGTAATTTACAGGTTTAAGGGCACCAATGTTTTGGTTCCTATTAGTTAGGTGAACAATGTTTACTTCTTAAGAGAGCAGGGACAGCATTTCAACTACTCCATTCACACTCTTCACCCGAATACTCAGAAGGTGGGGAAGACCCTTACCCTGTGGCGTCTCGTAGGTCAGCGTGGCCATTTGCACCACCGGGGTGTCCTCGAAGGGCTGGTTGTACTGCGGAGGAGGAAGGGGCTTCCTGTCAGGTTCCAGGGCCACGAGGGGCCCCAGACCCGGGAGGAGGCGGCGCCAGCCCGTGAGAGGCCGTTAGTCTGGCCTGGGGCGCCCCAAACGCGGTCTCTGCAGCGGAGCCCCCAACTCCGCCTCTCTCGTCCCACTCAGGAGCACCCCCAGCCCCACCAAACCCTCCTCTCTGCACCCGAGCCCCAGGCCTGCTTCCCCACTCCCCGTTCCGGAGGCCCCAGTCTTTCCTCCCCGTCCCCGCACCGAAGCCTTCGGCGCTGCCTCCTTTTTCCCTCTCC
The DNA here is from genome assembly GCF_000001405.40 of Homo sapiens. Classification (NCBI taxonomy): domain Eukaryota; kingdom Metazoa; phylum Chordata; class Mammalia; order Primates; family Hominidae; genus Homo; species Homo sapiens. Next base: position 233,854,216 of record NC_000002.12, read on the forward strand.
GGAGCCCCCAGCTCCGCCTCCACCTTCTCTCCGCATCCAAGCCCCAGTCCCGCTTCCCCAACCCCCGCTCCGAGTCCTCAGAGCCCCTTCCCTTCCCGTCCTACGTCCCCTCCCAGCCTCACTCCGACACGCAGGCCTCCCCTCCCGGCGGACCGGCGGGGGCCGCACCTTCTCTATCAGCCGCTGCATGCGCCTCTGGAAGCGGCGGCGACTGGCCCTGAGCTTCTGCAGCAGCTGGTCGTCTTCCACGTCCTCGCCCTCCATGGCGCGCAGCGTACCCAGCATCGGACCCAGCCAGTACCCAAGCGCCAACCCGGACTGCAGGGCCTCGCGCGCCACAAACTCAAATAGGAGACTCCGCCCTCCCTGCCTTCCTCTCGGTTTTCTATTGGCTAGAGCGGAGAAGCCGGGCACTGATTGGGCCTTTCAAACAAATTTGCGTCCCACCTTCCGGCCAATCCACTCCCGAGTTTCCAGCCACGCCCCAATGTCCGGCGGAAGGGAGGGAGGGTCTCCGGCCGCCACGGCCGGTGGTAGTTGTACAAACAGCTGTGTGCTTATTCATCAGCGGTGCTGTGCGAGATCCGGTGGGATGCGTGTCATCTCCCGCGCTGTGCACCGGAGATAAGTGCGGCCTGGAGATTTCTGCGTGACTTGCTCTGGGTGTCGCCGCTGGGCGAGGTCCGCCTTCCTCACCCCTCCGCCTGGGATCCCGGCGCAGTTTCCAGGGCAGGGGCCTAAGAAAGACAACCCCAAATTACCAACCCAAAAGGAGGCAGGATAGCGAATATTCATCTAGAAGGAAAAAATAAGTCTCAACGAATGACACATTTAAAGATGCTGACAAATGCGATACACATCACAAAATCCAGGAAAATACTTCTATTAACCCAGCTTTTTCCCTATGTATTTCTGATTGCATATTCTGCTTCTTCATTGATATTAATCTTGTAATATTTTCTCCAGAGAGAAGAGCAAGATAAATCAGTCTTTAGTATGGTTGATGGAATTTATGATTGACATCTTAGGAAAGTTTCATTCAGCTTCATCACTTAACCACATTTGTGTGCTTGTGCTGATATGATTACCATAGTATGTGATTGAAAATAAAAGCATTACTGAGCACCAGGAGGTCCCTTAGAGGGGGCTCTTCACCTCCTTTCAGCCTGCACGGCAATTCTATCATGATGTCCTGCGGAAATTTAGGTGGGAGTGGGTGGAGGGTAAGAACTTCAGGGCTCATGTAGTGTGTGTGTCCACAAAACGTGTTGCGTTGTGCTGGACACAGAGATGTGCTGGCCTGATTCCCCTTAAGATGCCACAGCTGCTAGGAGGGCAGTTGGCAGGGGCCTTCAGTTGTCAGCCTATTCTGGGATGATTCAGTTGCAGAGAACTCCCTCACCCAAGGTCCTGCTGCCCCAGGGTGGCCCAGCACCAGTGACTGATCCAGGTGGGAACAGGAAGGCTGTATCATTTCAGTCTGATGGAAGAAAACCCTGGGCCACTTTATCTTCCGAGCTCTCAATTCCACGGAATTGGATGGGGTAACCTACCAATCCTGTTTCTTTCCTTCCCTTCCTCCCTATATAAACATCCTCTCTGAGTCTTCTCCAGTTGCAGGATCTACACATTTAACTTGTACCTTTTCCAATTTTCACAAACAGACCGAGGTGTCTTCCTCCTCCTTCCTTAGGAGTGTTCAGAAACTTAACATGCTCTTCCTTGGACTCTGTGCTTCCCACACATAATTTACTTTTCAAACATCTAACTGGGCCCATTTAGAGACTTGAGACCTTGAATAAGATTTTCTTTTTTCTTTTTGAGTTTTGGATGATTGACTCTTCCATTGTTACCAGATAGAGTTGTCCAGGTTCTTGGTGTGTTGAACAAAGAATTGAACAAAACACACAAAGTAACAAAGGAATGAAGCAACGAAAAACAAAGCAACAGGAGAACGGAGTAAGGAAAGCACAGATTCATTGAAGACAATTCACAGAGTGCGAGCGGACTGGAGCCCGCAGCTCAAGAGCCTCTTCAATTAGGGTTTTTATAAAGCCAAAAGAACTTGGCAACACCCCTGGGTACCCTTTAGAGGCCTCCAATTGGTTACACCCTATGAAGGATTGGCCTGTGACCAATCAGAGCCTAAAGTGGAAACTTGGCCTGCAGTCATTCAGGGGCTGAAGTGGAAACTTCTTTCTTGTTATCACGGGAGTGAAGATGTAGCCTATGTCCTGCCCAATCTTGCTTAAAACTGGCTGCACCTGCTGTTCTCTTGCTTATGCGAACTGGCTGCATCTGCTGTTCCTTTGCTTATGCCTCAACCCTTTGCTACCCCAGTTCCCTATTCTCCTGCCTCACCATGACTCTCTAACAAGCACGATAGTACCAGTTTTCAAAACTGGCGTCTCCCAGGGCTTATTCTCTATTCCTGGGAAACCATTCCAAGATTTCCTTTGCTGGCTTCACTGACAATCCAAGCATCTGCCTCTGTCCTAGGAGTTTGGGGGCAGCTTCAGTGGAAAGATTTCTCAATCTCAAGTTCAAGTCTTTAATTGAAGTCCAAAACATACTTGCTTTAGCCAAACTCCTTCTGAGCCAGCCAAAGTCCATGCATTAACCCTTATTGTTCTGGCCTGGTGGTCTTCCAGTCGTCTCTGACTGGCTTTCCCCATCCCATGGTCTAAAGTGGTGCTCCAGCTAAAGAAAGAAGAACCCTGTATCATGCTTCTCATGTGATGCTGTAGCAGGACAAGCCGCAGACAAAACCCCTCAGACACCGAGTTAAAGAAGGAAGGGCTTTATTCAGCTGGGAGCTTCGGCAAGACTCACGTCTCCAACAACCGAGCTCTCCCGAGTGAGCAATTCCTGTCCCTTTTAAGGGCTCACAACTCTAAGGAGGTCCATGTGAGAGGGTCGTGATCGATTGAGCAAGCAGGGGGTAAGTGACTGGGGGCTGCATGCATCAGTAATTAGAATGGAACAGAACGGGACAGGGATTTTCACAGTGCTTTTCTATACAATGTCTGTAATCTATAGATAACATAACCGAGTAGGTCAGGGGTCGATCTTTAACTACCAGGCCCAGGGTGTGGCGCCAGGCTGTCTGCTTGTGGATTTCATTCCTGCCTTTTAGTTTTTACTTCTTTCTTTAGAGGCAGAAATTGAGCATAAGGCAATATGAGGAGTGGTCTCCTCCCTTAATGCCATTCTCTGTAACACCTCACCCTACCACCCTTGGCAGCCTAACCATATTACTCCAGACCTGCTAAGCAAACTCCTTTGCCACCACTTTCCACTCCCACATAACAGGGAAGGATCACAAGTCAGCTCCTTCCCCAGCAGCAGGTTTCTGGGTGCAGCATCTTGGAATCTCACAGGGTTTCCAGAGATGACGGCGGGTGGCTCCGGCTGCCCCTGCACAGTGCCCTCTACTGGCCGGGCTGGGATTTCCAACCCTCCAAGTGCTGTTTAAATGCCTAGGAAATAGTTCTCTTTAAAGTTATATTACGGCTGCTCTTATAAAATGTGCCTGAATTTTGCTTCAAATAAAAGAGATGGAGACTTATTCTGCATGGAGTTGTCATGTAAATATGTTTCTGTTGGAAAGGTGTGGAAATGTTACCACCAGTCTGTGGTTGGAGAAGCGCAGCTTTTGGCTGGTCCCAGCATTGACACAGAAACTGCTGTGTAACGGTGAGAATGTCAGTCTAAGATAAATTATCGCAAACATCAGACCCCACCTATTAGGCTGCTAAGAAAAGGGTTTGCTTTTTTCTGTTGCCCTAGAGCTGATGCAAACACAGAGGCTGTGAAATAGGCAACAAGCTGACTTTCCACGAGATGTCAGCCAAAGCTCACAAAATGTGTTGTTTGATTGAATGAGTCTCACATCTAACTGAAGTAATTAAGGATGCTGGCAAGAATTTAGCTGGAGGATCTTTCGTGAAGCAGTTTATAAAGTCCAATACTAGAAGGATGGCAAAATAAATGATGATAGATACTTGTGTTCTATTGGCAAGAATTTTGAAGAAGTGTAATTATTGATATCAAAATTCTATATGATCTGTTTAATACAAAAAGGTTATAAACCTGTATTATGTGTGCATTTAAAAAGTATATATTATATAATATAAAGTATGATTATACATGTTTTAAAAGTGTGAGTATATACGTCTCAGAATGTTTCCAGGGCCGTCTCTGGATGATGGTGTGATGAATTATTTTTAATATTAGTTTTCCATAGCTGCATTTTCTAGAATGAGCGTTTGCTGTGCAATTATGAGTTTGCATTACTGATGTAATTAGAAAACACAGGGGGCCAATTATCTTAGTTCATTTTGTGCTGCTATAATAAAACCTGAGAGTAATGAACCTGTAATTTATAATGAACAGAAATTTATTTCTCACAGATCTGAAGACTGGTGAGTCCCAGCCAGACTGAGTGATTGGCCTGTGGTGAGGGTCTGAGTGATTGGCCTCTGGCGATGGTCTTCTTGCTGTGCCATCTCATGGTGTAAAGTAGGAGAACAAGAGAGGGCAAGAGAGAGCAAAAGGGAGCCAAACTCATTCTTTTTTTTTTTTTTTGAGACAGTCTTGCCCTGTGACCCAGGTGGAGTACAATGGCATGATCTCAGCTCACTGCAACCTCTGCCTCCTGGGTTCAAGTGATTCTCCTGCCTCAGCCTCCTGAGTAGCTGAGATTACTGGTGCGTGCCACCACACCTAGCTAATTTTTTGTATTTTTAGTAGAGATGGGTTTGGCCAGGCTGGTCTCAAACTCCTGACCTCAAGTAATCCACCCACCTCAGCCTCACAAAGTGCTGGGATTACAGCCACTGTGCCCAGCCTTCAAACTCATTCTTTTATGAGAAACCCACTCCTGTGATCATTTCCATAATAATGGCATTAGTCCATTCCCTCTGCCATATGGCCTAATCACCTCTCATTAGGCCTCACCTCCCAACTCTGTTGCATTGGAGATTAAATTTCCAATACATGTTTCTGGGGGACACATTTAAACCACAGCACCCCTCATGTGTTTTTACCTTGGCTTTGCAAAATCAGGGGCCATTTATCCAAATAAGACAATGGCCCCAAACATTCTAAAGCTGCTATTGTACAGCAGGTACAACACATAGTTGGTAGCAATATATTCAGCTTTGTCTTTTCAGTTCAGATATTAAGGGTGGTCTTATCATTCTACGGCAAATCCAAAGTTTCTACTGAGGTCGTTTCAAGGACTCTCCCTTAGAAGCATTCTAGGGCATTCTCAGGCCAACAGGTATACTCACTGGGCCTCTTTGCCAAACTCCATTTATCCTTCATATCTGCTGCCAGGTAAGCCAGCCTCAACACTGAGTTCTTGATAGTTTCATTGAGCTTTCATTGCTGAATTTGTTACCCTAGGATTTATAATCAAAGTAATTAGATCTAGGTATTTCTATAAGATCATTAGACCTTATGGTTTGGGGATAAAAGATTTAGTAAATACCTTTGCTTATTCTCCTGCTGCTTGCTGTGTGTGTGTGTGTGTGTGTGTGTGTGTGTGTGTAGGCAGTCTTATTTCAACTGTCTTTGTTTTGTCCTGGATTATCTTGTGTTTATTGATCGCATAAGGGAGTGTTCCACGAAAGACAGATGCATATATGTTGATTATTTTCTGCTTCAATCTAATCCAGTCTTGAAGACAAATGGTTAGAGGTTCCTTAGACCTGTGACAATTATGTGAAAAGGCAATTAGTCGAACTTAGCCTTGGGCACCCTACAAAACCTTCATAATGACATTTATACTTTTGTCAACTTGTGGAAGAAGACCTCTTTGCTCAGTCTATATTTTAGGTCAAACAATTGTTGGGTCATTGGCAGCCTCGTTGATTTCTAGCTTCTGCTTGGTCTAACTTCTGACACCACTCATGAGCGCGCACTGTAGCACAGTCGACTGTAGTGACCCATCTTCCTTACGTGGATTTGTCTGTATCAAATTTTCAAACTCCTGCAGAAATTCTTCTTTCTATCTATAGTCTCATTATGATCCTTACTCTTGCATTCTTTTAGGTAAAAGGCAAAAGATGGCAAAAAAGATGGCCATTTTAAGGAAAGTTTGCTGTGTCAAAATCAAATCATATTTTAGGAGGCACTCTAGAAAAACTGGGAGGCAAACACACCAATCTTTCAATAGTCAGCTTCTTTATTTGGTGTGGTGGAGCTGAAAACACAAGTTGTCCAAGGACACTAACCTTCTGAAACCCACCCTGTTTGGATCTAAGCAACTTTTAACTTGTACCCCTTCTAGTCTTTTTATTCCTTCCTCCAATCTTCTAAATGAGTTAGTATTGCCTTGGGATTTCTCAGGAAAGGAACATTCATGTAAATGTGCAAGATCAGAAGGCAGATATATAGACATTGAATTTAAAACCTAATTTAGAGCTGAGTCAAAGACAATCTGTACAGGCTGCTATTAACAGGATACCATAGACTAACCAGCTTATAAACAATAGAAATTTATTTCTTACAGTTCTGGAGGCTGGGAAGTCCAAGATCAAGGTGCTAGCAAGGTAGGTTTCATTCTGAAGCCTCTTGTCTTGGCTTGCAGGTGGCCATGTGCTCACATGACCTCTTTTTTGTGCATGTGGGGAGACACTGTGTGAGAGAGAGCAAGCCCTCTGGTATCTCTTCTTATAAGGACACTAACCCTATTGGATCAGAGCTCCATCCTTATGACCTTATTTTACATTAATTATATACTTAAAGGCCCTACTTCCAAATATAGTCACTTGTGCGTTAGGGCTTCAACATATAAATTTTGGGGGGACACAATTCAGTCCATAGCAATGCTATAAATATTTTCTTATACTTCAGGAAGATGGACAGATATGTGCAATAGGATCTTTGTTATGTACTATTTTCATGAATGACTAGATGTGTACAGACTAGTTCACTTCATTTTAGCCCCTCAAATGGGGAAAGTAGTTGAAAACAAGGGGTTAGGAAAAAGATTTAAATAATCCATCTGAAAATTAAAAAATAATTAATTCTTAGAGACAAAAAGAAGGAAGCTCATTAAACACATTTTAGAAATCTGTCTCTTAAAAAGTAAATTGGACAAAGATGAAAATTTTCATAAAATAAACACTAGATTTAAAAATTGGATTCCAGGAATCTTTTGAACATTATTCTAGGGTAGGATCAACAGCTGAAAATGGACTCTGATTTTAATTAGGAGCCATAAATGAAAATATATATATAGAAAATCATGAATTTAGAAGGTAACATTTTCTGATAAGTAACTGAGCCATAGGAAAAAAAGAAGCTAGAAATAAAAATAAATATACAGCTCTATAAATGAAACAACTGGTCCCCCAAATAAAAACAAGACTCTAAGAGCCTCTGTAGTCTCTAAGAATCATGAGGTTATAAATAAGGACACCTGTAGATTTTGAGGAGAAAGACATTGGAAAAGCCAATGCCGTCTACTGAGGGTGCTACTCTTGGGGAGCTATTAGCACCCCCAAGTTCCTTGTCCTTTCTCTAATCTTCTGAGGAGAATTGTTTACAGATGGACAATGACATAGTTCCTCTTTTGATATGCATGGCCCTGTATCTACAATAAATCCTACTTCCATAGAACATCACCCCTTCAGAATCAAATTTTAAAGTTGTCTGAAAAGAATAAGGAAGGCACATTGACCAAAAGCAAGAAGAGAAAAATGAGAAATTTGGTTTTAAACTAAAAATGTCTTATTGTGCCAGATTGTCAAAGAGACAAACTTGAGGTATGCAATAAATTGTAGAAGCCTTGAGGGCAAATAAACTTTGTCTGTCTCGACTTACTAAAACCATCCAGGTAGTGGAAATTTCTAACAATCCTAAGCCCTTTCCTAAATTCCAACATGGTGTCTTCATCAGATGAATACTTTTTTTTTTTCTTTAGGGAACAATCTCTACATATCAGCCAGAGTTCTCTAGAGAAACAAAACCAATATGATATAGATAGATAGAAGATAGATAGATAGATAGATAGATAGATAGAAAGACATTTATTTTGAGGGATGGGTTCATGTGTTTATGGAGGCCAAGAAGTCCCATCATCTGCCGTCTGCAAGCTGGAGGTCCAGGAAAGGTGGTGGTGTGGTTCCGTTCAAGAACCAGGACCTCTGATGTCTGAAGGCAGAAGATGGATATCCCAGCTCAAGAAGAAAGCAAACTCACTCTTCCTCTACCTTTTTGTCCTATTCAGGGGTTCTCAACAGATTAGGCCATGCCCCCCCCACATTGGTGAGGGTGATTTTCTTTCCTTGGCCTGCCTATTCAAATGCTAATCTGTTCTGCTGACAGTAGGTGGAGTTTTGAAGAGTGTGGCGTTCAGGATTCGTGGAGTTTCAGTGGTGTCAGGGGCTGGTGCAGTCTGTGTAAGTGTGGGTACTCATGTGAGACTGCTGAGTCCTTGGAGAGGTCCATGGAACCCTTTTTCTTCTCAGTCTCCTCTTTTTGTCCTCATTCAGCCAAAGTTACAAGAAAGAATCAAAAAAATTATTCACCTCTTTACCACTATAAATGATTCTTTCTGAAGAGGAGGTTTCATTTGCAAAGATCGTATTTTCAGTTTGAACATTGATCAGCAGAATTTCATTCTTATTTCATCTTTGAATATTTCATTGAATCATCTGTCAGGACAGTAGCTGCACAAAATCATTTAAGACTCTAACAACAGATCTCAAACAATTGTGAGATTAAAAAAAAAAAACATATAGGCTGGGCGTGGTGGCTCACGCCTGTAATTCCAACACTTTGGGAGGCCAAGATGGGTGGATCATTTGAGGTCAGGAGTTCAAGACCAGCCAGGCCAACATGGTGACCCCATCTCCATTAGAAATACAAAAAAATTAGCTGGGCGTGGTGGCACACACCTGTAATCCCAGCCATTGGGGAAGGCTGAGGCAGGAGAATTGCTTGAACCTGGGAGATGGAGGTTGCAGTGAGCTGAGAACACACTACTGCACTCCAACCTGGGCAACAGTGTGAGACTCCATCTCAAAACAAACAAACAAACAAAACAAACAAACTTAGGAATATTATTTTAAGAAGGGATTGGGAGATTTCCTAAGAAAAGAATTTTCAACAACTTGGTGAGAAGCTCACCTTGCCTTTCTTTTAGCTTTGACATAGATTGGACCAAGTCACATAGAATTACTCTAGATACAGGAAGTATTATACAGGAAGTATTATAGAATTACTCCAGATAGCAGGAAGTATTATTAGCGACAGCCTAGACTCTCTCTTAATTGGCCCAAATAAAATCCAAGCTGGCCGGGCGCGGTGGCTCATGCCTGTAATCCCAGCACTTCGGGAGGCTGAGGTGGGTGAATCACGAAGTCAGGAGATCGAGACCATCCTGGCTAGCATGGTGAAACCCCGTCTCTACTAAAAATACAAAAAATTAGCTGGGCGCGGTGGCGGGCGCCTGTAGTCCCAGCTACTGGGGAGGCTGAGGCAGGAGAATGGCGTGAACCCAGGAGGCAGAGCTTGTAGTGAGCGGAGATGGCACCACTGCACTCCACCCTGGGCAACAGAGCGAGACTCCTTCTCAAAAAAAAAAAAAAAAAAAAAATCCAAGCTTATTCTATTATGCATAGCTACTATTTGGGCTGAGGAATTTAAACTGGCTTTATGTAGCTTGATTAAATTCACATTAGTAGCCTTAATTATAGAAATGGCTATTATTTGGGTCTTTCTAAGAGTTGGGAAGGCAACTCATCCTTAAGTTCACTTCAAATTGTCCTTCAAATTGGCTGCACAAGCAAAAGCTTAGGAGAGTTGTATTATAAAATTCAGCTCTCTAGTAAAGCCTAGTATTGGGCAAGAAAAGTAATTATCACCTAGACTTCCTGGTATCATCTCTTTTTATTCATTTTTAAGATAACATGAAAAAACCATTAAATTGGGATTTTGTTTTAGACTATCCAAAGATTGGTTATGGGCATAGATACTTTTTGAGTGAATGGAACACAAGTACGAGCTTCTCCTTCATTGGATAAGAGTAACAGAAGGCTGCCAGACTGAGTGTGTACATAGGAATATGGTAATATGTGAGGGAAAGAGTAACAATCAAATTAGTAAACGGCAGAAAAAATGTTGGGTGGTTTCTATTAACAGTAGGGATTTGCTGCATATATTAACATCAGATTTAAAGGTAATCCTAGTACAAGACCAAAAGATGCTTTGACTAATTTAGTAGAGGCCTGTAACTGCTTGGATACATGAAGCTAAGCCTTGGATATTGGATCAAAGAATAGCTAAAAAAGACCATGAGTTTTTGACATATGCCATGCCATAGAGGTAATACTTTTAAGAGCATCACTGTCCATTAAAAATATGTGAGACACATTGGTCATTTTAAGTTTTTAAAATATTAACATTTTTTAAAAGTAAAAAGAAATAGGTGAAGTTATTTTAAAAACATTTTATTTAACCCAATGTATCTAAAATATTGTCAGTTCGACATTTAACCAATGCTGAAAATTATTAATGAGATATGTTACATTTATTTTTACATATTAAGTCTTCAAACTCCAGTGCTCTAACCTCACACTTAGAGCACGTCTCAATTTGGACTAGCACAGTTCAAGCTCTTAGCCTTGTGACATACCTTATCCTTTCATGGACATGCAAGAGAATTATGATAATCTAGGAAGAATCCATCTGGACACTTACGGGTTTTGCTCAAATTAACTAACCAAAAATACATCCAGCTTTGTCTTTGTACTTCAGATATTGTGGGTGGCACGTCATTCTCTCACAGTATTATCACTTTCCTATTTGATGCTACTGAAGCCACAGTGGGAAGATATGTCTCTGTGGGCTTTCTATTAGGATCACAGAAAGTGAAATCTTTTCTGTTTTCTCTTATGTAGCAATTTGTGGGCTAGCACCTAAGGAATTTCTGACTCTAAAGACTAAATCTTATGTGGTCTAAAATTTACATTAAAATGTCAGCATAGTGTGCAATAAATATGTGGGTTAGTTTTAATTTCTACCTTTGGGGCTGTCAGGTGCCACAATGAGGAATACCTACTTTTTCAGGGGGAGCCAGTTTATATAATATATATTTTCCTAAGTAATCATTTTTGTCAAGACTTTCAAATTTACTGGTTTAAATGAATACGTAGCATTCTCTTATATTCCAATCGTCATTATATCTGTAGTTATGACTCCAAGTTAATTTTTTTTTCAAACAAGAGAGGCTTTATTTAGATCACCAAAAAGAACATTTTACAGAAAGGGAACCGTAACATTACACAAAAAAGTATAGCTGTAAAATTGCAAACAAGAAAGGCAATGCTTTCTTTAGATCACCAAAAATAATGTTTCACAGAGAAGGAACCGTCAGAAGCAAATTATAGCTGCAAATTTTCTTTTGCCATCAATATGGATTCCCTCTAAAATACTTTGAGACTACTTTGCAGTTTTCAAGTACAAACTAAACCTTGTTGGACAGTTGCTCAGCTTCATCAAGAGAATGAAACCAATTTGCAAAAAAAATTTTGTTTAATGCTAACAAATAACGAAACAATGTGGTTCTTGCTGACTAACTGCAATGTCTGCTGAAATGGCCTAACCTATGTACACTTCCATGAACATTTCACTGTGAACAGTTGCTTTTTACCTGCCATCACAGATGGCCTACAAAGTAGCAAGTGTCATGTCAGAACACTTTCAGGCACCTAGGAAATAATTCTAAACAGAGTAACTACAGTACATGGGGAACTCAAACAACAGGGCACACCTCTGTCAAAGCCCCCTGGTGGGCACTTTGTTTTGTGCTCTGGATAAAAACCCACCACCTTGTTAATTTTTTACCTGGAACTCAGAACACCATGCTAGATGGAGCAGTTGTTCTTACAGAACCATCAACACTTATTGACTGCCTGGGGGTTCCTGGTGCTGTAATGCACCTCAGAGGCAGCGACGTAAGCTGACTCTGGGAAGAAGTCATCGTGGTATTCTGCTAAAAACCTCACAAAGAGATCAAAGTGCTTCAATAAAGCCTTCAGATTCTTCTCAGTAAAGGACATTTTTCCAAGAATTTCTGGAAGTTTGACAAACAATCGCAGCAAATGTTGCGCCCCGTAAATGTAAGAGGGTGGAGGTGGCTGGTCACCTGGTGGGTAATTGTCAGGTACGAGCTTCCAGGAGAGGACCTCATTTATTTCATTAGTTCTTCTCCCTTCAAAGCCAGCAAACACAGGACTCCCTTCCTGGCTAGGAGTCAGAGTAGGTGAAGATGATCTGCTATGCACAGGTGTCTTCTTTTCCAGGTGCAGGAACAGCTTGGGCACACTGGTGGACATGTCCTGCTGCCAGCGCTTGGGCTGAGGTGAGGTGCTGCTCTTAGAAAGCCTGTCACAGTTGGCGGTGTGGGGCGAGGACCGCCTCAGAGACTGCACTGCTTGCGGCTCGGCTTTGCGCCTTTTAGGGGTGGCTGGTTCACCGCTGGTCGACTGACTCTCTGTAGACTGCGGCCTGGATGGATTCAACAAACGTAAGCTGGGAGAGAGCTTCTCCTGGCTCCTATTAGTATTTGTGGCACTTTCCTTAATTGCAAGAAAAACCTTAGATGCAGTCACCTTTTTATACTGAGCTTGTTCATAGGGATAGAGTAAAACCAACGGGAGAGTGTAATCAAAGGTTATTCTTAATCCATCCACCATCTCCTTACAAAGGTCAATATTCTTTTCTGCTGGGATATAAGGCACGTTCATGCTGGCATGTGGCATAGCGTGATGGTGACGAGGCCTCTCATTGGCTGAAAAGGCTGCACTGATAGCAAAATGCTTCACATAGGATTCCAAAATCGTTATGATGTTGGTGTGGCATGGAAGTTGCACTAACCGTTTCCTCCGATTAATGTAGTAACAATCATCCTCCAGCTGCCTCTTCAGAACTTCAGGGATTTCTAGAGTTACTGTTCTTTCTTCCATTTCCCTTTTTGTTTGAAGCTCCGGTTCTTCTTTCACTTCAGTCTTTTCTTCAATATCACATTCTTCACTTATTTTTTCATCCTTGTCTTCACTACTGTCAGAGGAACTGCTTAATGAGTTTTCATCATTTTCATTTTTTTCTTCGATGGAGAGGCCTTTTAAAAAAAGACAGAGTCAGCACCAAGCAACCTGGAGCGGCTGCTTCTTTCTCTCTTGCTCCTCAGGTGAGCTACAGCATTTCTTGCCAATTTATGCTGTAATCTACGAATTTCTTTCTTTCTTTCTTTCTTTTTTTTGTGACAAGAGTTTCGGTATTGTTGCCCAGGATGGAGTGCGGTGGCGCGGTCTCAGCACACTGCAACCTCCGCCTCCCGGGTTCAAGTGATTCTCCTGCCTCAGCCTCCAGAGTAGCTGGGATTATAGGCGCCCACCACCATGTCCTGCTAATTGTTTTGTATTTTTAGCAGAGACGGGGTTTCACCATGTTGGCCAGGCGGGTCTCAAACTCCTGACCTCAAGTGATCCGCCCACCTCGGCCTCCTAAAGTGCTGGGATTACAGGAGTGAGCCACCGCGCCCAGACCCTAATCTACGATTTTTTTTTTTTTTTTTTTTTGAGACAGAGTCTCACCCTGCCGCCCAGGCTAGAGTGCAATGGCGATCTCGGCTCACTGCAACCTCCGCCTCCCGGGTTGAAACGATTCTCCTGCCTCAGCCTCACAAATAGCTGGGATTACAGGCGCCCGCCACCACGCCCAACCACTTTTTGTATTTTTAGTAGAGACAGAGTTTCGCCATGTTGGCCAGGCTGGTCTCAAACTCCTGACCTCGTGATCCACCCGCCTCCGCCTCCCAAAATGCTGGGAAACAGGCGTGAGGCACCGCACCTGGCCAATCTACGATTTTCACTGGGCTCACGAAGCACATGATCTTCGGCTACCCATCTATCCCAGCTTCAGTTCCAACCGTTACAACGGATCAGCTATTCTGGGATCTTTCTGCCTTTTTCGCCTTTCCCAACAATAACATTAACAATCTAGGTCGGACGGCGTCCGACGGGAGCGTCCCACGGGAGCCTACGCGGCACCAGGCTGCACGGCAGGGGAGATTTAACGCGAAGAGAGAAACCCACCGTAGTTAAAAGGCCTCCTCCGTCGGCGGCTTGCGTCCGCGTCCCGGGCGCACACGTAGCGCCGGCTGCGCGACAGGGCGCGCGCGACGCTGCCGACGGCGCATGCGCGGTCCGGCATGCCGGGCGGAAGCCCCATTTGATTTCTAATGCTATTTATTTATGTATCCCTTGTCTCTCTTTAATTAATTATGTTGTTGAACTTTATCTGTTTTACTGGTCTTTTAAAGGAACCAGCGCTTAATGTTTCTTGATCACGTTTTTGTTTTTATTTTCTTTAATTTCTTGACTGTATTATTTTGTTCCTTTTAACTTAGGTTAAACTGTTCTAAAATCGTTTCTTGAATTGAAAGCATAATGAATTTACTTCCATTTACTTTTGTTTGCTAATAAATGCATTTAAGGCTGTCTATTCTCTGAGTACCAGTTCGTGATTTTCCTTTTGTTTCCTTCTTTGATACAAGCATTATTTAGAAGTTTTTATTACTATTTCTACTTGCAAGATAAATTTAATATTATTCCCTACTTTAAAAATCCTAAGTATACTACCAAGAGATATTGAATATTAAAATAATTAAAATTTATAGTCCTAACATTTTGCTTAATGATAAATACTAGAAGCATTTCATTTGTCAAGAAAAAAATCATTTTATATTTAATTTTAAAATTAAATATGCAATACATACAAAACCTTTTGTGGCATGCATAACATATAAAGAATAACAATAAAATGTCACTCATGTTGGTGTTTGAGTTCTTATGCTCTTGCCAACACTTAGTATTGTGTTTTTGCTAATATTCCCAGTGCAAAATTGAAGTAAAATTTGTATTTTTCTCCTTTATGATAGGCACTTTTGGTGTCTTATTTAAGAAATCATTTTATGTTCCGTGGTTATAAAACTTACCTCTCACGTTTAAACTTTTAATCCACTGGAACTGATTTTTGTATTTGCTTTAAGGTAGAAGGCCAATTCTCTTTTCCTTAATGTGGATAACAAATTGTCTTAGTAACATTTATTGAATAATTTATCCTTTCCTCACTGTTCTATAATGCCACCCCTGAACTGTATCTCTTCTATGTGTACATTGGCCTGTCTCTAGATTCTATATTGTATTTCACTGGTCCTTTTTTTTCTACCTTTGCACCTAATCACAGTGTTATAATAACTATCTAGCTGGGTAACTCTTCTCTCCTTGTTCGTTTTCCTTAGCTGTGTTATGGCTATGGTTGACCTTTGATTTTTCCATATACATCTTATTACCAGTTTGTTAGTTTTACAGAAACTCTTTTGGCATTTTCATTAGAATTACTTTGAATCTATAGATCAATTAGGGGGAATAATTGATATATTTATGCTATTGGATCTTCTAATCTGTTAACATGGAATATCCCTCCTGTGATTTAGGTCCTCTTTAATATCTTTCAAAAGATGGAATAAATTATAGTTTTCTTTATAGTTATAATTTTAGCAGTATATATTTTATGAATTATAATTTTATCAGATACATTTTGTTGGATTTTTAGAAGTCTTTTGTAAATTATATGATTTAAAGTTCCATTTTTCTACTGTTGATGTATGAAAATGCAATTGACATTTTAAAATTAGAATTTAATGAAATAATTACAGATTCACATGTAGTTGTAAGAAATAATTCAAGATGCCTCTTTTATACTTTAAATAGTTTCTCTGAAGGTAACATTTTGCTTGTGTTGGCTTTATTTTGCTCTTCTTTTTCTAATTTTTTGAGCTAGGAATATAAGTTGTTGATTTATAGCATTTAGTGCTATAAATTTCCCTCACATAATTGCTTTAGCTGCATCCCATATACTTCGATTATGTTTTCATTTTCATTCAATTCTATGTATTTTTAAAAGTTTCCTTTTATACTTCTTCTTTGATCCATGGCTTATTCAGAAGTACGTTGTTCAATTTTTACGTGTTTAGAGATTTTCTTGTTGTCTTCCTGTTATTGATTTCTAGTTTGATTCTATTATCATCAAAAGACATAATCTATATTATTTCAATACTTTTAAACTTGTTGAGACTTGTTTCATGGCCCAGAATACTGCCTATTTTGGTGTACGTTCCATGGGTGCTTGAAAAAATGCATATCCTGCTCTTGTTGGGTGGAGTAAAAGACTCCACAAGTCACTGAATGCTGTCAGTGGTATCCTTTGACTGAGATATTATTTGGCAAATAAAAATGAAGAGTTTGGATGTCTTGTCCTATATATAGTAGCAAGATGGTTCTCCAAATAAAACAGATGAAGATTCAGTTGAATATTTGCTTCTATTGTAAAAAATGTATAATCAATGACAAATTAAACAACTGAAATATTGAGAAATATAGTTATATTTGAAAGTTAAATGAGATCTTTCTTAATCTTTAAAAAAGTGAGATCAAAGTGAAGGGAATTACTATGGGGTTAATCAAGAAACTTACATAATTTAAAAATAACTCTCAATGTTTCATCTTTGTGGCAGACATATAAGGATAGGATTAAGGATGCTGATTTGGAAACATGTTATGCTAATTTAGGTTTTATTAAAAATTATGTGGTGATTACATTCAAAGATCTGTATAATCATGTGAGATCAGATCAGGTTGGGCAAATTAACCTCAGCATTAACCCACATTTCTAGGAGGAATTAGTTGCGCTACTAAACAATGACTTAGAGGTCAAACTTGACTTAATCTAATTACAGAAACTTTTTATTCTAGTTAAGAATTTCATGTCTACTGTGTAGCATAAGTAGCTTATTATAGCATTTTTGGCTACACAGTCAGGTGGAAAGGGTTCAGAGCAATAATTCAGTTACTGCAAAATATTGCTCATATATAAAAGAACAGATTTGAGACTTGGGAGAGATGAAACGCAGGGATCTTACTAAGTTTTATTAATGAAAGTTGTTTTAAGACATTTAATACTATTTCCAATCTACATACTAGAAATAACTAGAACAGTTTTGTAATATAATGAGAAGTTTTTATCGTGAAAATTAAATGCTGAAATAATGTACTTTTGGATTGCTGGTTCAAATCCACTGTACAGCTTTGAAACAACTGCCCAGTGACCTACAGTAGAACTTTTCTGTGTCCTCTTGGGTTCTGAGTTCTTTTTCCAGGCTGTTCTCCGTGCCTATCACCTGTTAAAGGATATGGCTCTGAGATCTTTCTATTACAAATGCTTTGCATTTGGTAAGATTTCAAGCCTGTGCCATTGTTATTACCCCATACGATGACCTAAATAATTTGCACAAATATAAAGCTTCCTAATATTTTCAACTTTAACACTCTGTAATTTGCCTTGTCATCTTATTCTTCTTTCAATTAAAATTATTTCCCCTTTTTCGTATCTTCACATAAATATGATCTACCATTACTAAACACTAACTTTAACTTCTTGTGTTTATTAGTACTTCAAATTTTTGGTTCTAGTGTTTATTAGTACTTCGTTCATTTTTCTGTATCTTTTATACAGAATGGCTTTTAATTTTCTTTCATGATTTTTTATAGCAGCTGAGCTTAAATATTTACTTTCATGATCATTTCAATATTGCAAGGGGGTCAGGAAAGTCTTTCTAAGAATGACATCAAAGGCAAGAAATAGAAAGAAAATATGTTTAAAAAATGTGAATACATAGAAATGAAACATTTCTTTATGACAAAATAAGACACATTTAATAAACAACAAAATGGAAAAAATAGTTGCATTCTATATTACAAAGGTTTAATAGGAAGAACGTATAAATAAGAACATGAAGACTCCAAAAAGAGAAAGGACAAAGTTCATAAATTGGCATTGTTAAAAGAAAAACTTCAGCTGAATTAAATTTAATGGAGTTTAATTGAGCAATGAACGATTCATGAATTGGGTAGCTCCCAGAATCACAGCAGATTCAGAGACTCCAGCACAGCCACATGGTGGAAGATTTATAGACAAAAAAAGGGAAGTGAGGTAGAGAAACAACTGGGTTGGTTACAGCTCAGCATTTGCTTTCTTTGAACGCAGTCTGAACACTCAGAAGTGTATGAGTGATTGAAGTATGGCTGCTGGGATTGGCCAAGACTCAATTATTGTTACAGTCACATACTCCTAAGTTAGGTTTTCAATCTTGTCTACCTATTAAGTTAGGTTGCAGTTTGTCCACAAGGACTCAAATATAGAAGTATGGAGTCCTTCTCAGGCAAAGTTTAGTTTGGTTTAAAAGCATCAACCAACATGGAATACAATGGCTCATAAATGTGTGAAACTTTCTGCCCCCCGAACTAAATTAAAAACCGTGAATCATCATTTGAAACCTATCAAATTAGTAACACAAAGAACAATAACAAATATTAGCGAGGGTGTGAAGAAGTGAATATTTTCTTATGCTTTGCATTAATTTGTATAAACTTTCCAGAGGTCAATTTAGTGCTATGTGTGAAGATCTTTTAAAACATGTCTGTTCTTTGATTTAACGAAGTCTACTTCTTGAAATGTATTCACGGTAATTGTGGATGTTGATGAGGATTTAGCTGGAGGACCTTTAGTGAAACACTGTTGATAATGTCCTATACTACAGGGATGGCTGAGTAAATGGTGATAGATACTGATTTGTGTTCCACTAACAACGCTTTTGAAGAACTGTATTTATTGGCATCTAAAATGTATTTAAAATTTTTAGTACAAAAGGAGATTCCAAACATATGTATTACATACATGCATTTAAAAAATATACATTATTTGTTTTAAAAGTTTGAGTGTGTATATATTAAGAAGTTTCCAGGGTTATCTCTGGATAATGGTGTGATGGGTTATTTCTAATATTAGTTGTTCTTAGCTGCATTTTCTAGAATGAGCATGCATTATGCAATCACGAGAGTGCATTACTTATATAATTAAAAAACACAGAAGACTGATTATGTGTTTTTCGCCTTGGCTTGACAAAATTAGAGCCCTTTTAGCCAAATAAGACACACATAGCTCCAAACCTTCTAAAACCGCTGGCGTACAGTTGGAGGGTGTTTTATCATCATTATCCCTCGCCTCCCAGCTCTTACCCAGAAATTGTTTTTCCTGGGAAAAGTAGGGCCACAGCTGTCTTTGGTGATGTTCCTGCCCCAGTTTCATGTGGTGGGGAATTGATTTTTATTTCTCACCGTATGCTTTTTGCAATACAAGCACACTTTTAGGGTCACGATTAATGTATTTTAATGGGCTATCCATCTTAAAAATCAATGAAAAGAATTTACATTAAAAATAGAAGGCAATTAGACTGATTTGGATGACCTATTTTTAATCAACCCCATTATTTACGGATCTGAAAACTCTCAGAACATCTTTCTCTGGAGCATTCAAGGATCGGTCCTCTGTTATGATGTGTGAATAATTTTAAAACAGGAGGCATGAGGTTGATTGATAACTTGTGAAATCTTTTTAAATTACCCACCTTAGAAATGCTCCAGGAGGCCCCCTTCCTCTTTCATCGGCCCTTTGCTGTTCTTTTTACCTCCCATGGTTTACTGGGATAAGTTTGACAGGTACAGAAGACATTGTGTTCTGTTTCTTGAAAAGTTTTGGGGCATCTACTCCTTACTTAGAATTAACTTTTAAGTCAGTAGTGTTACATCTTCTCTCAGCTATCTTCATCCCTTTATGTTCAACTGTTTTCACCATTGCATCTAATGTTCTTATTTCTTGCAAGAAACAAGAATTATTTATGTCACTCTCTTTTATCAAAATTATTTCTCAATTGTTATAAAATGCACAGAATTTAGGCTCTTTAGAAATTTTTGCTTTCTTAGCTTCTATATTTAAATTTTTAGCTTATACCCCAGATTTTTTTTGTATTGCTGAAGGGGATATGTATTTTAGAACTCTTGATGAATTTTCCTAATTTTACAGTTTTGGAAGTACTTGACAGAAAGCAAGTAACAACTGCCATTTCCATTCCTACTCATTTCTCTTGTTTCTAAGTAGTATTTTTACCACATTCTTGGATTTAGTATGAAAATGTTATGCTCTCCATT
The DNA here is from genome assembly GCF_000001405.40 of Homo sapiens. NCBI lineage: Eukaryota > Metazoa > Chordata > Mammalia > Primates > Hominidae > Homo > Homo sapiens. The sequence continues at coordinate 233,874,339 of NC_000002.12, forward strand.
TGCAGCCACTCCTCAGAAATTAATATAATTTGCTAGTGTTCTGAGGAGAAGTTACAGAAACCAGTTGTAATGGTTAATGTGGAGTGTCATCTTGATTGGATTGAAGGATGCAAAGTGTTGTTTCTGGGTGTGTCTGTGAGGGTGTTGCCAAAGGGGACTAACATTTGAGTCAGTGAACTGGGAGAGGCAGACCCACCCTCAGTCTGGGTGGGCACCACCTAATCGGCTGCCAGCGTGGCCAGAATAAAGCAGGCAGAAGAATGTGGAAGGACTTGACTGGTTTAGTCTTCCAGTCTACATTTTCCTCCTGTGCTGGATGCTTCCTGCCCTCAAACATTGGACTCCAAGTTCTTCAGCTTTGGGGCTCTTGGACCTTTGACCACAGACTGAAGGCTGCACTGTCTGTCAGCTTTCCTACTTTTGAGGTTTTGGGACTTGGACTGGCTTCCTTGCTCCTCAGCTTGCACACAGCCTATTGTGGGACCTGCCCTTGTGATTGTGTGAGTCAGTACTCCTTAATAAACTCATATATATATACACACACACACACACACACACACACATATATACATATATATACACATATATGTGTGTGTATATATATATATATCCTATTAGTTCTGTCCCTCTAGAGAACCCTAATACACCAATGAACAACGTCTCCTGTCCCCGGAGCAGTGAGTAGTGGTTTGCTGTAAGTACCATTGAGTCTGATAGTCTCTGAAGGAACCATGGCCTTTTTCTAGTCAGGAGAGTCCTGAGTTTAAGTTAGTGTGCTTGAGAACATGTACTTGTAAATTAAGACTAAGCCAATGCCAACCATGAAGTGGTGATGGCCATAGCTTTTCCCTTCCCACTAATGTTTACTGCAGGCTTACAGTTCACCAGGCTGGCATATCATGTACATCATGCTGCTTCATCCCCATCACAGTTCTGTGAGGTCAACACTTATTATCCACATTTTACAGAATGGAGACTGAGGCTGGGGGAAGTGGGGTTGTGGAGAGGTAGCTTGTCCAGGGTCACCAAATAACTAGTGCAGCTGGAATTTGAAACCAAATAGAATAAGAAAGTTGGCCAAAGATCAGGCAGGACTCTTCTTCTTGTCAGGCCCTGAGTCAATTTTTTAATAGATTGCATTTATTATTTTTTAATTTAATTTTTAAAATTTTTATTTTACTTTAAGTTCTGGGATACAGAACGTGCAGGTTTGTTACATAGGTATATATGTGCCATGGTGGTTTGCTGCACCTATCAACCCGTCATCTAGGTTTTAAGCCCCACATGCATTAGGTATTTCTCCTAATGCTCTCCCTCCCCTTTCCCCCCACCCCCTGACAGGCCCCGGTGTGTGATGTTCCCCTCCCTGTTTCCATGTATTCTCATTGTTCAACTCCCACTTATGAGTGAGAACATAAGTGGTGTTTGGTTTTCTGTTTCTGTGTTAGTTTGCTGAGAATGATGGTTTTCAGCTTTATCCATGTCCCTGCAAAGGACGTGAACTCATTCTTTTTTATGGCTGCATAGTATTCCATGGTGTATGTGTGCCACATTTTCTTTATCCAGTCTATCATTGATGGGCATTTGGGTTGGTTCCAAGTCTTTGCTATTGTAAGTAGTGCTGCAATAGATTGCATTTTTTAGAGCAATTTTTGGGTTACAGCAAAAATAAGCAGAAAGTATAGAGATTTTCCATAAGGCCCCTGTCCCCACACATGCACAGCCTCCATTATCAACATCCCCAAGAAGGTACATTTGTTGCAAGCGATGAACCTACATGACACATCATTATCACTCGATGTCCATAGTTTACATTAGGGTTCACTAATGGTGTTGTACATTCTGTGGGTTTGGACACGTTTATAATGACGTGTGTCTACCATCGTAGTATCATATAGAGTAGTTTTACTGCCCTAAAAATGTTATGTGCTCCAGCTATTCATCCCTCTGTTCTCCTCAATCCCTGCCAACCACTGATCTCTTTACTGTCTTCATAGATTTGCCTTCTCCAGAATGTCACATAAATGGAATCATATAGCATGTAGCCTTTTTAGATTGGCTTCTGTCACAACTAATTTCACAAGTAATGTGCATTTAAGTTTCCCCTGTGTCTTCTCATGGCTTGATAGTTCATTTCTTTTGAGCTCTGAATAATATTGCATTGCCTGGATGTACCACAGTCTATCCATTCACCTACTGAAGGATATCTTAAGTTGCTTCCAAGTTTTGGCAATTATAGATAAAACTGCTGTAAACCTCTGTGTGCAGGTTTTTGTGTGGACATAAGTTTTCAACTTCTTTGGATATATGACAAGGAGTGGAATTCCTGGATTGTATCGTAAGAGTATGCTTAGTTTTGTAAGAAACTGCCAAACTATCTTCCAAAGTGGCTGTACCATTGTACATTTTCACCAGCAATGAATGAGAGATCCTTTGGCTCCGCACTAATTTTTTTTCAACATTGAAAGATTTAGAATTGTAAGAAGTAGCCATTCATCAAATGATCTTTATGAACAAAGTTATATCTATTTTCTGTTCAATATATTACTCGAGATTCAGGTATTGCCTGTACTAGTTTCTCAGGCCTCAGCCAGTGAGCAGAGTTTTATTTGTCTCAAAATCCACACAACAAAGACCGCTTTTTGTGGAAGGAAGAGCATAGAGAGCTTTGTTTATTGGGATCAGTCTCCGAGGCATCATCTGGTTTACTTCCAGGATGGGAGAGACCTATGATTTGTTTTTTTTTCCCCCATATTTTAATTGAAGCTGTTTATTGATGAAACAAAAGGGAAAAGCATGCTTCAGATTACCAAGCAAAAACACTTTATTAAATATAAAGGTTAGTTTTCAACAATTCTGGAAATTTCAATCAAGAAAGGGTGGATATTTTCCAAAATGGCGTTGAAAATTGTGTTCATTGTATACCCTCATGATCTAAGGAGCTGGGTTCTCTGTGCCCCTGACATTGTCTTTCCCTGTGTGCTCCTTGGGTGGTTCCTGTGTCCCTTGACAGCCCCTCAAGTTCCTCCTCTCCAGTATCCTGTGTTCATTCCTGCTCACTAGCAGCATGGCCTGCAGGGCTCATGCCACACGCCTTAGAGCATGGTGCTCCCTGGGGTCCTTCCTGGGCTCTTCTCTTTGAGATGGAGTAAACATCCTCCTCACTCAAAGAATTTAAAGTCCATACTTTATTCAGTTATCCTTAGATTTTACCTACCGTTCTTTTTCTATCTCTGGATTCCTCATCTAAGATATCACATTAGTTGGGTATCAATTTACTTCTCATGTCTCTTTAGGCTCCTCTTGGCTGTGACAGTTTTTCTGATTTCCCTTGTTTTTGATGATCTTGATCGTTTTGAACAGTGCTGGTTAGATATTTTGTAGAACGTTCCTTAATTAAGGTTTGTCTGATGTTTTTCTCACAATTAGACTTGGGTTGTGACCTTTTGAGAGGAGGACCACAGGGGTAAATGGCCATTTTCATCACGTCACATCAAGGGTACACACTATCAACCTAATTAATCACTCACTATTGGTGTAGACTTTGATCACCTGGTTAAGGTAGTGTTTGTCAAGTTCCTCTGCTGTGAAAGTACTCTTTTCCCCCCCTCCCTTTTCTTACTCTACCCTTTGGAAGGACATTCCTATGCATAGCCTACACTTCAGGAAGTGGGGAGTTATCCTTCACTTTCTCGAGGGTGGGGTATTCACATAAATTCTTTGGAGTTCTTCTGCACGGGAGATTTGCTGTTCAACCCCATTTATTTAGTTAGTTGATCATATATTTATATCAGTATGGACTCATGGATACTTGTTTCATACTTTGAGTTATAGTCCAACTTTATTTGTTGCTCACAGTTTTCCAGTGTTGGCCCCTGGGAGCTCTGTCAGTGGGCTCCTGTGTTCCTTTGTCATACCTCCCCATCCACAGGTTTTGTTTTTGAACACTTCCTAACTTTCTGGCACTTCAAGATGTTTAGTCCCATTGTGTATATTTCCTGCCCCAGTCTTAGAATCAACCATTTCTCCAAGGAGTTCTGGCTACTTTTATTGCATAATGGCATTAGAAATCAAGATCTGGGCATTAGATGTGCTTGTTGCTGTTGGGATGTCATTCTTGTAGGGCCTCTCAAACAATACAGCAATGAAATATATGTGTATATGTATTGTAGATATGTATATATATCTATGAATATCTATATTTGTACATATTTATATATGTAGCCATCTGTTTCTATATTAAGCATGAGTTCTTACTGATGTCTCCAATTCTAATCCATTACCACATGGCTCATTCTAGCTTCTTCCCTTTGCTGATCTGTAAATTCCCACTTCAATAATAAGAAACCTGGCTCCCAGCACCCATCCTCTGCCTACTTAATTGTTCAGTTCTGGTATACACATATAGTAGAATAAGAATTATTAATCTATACCTCCATAGAAAAAATGTGATCAACTAGAATACAATGCTGATGTACAGCTCCTTTTGCCTTTAGTCTTAAAGATGCCACTCTTGACCTCGTGATCACGCCACCGCACTCCAGCCTGGGCGACAGAGTGAGACTGTCTCACAAAAAAAAAAAAAAAAGAAAAAAGAAAAAACAAGATGCCAGTCGTTTACAAAGTTATTTAGGTTAGCACTTTCTCCTCTATCCCTTTCAGTGAGGCTCTTTCATACATTTTTAATAGTGGGATTGTTTTGTTGTGTTATCCATTCTATCCAGGTGTTCTCCAACTTCTTAATTTTTTTTCCATATTTGCATACACTAGGATTCATTCGTTGTGCTATAAAGTTCTATGGGTTTTAACAAATGCTTATTGTCATGTTTTCATCATTTTAGCATCATACAGAAGAGTGTCATTGCCCTAAACAATTCATTTCCCTTTGTTTCACTTTACTGTTTTCAGCTCCTGCTAAACTCCTGGCATCCACGGATTTTTTTTTAAGCCATCTCTATAGTTTTGTCTATGACTTAACATAAAGAATATTGACTCCCAAAAAATAAAAATATAACTTTTTAAAACTGGGGTTTGGAGAGGTTGGTTGCCTCTTTTTCTTCATAGAATATTATAAGTGATCCGCTTGCATGGTTCTTAGAGTATACAAGGTGGAGGTTTTTCAGGAAAGCTCAAGCTTTGGTATTCTTCCTTCATTGGAGCACAGTCATTACCCACTGGCAATGAGAAGGCCCGGAACATTGGTACGTGTTTCCCAGTGACAGTTTATCTTGCCCATTTTTTCCAAATGAAAGGATTGTCATATGGCAAATGGCCTGCCAAGCAGGATTTCTAGAGGTCTCCTGGCATAGACTCTAGCTAATTATCCTAGACACCTGCTTTCTTAGGTATTGCCTCAGGGGATGACAACCATACACCACGAAAGGGACAGTCCTGATTTCAAATAATCTAACTTCCACACAGGATATTTTTGTCTTAACTTTGAAAAATTCTGAATGTGCAGAATAATACTAAAGATCAGAAAGAAAATACTGACGCCCAACATGCTGTATTTTAATTTGGAAGTTTTCTTTAGTTTTTCTATTTATTTTAATTTTTTTATATAAAATATTATGATATCCCATTTTACTTAATATTTCAAGAGCTTATCCTTTTTTATTTATTTAGTCAGGTGTATTTATGTATAATTTATATATAATGGCATTGTCCATTTGGTGTATAGTTCTATGAATTTTGACAGATGCATTGAGTCATGTAATCATGCTCATAATTAAGACATGGAATAGGCCAAGGACAGTGGCTCATGGCTGTAATCCCTGCACTTTGGGAGGTGGAGACGGGCAGATCATTTGAGGTCAGGAGTTCAAGACCAGCCTGGCCAGCATGATGAAACCCCATCTCTACTAAAAATACAAAAATTGGCCCGGTGCAGTGGCTCACACCTGTAATCCCTGCATTTTGGGAGGCTGAGTCAGGCGGATCAGGAGGTCAGGAGATCGAGACCATCCTGGCCAACATGGTGAAACCCCGTCTCTACTAAAAATACAAAAATTAGCTGGGCATGGTGGTTCATGCCTGTAGTTACAGCTAGTCGGGAGGCCAAGGCAGGAAAATCGCTTGAACCCGGGAGGCAGAGGTTGCAGTGAGCCGAGATCGTACCACTGCACTCCAGCCTGGCAACAGAGCGAGACTCCATCTCCAAAAAACAAAAACAAAAACAAAAACAAAAAACCGTACAAAAATTAGCTGAGGGTGGTGGGGCATGCCTGTAATCCCAGTTACTCCAGAGGCTGGAGAATTGCTTGAACCTGGGAGGTGGAGGTGAGCTGAGATTACGCCACTGCACTCCAGCCCGGGCAACGGAGCAAGACTCTGTCAAAAAAAAAAAAAAAAAAAAAAAAAAAAAAGACATTGAGTAATTTCATTACCCCCCAAAATTCCCTTGTACCTTTTGTCAAACCCTTCCTCATCCCCATGGCTTGGCAAATATGCTATAGTTATTGATTTCAAGCTCAATTCTGTTACAATCAGAGAACATCCTTTGTGTGATTTCAGTTTTTTTTTAATTTGTGGAGGATCTTAAAATGATCCAAATATGGTCAATATTGGTGACTGTGCACTTGAAAAGAATGTATACGCTCCCATTGTTTGTGTGTCAAGTTCTTTGACAGTGTTGTTCAGTTCTTCCATATCCTTACTACTTTCTACTTGATTTATATGTTATATCTTTTTGGTGAAGTGACCACTTCATCATTTTGTAATGTCCTTCTTTATCACTGATAAAATTCCTCATTCTGAAGTCTAAGGTGTCTGTTATTAATAGAGCCATTTCATCTCAGGTTTTTTTTTTTTTTGATGGAGTTTCCCTCTTGTTGACCAGGCTGGAGTTCAATGGCACAATCTTGGCTCACCGCAACCTCTGCCTCCCGGGTTCAAGCAATTCTCCCGCCTCAGCCTCCCAAGTAGCTGGGATTACAGGCACCTGCCACCATGCCCAGCTAATTTTTGTACTTTTAGTAGAGACAGGGTCTTGCCATGTTGGCCAGGCTGGTCTTGAACTTCTGACCTTGGGTGATCCGCCCACCTCGGCCTCCCAAAGTGCTGAGATTACAGGTGTGAGCCACTGTGCCCAGCCCTTCATCTCAGTTTTGATTAGTGTTTGAATGGTATATCCTATTCAATCATTTTCTTTTTAACTTATTTATGTCTTTATGTTTAAAGCGGATTTCTTATACACAGCATGTAGTTGAGTACTGCTTTTCAGAAAATCCAGTTTGGTATCTCTGTCTTTTTATTTGGTGAATTTAGGCCATTTAATGTAATTATTGATAGGGTTGAAATATTATCTACCTTCTTTCTAGCCGTTTTCTGTTGTTTCATTTATTCTTTGTTTTCTTTTTCTCTATTTTGATCTACTCTTAGATTATTTTTTATGATTTAAATCTTATTTCCACTATTGGCTTGAATTTTTAAAGTCATTTTCCTATTGTTTACAATATATGCTTTTGATTTATCACTGTCCACCTTCCAATGATATTATACAACTTGAAATATAGTATTAAAGCCTCATACCTGTATATTTTCAATTCCTCCACTTCATTCTTTGTGCTATTATTGTCATACATTTTACTCTTACATATGTTATAGATCCCATGATACATTATTTCTGTTTTTGTTTTAAACGGTCAATTATCTCTTCCAGCACTTAAAATAGAAAAAGTTTTTTTATATGTATCTTGATTTTTACCATTTCTGGAGATCTTCAATTTTGTCTGTTATCATATTCCTTCTTCCTGAAGAATTTCCTTAGACATTTCTTGTAGTATGTCTGCTGGAAGTAAATTTTCTTAACTTTTTCTTTTTGTCCGAAAAAGTTTTTATTTGGTCTTCAATTTAAAAAAATGTTTTTGACAATTATGACATTTTGCAGTTCTCTTTTGCTGCACTGCTTTAAATGTCATTCCATTATCTTCTGTGTTGTATGGTTTATGATGAGATATCTGCCATGATTCTTATTTTTTTCCTTTGTATATTATGTATCTTTTTCTGTCTGCTGTCCAGATTTTTTCTTTGGGTTTTAGAAGTTTGCTGTGATGTGTCTAGGGGTGTGTGTATTTATGTACTCCTGCTTATGGTTCTTTGTTCTCCTTAGATACATGGTTTGATGCCTTGTATTCCTTTTTAAAAATTCTCATTCTTCTTATGCTTATTTTGCCCCCTTCCCTATGTAGTCTTGTTTTGGGACTCCAATTATACAGATGTTAGACCATCTTGTATTGTTTCTCAGTTCTTGGATCTTCTGTTCTTCAGACCTATCTTCAGTTTTACTGATTCTTCTTCAGCTGTGCCAAAGATATGGATGAACTCATTAATAGAATCCTTTATGCTTGATATCATGTTTTTTTTATTTCTAACATTTCCATTTGACCTTTTCTTATCATTTTTGCCTCTGTGCTTAAATTCTTCATCTGTTCATGCATGTTGTCCAACTTTTTCACGACAATCTTTAACATATTAATTATAGTTATTTTAAAATTCATATCTAACAGTTTCAACATCTTGGCCATCTCTGAGTTGGTTGATTTATCTGTTAATAATAGGTTGGCTTTTTTTTTGTTTTTGTTTTATTGAATTTAGAACATCATGTGTAAAAGAAGCTGAGGTGAATAGTTTGTTTTCTTGGAAATGTGCATCATAATTCTTCTCTAAGGCCATTAGTGAAGGGAGCTGGTCAGTCTAGTCAGCTGACTATCTGGGTTGGGGTTTTGTTGTGGCTTTGGATACATTCATTGACCCATACACTTCATATTTCCCAATGGTGAGATGCTTTTGCCTGTGTTCAAGGTGATAGATGTGTTGTCATGAATTTTTTTTAATGTTCCTGCTCCACCCTCAGTTTTCTGGTATTCCTGAATGCCTGTGTCACATTGTGTTTGTGTGTGTGTGTGTGTGTGTGTGTGTGTGTGTGTGTGTGTGTAATCTTATTCTATGCTCTAGCTCTTCTTCCAGGACTTCTGGAACAGTATACAACTATTGTTTGTTACTCTCTGCCAATTTTGCACTGAGAATTCTTTGTTGTGGGTCAGTTCTAGTTTTAGGGAGCAAACTAGTTGAACTGAACACTTTTTATGCATTTATTAGTCCTTGGTGTCTGCTGCAGTCTTAGGGTTTTTCCTATTCATTTATATATTTTTATATTTAATGCATCTATCTTTGTCATATTGTTGCAGGTATCTCTCCCATCTTGTGTTTCTTTTAAATTGCTTGCAATTTTTTAAATGGGCAAAAAACTTAAATAATACAGAAACTCTGTCAATCTTTTTATTTGTAATATTGCTTATTGCTTTTAAGTCTAGAAAATCTCTCCATTTCTTGTCCAAGATGCATCACTTACATGTTTTCTAAAAAATAATTTGATTTTCCCCTTAACTCGTTGATTTGTCTGGAATGCATGTCTATGTTGACAGGTAAGATTTAGAAGTGAGTTTTGTTTTTCCACTCAGACCTAAACAATTAGGCTAACATTATTTCTTAAATAGAAACAGTAGCCAAAGACTGATTTACTGTGAAACTGACAAAGCTCAAACTTCAGAGACTCCTTTGCACAGGCTTCTGCATAGTACATTGACTTGGTCATAATTTTTATGACAACTCTATCAGTAAGATATCTTAACTGTAATCAATTAGGACATCCATCTCTTTCCATTCCAAATTCCCCTCTGTCATAACTCTCTGTGTGTTGATTGAATTCAGGGTGGCCATGGCAATTTTTGGGGGTCTGACTAAAGGAAAATAGAGTTGAGAATGGGATATGTTATGTGGTTGCATTGTTAGCCACCTTGGTGTAGGAATGTTTTCCAAGAATATTCCCACTACCCACTGCCTGATTCACTCAGGGGCATGGGCCAAAACTGAAGGAACAGAGATTGTATTAATCCTAGTACCTGAGTATGTGGGCAGGAAAGAAGAAATATGGTTTTGTAATTAGTCTATGGAAAATTTTTCTGATTATGAGACATAAAATTGAACATTGAGAATTTAATTCTCCTCCATACCTTGTCAAAATAGGCATTTCTTTCCTGTCAGGAATATACTAGATGAGGCAACATATTCCATTATAAACATATCATACTTGTTTTATTTACTTATTTATTTATTTATTGAGATGGAGTCTTGCTCTGTCGTCCAGGCTGGAGTGCAGTGGTGCAATCTTGGCTCACTGCAAACTTCACTTCTTGGGTTCAAGCTATTCTCCTGCCTCAGTAGCTGGGATTATAGGAGCCTGCCACCACGCCTGGCTAACTTTTTGTATTTATAGTAGAGATGGGGTTTCAGCATGTTGGCCAAGCTGGTCTTGAAATCCTGACCTCAAGCAATTCCACCTGCCTCAGCCTCCCAAAGTGCTGGGATTACAGGCATGAACCATGGCGCCTGGTCCTATTTATTTATGTTTTGATGAGAACTGTGCAAAATATCATAGTGCCAAGATTGAGAAACTGTTCTAGTGAACGTTCACTATTATATCTGACTTTATAGTTTTATAAGCTTCAGACCCCATGTAACCTGAATAGAATGTAGCATAATGGCTAAGGGCTCTCAACTATTTAACCTCTTTCAGCCTCTGTATTCTCATCTGTAAAATGGGAACAATCATACGTACTCCTGAGGTTTCTGTGTGGATTTACATCATTGAGTATGTTTATTTAGACGTCTCTTCTATTTTAGTGTCTGTTGTGGAAACACTAGCCAGTATCTTGCTTTCTCTCAAGGTTATCTCTGCCTTAGGTGTCACAGCTGTGCTCATACCAGGAAGGAGAAGGGGTTAGTGCCAGTCTGTGTCAGGTTTCAAACGTTATGCTCTCTTCGTTTATTTTTCTTGGTTAGGTTATCTAGTGGTTTATATTTTCTTTGTATCTTTTTCAAAGCACCAGCTTTTAGATTTATTTATTAGGCTTTCATGTTTTATATCTTCTACAATTTGTGACTGATTTTCTTTCACATTTTACATGGAATCCATTCTTTCTGCGTTACATTTTCCTTTGCTATGTAACTTGTTGATGTGATTGCCTCCTTCATTATTTTCCCTCTTTCTTATTTCAGGATGGAAATGTTTAAGACTGAAGTGGTCCTGAGCAGCTGCAGCACAGTGTAGCGTGTGTGAGCACGACTCTCGGCTGGGATGCCTGGGTTCCAAGGCTGCTTCCGCCAAGTTCTGGTCGTGTAAACCTGGGGAAGCATCTAACCTTTTTCTGCTTCTGCTTTCTCATCTGTGGATAAGACGACTAACGTCCTTTTCATAGGGTTGTGATGAGGATGCTTAGTAGCTAGTAAATAGTGAGTAGGATTTAAGCATTTGTTAAATAAATTAATTCCTTATTAGTTGCTGAGTATGCCATTGCATGCATATACCACTCTTTCTTTCTTTCTTTTTTTTTTTTTTTAGACAGCGTCTTGCTTTGTCGCCAGGCTGGAGTGCAGTGGCACGATCTCGGCTCAATGCAAGCTCCGCCTCCCGGGTTCACGCCATTCTCCTGCCTCAGCCTCCGGAGTAGCTGGGACTACAGGCGCCCGCCACCCTGCCTGGCTAATTTTTTTGTATTTTTTAGTAGACACGGGGTTTCACCGTGTTAGCCAGGATGGTCTCGATCTCTTGACCTCGTGATCCGCCCACCTCGGCTTCCCAAAGTGCTGGGATTACAGGCGTGAGCCACCGCACCCGGGCCCTCTTTCTTTAACTGACTCCTTACTGATGAGTAGATGGTTCTCATCTCTCATCTCTGACAGTTGAAGAAAAATGTGTGTCCTCAGTGTCCCTGTGTATGCACACAACAGGAATAGGTGAGTAGGATTAATTCAGAGATAGAAAATTGTGGCGTTAAAGGGTATATCCCCACAGTATTTGATAGACGTTGCCAAACTGCTCACCTTGAGGATTTGGGAACCTGAAGTTTGGGAACATCATTGTTGTGCAGCTTCATCTTTGAAGGGCACTCAGCGCTTATGATTATAGGGGAACCTGAATGGATGATCATTCCTTCTTCCTGCTTATTGAGGGGGACAGAACAATGGCCAGCACTACCACAGAAAGGATAGTGACAATAGTAGTGACAATAAATATACTTTTATTTGGTTAAATCTTTCCCCTGTTTAATGCAAGATTTATCATTAAAGAGGACTACACAAAACATTAAGAGAACTCCGAGATGGAGTTTAACAAAGGTTGTTAAACCAATTTACAGTCCTGTAAGCAATGTTCTCATGTTATCGCAATCTTTGATCTTTGCTAATCTGATACGTAAACTCTTATATCATTTTAGTTTTCCTTATCATCTTGAGCATATTTTTATAGGTTTAATGGCCATTATTTTTCTTTTTTCTGTAAAATATCCTTTTTTGTCCTTTGACTGTTACATGCTCTTCTCAGGGTATTAATGGGCCTTATGGATGCCCTTGATTGAACAACTCTGTCTTGGGTAATGTAATGGAATTGGGAGCTGAATCCCAGGGTAATCCACTTCCTGCAACAGGTAATAAAATAGGTAATAACAAAAACCCCATTTACTGAGCAGGGACTGTGCTTAGTAGTTTACATACATTGTATCCCTCCATGAAAGGAGGGAGACAACCTGTGTTGAAGTCCCAATTCTGCAATTTGTAACCAAGTCTACATTGGGCAATATATCTGAGCCTCAGTTATGTCATCTGTAAAATGGGGATAATACCTCCCTCATAGAGTTATGGAGATTAAATAAAATAAACTAGGTAAAAACACCTGGTGCCATGCTTGGCATAAGTATAATGGGTGCTAAGGAATGTTGATTTCCTAACCATGCTGGCATGAGGCTGAAGAAAAGACAAAAGAGAAGGGCTACTTCCAAATCACATTGCAATGATGTGAGTAGGAGTGACAGATGTCCTCCTGGATATGTTGGTAGGAAAGAAAGCTGGGTGACAACAGCAACATTTTTCAATTAACATCCCAAATCTCATAGTTTCTCTGAGGTCTGGAAGAAAACTATTAACTTATTTCAGAGCATGACTCTTGGATCTATAATAGCTTTATAGTTTTAAAAGGCCAAATGAAAACCAAATAAGTATTAATGCAAATATGAGGGCAGAGATTTCTAAATGGCTCTGGAACAGACTTTAGCTAAATGACTTTCCTTCTCTTCTTTTTGGAGGGCAATGCTTTTGCATTTTCCAGGTGCCTGCTTAGTTGTCTCTTGGCTTTCACAGCATACCTAACATGTTGTGGATGGAGCCTAATGGGCCATTCTGCCTCAGAAGGGTCTAATAATATCACACTTCTTTGAAATGGCCCTGAACTTGGAATATTGCCTTTAGGGTTGTGGCTTTCCTCTTTACCGTACTGTGAGGCTTTTACTAACCTTTCTGATAAGTTTGAGGATTATGGCAAGGAACCTTCTATACCACTCTGTTTTCTTGGGTTGAATTCCCTAAGGCAGCTTATCTGTTGAAGAGTTGAAGTTCAGCTCTAAGTCCCATTTATGTCAGGGGTTATACATTCATTTCAAGGTGTACTTGTTCTTTAATTGAATACAAGTCTTAGGGAAGGGAGCATGTCTATCAGAGTCACAGGGAGGGTCACTTGATGTGAAACTAACATCCTGAAAGTTGGGCTTATATATCCTATTGCTGGGAAGAGCAGGTAACGGATTACCTCATTTCATCATTAATGCAAGAAATTAGACCTGTTGCAGGTTCAGAGGGGAGCCAGTGACTTGGCTTGACCACCTGCAACAACCCTCACCACTATTTACCCACATTAATCTTATCTACAATTCCATTATATTGGGAAATGTGGATGAGAAAGTTGAGAACACCATTGTTGTGTGGCTGCATCTTTGAATGGCACTCAGAGTTTATGATTATAGGGAAGCCTGAATGGATGATCATTCCTTCTTCCTGCTTATTGAGGGGGACAGAACAATGGCCAGCACTACCACAGAAATGATAGTGACTATAGTGGTGACAATAAATATTTTGGTTAAATATTTTCCCTCTTTAATGCAAGATTTATCATTAAAGAGGACTACACAAAACATTAAGAGAACTCTGAGCTGGAGTTTAACACAGGATGTTTATTTGGGGATGCACTTGGGATCAAACCTTGAGGAAGAGGATGAAAATGGGAGTAGGCAGAAGGAGAAGTCAGGCTGGGATGGAGACCCAGTGACAGCCTCGGACAACAGGGAACTCTGAGGTTAGATGGTTCTTCAGAGCTCCTTGCATTGGACCAAGAAGGTCAGGCCTTTCGATGCTTCCATTGGTCAGTTACTGGCTGTGGGACACTCTGTGAAGGGGCACACCTTAGGCCAGGGGTCCCTTCAGCTGAAGCAATCCCTGAAGGGGCTCCCTCTGGCAGCATCTACACTCTCAGCAGCTGGACAGCTGCTTCACATCCAGATGGGCTTCCCATCGCCAAAGGAGGCAGGGTTGAGGCTGATGATACTTTTAGAGGTCATGAAATATTTTAATTTCTTTTGGAATCAGAAGAAAAAAATGGATGTAGCCCCACCTGGATTATATTAGTCTTTATACAATGCAGGGATAAAATGATAATTTTCTATGTATTTGTATTTCTTCATGGAGTTAGGGGCCCATGAAGGCAAAAGTACCCAGGGCTCATGGAAGTCCTAAGGCAGCCCTGATGAGTCCTTTGTTGCTTTGTTGAAGGACAGCATCCTTCACGATCACTGGGTGTGGCATTTGCTTTGGGACCAGACTGTTATTTTTATCGTATTAAGACATTTCCTTTTTCTCTTCCTGGTTCATGAAACACTTTGATCTTTAATTTTATCAACTGCCATTGTGGCATTTGTCAATACGATGATATTGTTTTTCACCTTTGCTCGTCTGGTATTACGAATTATCTTCGTGAATTTCACAGTGCTAAACAATCTTGGAATATGCTCCACTTGGTCAAAGAGCTTCATTCCTTTTCCTGCTACTGGATTTTATTTTCATTGCTCATTTGAAGTGAGGCTGATTCATGATTTTCTTTCTTTGCCTTATCCTGTTCAGGTTTTCATTGTCTTAGCAACTGCTTGGTTGGTACAGTGAATTGGAAACCTTCCCATGTATTTTGTGTGTATGTGTGTTTTGAAACAGTTTCAATATCATTAAAATAATTTGTTTAGCAAATGGACAAAAGTTTCTGATAAAGCATCAGTGAAATTTGAGACATATTTATCATGTAATCAATGCTTCCCAGCTTGTCCTTCAAAGTTTGTAAGTCCACTTCAGCATTTCCCAAACTCTGATTCATGGAAAACATTTTTGCAAGATTTTTTAAAAAAAGTTTCCCTGATCGAAAAGTCTGGTTTAAACTAAGTTAAATCACTTTCTTTACATGACTCTCAGAGCATTTGTATGCTAATAACCTCTTCAAAAAGGACTAACATATTTATATCACTTAAGCTTTGTAAGAGCCTGGTGTCCTACAGAATGCAATCTAAAGAATATTATAAAATATTCATTTTTCTGTCTCTTTCTTAGCTATCGTGTTATAATTTCACTTCTTCTTATTGTCAACATGCTGACTTCCACCTCAAAATTTTAATTTGCAACTTTTTTTTGGTGAGCTGGAAACCATATAACAATATTTGTTAGAAGTGTGTAAAAAATAATCACACATAGTGTCTTTACAATCTCCATGAAAGCTGAGGGTTTTTTTTCAGGAGTAAGGTGGGTTCTATATGTACATATTGCAATTCTCATTTAGGCTACTGAGAGATCACTTTTGCCTCCTCCTAGGTTCTCAGCCATGTTCTAGACCTGAGCTGTCTGATACTATTGCCAATAGCCATGATATCATTAAAATTAAAGTCAACTAAAATTAAATACAATTAAAATTTCAGTTACTTGGTCACACCAGCCACATTTCAAATGCTCAGTAGCCAAATGTGGCCAGTGGCTACCATATTGGAAGGAGAAGATAGGAAACAAATCATTGTTATAGAAAGTTCTACTGGACAGCTTTATTCTAGACTGTTGTTTGCAACAGGAAACAGAGAAATCTACATTTTAAACCAGAAGGTTATCTATTTTTTTTACTGGACAGTACTGTTCTAGACAGTTGTTTGTGACATGTAGCAGAGGAATCTGTATGTTAAGCCAGAAAGTTATCTTGGAAGTTTACCTGTTAATGATCTTACATTATAACGAATATTTCTGCCTTACTTATTGACATGTGCTGAAGTGAGAACTCCAGGTAGAAGCAGGCAGTATTGCTTATCCAGCAACGGATGATGTGCTTTTGAATTTCGTAACAATGTTGGATGTGGATGGATTCAGCCTCAGTAAGAATTTGTTTTCTAAATGCATCAGGGGTGTGAACTTTATCTTCCCATGAGACTGTGAGTGCTTTAAGGACAGGGGCCGTGTCTCTGCCCCATGGTTGTAACCCCAGGGCTACACATGTACTAGAAACATAATTGGTGCCCTAATAATTAGTTTTCAGGATATTGGAGTTCAGAAATAGGGTCATCTCATTTGAACCAGAGACAACAGAACTTCAAACAATAATATGAATGCACAAATGGCAGGCTCTGTTGATGTACCTTGACCCAAGCCATCATTATCAGCATCAGAACATGGTATAGCTCATTGCTTGAATGACAAAAAATCCAAAATCTTTAACATGGCCTCAGAGATAGTGTGTGATGTGGATCTGCTCACATCCTGTCTCATCTTGCAACGCTCTCTTCTCTTTCTAGACCAAGCATGTCCAACTTACAGCCTGCGGGCCACATGCAGTCCAGAATGGCTTTGATTGTGGCCCAATACAAATTTGTAAACTTTCTTAAAATATTATGATTTTTTTTGCAATTTTCTTTTCTCCTTCTTTTTCTTTTTTTTTTTTTTAATTTTATTTGTTTATTGTTTAGCTCATCAGCTATCATTAGTGGTAGTGTGTTTCACATGTGGCCTAAGACAATTCTTCCAATGTGGCCCAAGGAACCTGAAAGATTGGACACTCCTGTTCTAGACTATCCCAGCCACACTGCCCTTCTTCCAGTTTCTTGAATGTCTGACTGCTTCCCCTGGTTCCAGGGGACAGGCTCAGCATTCCTTCCTTTTAAAGAAAGAAATGTCATTCTGATGGGGCTTTCAATTATGTGGCCACACCTCCTCTGCCAAAGGTGAGGGTGTGACCTAAGATGGGTCAATGAGACTCTTTCCAGGGATTTTATGTAAAGATGCTGGGAGAGAGAAGCCCTCTTTCTTCTGAAGGTGCCAGCCCCAAAGACAAAAGCTTCAAGCTGTTTGTGGCTCACATGACCCCAGGTCTCTCTCTCTATGGCATCTAGAAAATCACGTGCAGTAGGGGAGAAGGAGGGTATTACTCAGAGAGAAGCAAAGCTGGGTGACACAGGGGAGGTAGAGGGCAGAAGGATTTCTTAAACCAGGCATAAAAACATTACCCATAAAAAGAAATTGATAAGTTTGAGACATTAAAAATTAAGAACTATCCTTAAAGATACCATAAGGTAAAACAACAACAACAACAACAAACAGAGAGAGTCAGGAAAGACGTTTGCAACTTCCAGACCAATATGAATCAATCGATAAGAATATGACAGATAACACAAAAGAAAAATGGGGCAATTATTTGAACACACCCTTCTCAACAGCGGAACTCTAAGTGAACAAGAAACATGTGACAAAATGTTCTACATCATTAATAGGCAGGGAAATATACATAAAACAATTATGTGCCCTTGGGTTGGCAAAAATTTGAACGTCTGGTAATAACACCAAGTATTGACAAGGACATGGGACAATTGGAATTTGAATACCCTGCTGAAGATAATGTAAATTAGTTCAATTACTTTGGAAACACTTGAGCAATATCTAATAAAGTGGCTCAGCCACAAACTTTTAGCCAACCACTTACTCCTATTTAAGAAGTATATACCCCAGAGATTCTGATGTACCAGAGAAAAGTGTTTGAACACGGATACTAACATGGGTATCAACATATGAGGATGTTAATAGCAGCCCCAAACCAGAATCAGACTTTATTAGTTTGCCGGGGCCGCCATAACAAAGTACCCCAGACTGGAGATATTTATTATCTCACAGTCCTAGAGGCTGGAAGTCTGAGATCCAGGTGTCAGCAGGATTGGTTTCTTCCAAGTCCTCTCTCCTTGGCTTGCAGATGGCCGTCTTCTCCCTGTGTCCTCACGTGGTCTTCCATCTGTGTGTGTCTGTGTTCTAATGTCCTTCTTATAAGGACACCAGTCATACTGGATTAAGGCCCACTCCAGTGACCTCATTTTAACCAATTACCTCTTCAAAGATCCTATCTCCAAATACAGTCATGTTCTGAGGTACAAATGGAAACAAATTTTCTTAGAGGGGGAGGAGGAACACAGTTCAGCTCATAACACAAACCAAATGTTAATCAACAGGAGAATGGTTAAATACATTATATGTTTAAATAAATTCATACAATGGAAATCTATTGCAGTGCAAACACCTGAACTATAGGTACTGCAAGGACATGAATGAATCTGACAGAAACAGTACTGAGCCAAGGAAGCTGTGTTGGGCACCAATGTGCCGCTCAGATTCCTCTTCAAGGAAGGGCTCCATTGCAGCAGCTGCTGGGAGTGCTGTTGGCAGCTGCCATCAGCTGTCTGCCCCTCCAGGGATTGCTTTGGTTACAGAAAGCTGCCTCACCCAAGGTCACACTCATACTCTGGTGGCTCACACCCATGACTCATCACTGTGTCCATCTTGGTCCAAGTGAGGGCAATTCTGGAGGGTGCCATAGATCAACCGAGGCTCTGGTTGGACCTGAATTGCAGCTCAGCCTTTCCTGTTGCCCACTCCTTCTTTCTCCTACCCTTCTCCTTCCCCTCCTCTCCAGCTTCCGCAGGTGTTTGTCCCAGGGGTGTCCTTCATAAATATCCTGTCCTCTAAACTTCACCTCAGAGTCTGGATCCTTAGTGAACCCATCTTTGGATAGTTGGTTCTGGAAGTGGTTCTAAAACGGAGGTTGCATTAGGTTCCTCAGGCTGCTGTAACAAATTGCCACACACAGCGTGGCTTAAAACAAGATAAATTGATCTCTTACAGTTCTGGTGGCCAGAAGACTATAATCAAGGTGTCAGCAAGGTAAGCTCCTTCTGCAGACTCTGAGGGAGAATCTGTCCCATGTCTGTCTCCTATCTTCTGGTAACAGTGGGCAATTTGTGGTGTTCCCTTGCCTGTAGACACATCGCTCTAATCTCTGCATCCATGTTCACATAGCCTTCTCCTCTGTGTCGTCTCCCCTTCTCTTTTCTTATAAGGACACCAGTAATTGGATTGAGAGCCTACCCTAATCCAGGAAGATCTCATCTTGAGATCTTTAATTACACCTGCAGCGACTATTTTTCTAAATAAGGTTATTTACAGGCTCTTGGAGACATATCTTTTGGCGGGGGGGGCTACCATTCAACTCACTGCACAGATGATAAGATGGGGTTTTGAAGCTGAATCACCTATGTCCTGGCTGGCAGTGAGGACCCTGTCCTGAACCAGGCATGAAGTGGAGGTCCAGTTGTTGCCAGTTGTCTGGTAGGGAATGGATGGATGGCAGAGCGGTGGAAGGGAGTGCATTAACTGGTCAATGTTTCGGGCAGTTGTGAAATATGGGGGAAGTAGTAGCTCTAAGGACAATTGAATTGGGTGACTTATGCTAAGCTTGATTGATGCTCCAGGACATAGGAAATAAAAATATGAGGACAGAGCATAGAAAGCATGGAAAGAGCTTCATCTTCTGCAGGAGGAAGGCAGAGAGGCCTGAGGACAGGCCCAGGACCGAATGCTCAGCATGGCTGAGCTCCTGAGAAGAAGGATTCCAAACAAAGCAGATCTTTTATGCCAAGTTCAGGGTATTTATTGGGAAAGAATGGGACTCTGACACATGAGATGAGGATGGCTAGATTGGTATCTCCAGCAACCTGGGGTTCCCAGAACCTTCAGCAATAGCCCATTCCTCCTTAGGAGTTAGCATCGCTTCCTGCACCCCACTTGGGGATGATACAGAGACTTCAGAAACAAAATAACACACGTTCCCCACAGCATCTGCTCCCACCCACAGCTTGCTGCTTGACTGTAGATAGGGATACGTCTCTGGTCTCCTCCTTTGTCCATTTCTCCACTGGCCAGCTTGCCTATCATTACTGATTCATAAAAATTCTTTATATATTAAAGCTGAAAACCCTTTTCACAAAGAGACACAAACACACATACACACACAAAGTTACCTTAGGGGTGTTTCAACTTATCCCTATCTACAGCCAAGCAGCCAGCAGTGGGTGGGGGGGGACAGTGCACTGGGCCTGCTGCACACCCACGACACCAAGGCAGCGTGCTCCAGCAGGAGCCCAGAGCAGTCAGTTGTGATGACAAAATAAAAGGGGCCTTTCTATTTAGGGAACGAGACAAGGATGTATCTTAATAACACTCTAACTCGACATTATCCTCAGAGCGGCCCAGTGTCCTAAGTGTCTAAGAAGAAAAGAGTTTAAACTTCAGAAAGAATACACAGAGGATCTGCAGATTGTCTACTGAGAAAACTCAAGAGAATAAATCAACTGAGAAACATTTATAATTAATAAAGGAATTTTATTAGGTGGCTGAATTGAAAAAATTAAATATATAAATCAAACCTTCTAGTATTCCCACCTATCAAAAGTGACTATAATAAGCAGTGGAAAAATAGAAACATAGGAATACAAATAAGAAGAAATATAGACAGCGTATATAATTGTAACTACAAACTTTTTTCTTGGGGAAGAAAAAGATTTGAAAAATAGAGAGCTATATCATGTTTCTGAATGGCAAGACAAAATATAGTATTGCAAAAAGGCTAATTCAAGATTACCGAATTAATTGGGCAATGAAATATTTAACTATAGCCTTTGGTTTTTAATAACTGAGTCACTAATTGTAAAAAATCAGTCAAGTAATGTAGAAAAAATGCAAAGAAAAATGAAATGACAATATGAATTGTACCACTTAGAAATGACTATACCCTTCGGGGTAAGTCTGTCTGGAAATAACACACATAGATCTATGTTCACAAGTTTACATTAAGGGAATAATGCTAAACTTCATGTGTCAGAACTTATATTTTTCATTTAATCAAATATCTGGGCATTTTCCAGGTCAAATAAATATATACACATCCTCATAGAGCATCCACCTGGGACGTGCCAATACTTACATAACTGATCCCCATTGTTACATAACATGTCCCAACCCTGGGATACTGTTGTCCTTCTTCTCCGTTATTAAAACAGCTGCAAACATCCTGAACAGTTTCTACATTTAACATAATCCAAATACATTTTCTAACAGATTTTTTTTCATTTACACCTTATTCCTGCAAGAATGGCCATAATGAAAAGATAAAAAAATAAAAAATGTTAGTGTGGATGTGGTGAAAAGCGAGCACTTTTACACTGTTGGTGGGAATGTAAACTAGTACAACCACTATGGAAAACAGTGTGGAGATTCCTTGAAGAACTAGAAGTAGAACTACCAAATGGCAGCATCCATCCCACTAGCAATCCCACTATTAGGTATCTACCCCGGGGAAAAGACATCATTATATGAAAAAGATACTAGCACACACATGTTTATAGCAGCACAATTCGCAATTGCAAAAATATGGAACCAGCCCAAATGCCCATCCATCAATCAACGAGTGGATAAAGAAGTTGTGGTTATATATATATATATATATATATATATATATATATATTTATATGTGTGTATATATATATATATATACAAATTGTGTATATATATATATATATATATATATATACACACACACACACCATAATCACACCATAATTTGGTGTGTGTGTGTGTGTATGTGTGTGTGTGTATATATATATGTATATATACATATATATATATATACACACATATATATGTAATGGAATATCACTCAGCCATAAAAGAGGACAAAATAATGGCATTCACAGCAACCTGGATGGATTTGGAGACCATTATTCTAAGTGAAGTAACTCAGGAATGGAAAACCAAACATTGTATGTTCTCACTCACAAGTGGGAGTGAGAGTAAGTGAAGTAATCCCTCCCACTCATCAGTAGGAGTGATTCTAAGTGAAGTAACTCAGGAAAGGAAAACCAAACATTGTACGTTCTCACTCATAAGTGGGAGCTAAGCTGTGAGGACCAGCAGCTAAGCTATGAGGACAAAGGCATAAGAATGATATAATGGACTTTGGGGACTCGGGGCAAAGTGTGGGAGTGGGGTGAGGGATAAAAGACTATACACTGGGTAGAGTGTACATTGCTCCAGTGATGGGTGCACCAAAATCTCAGAAATCACCACTAAAGAACTTATTAACTCCTGGCCGACATTGTGAAACCCCATCTTTACTAAAAATAAAAAAATTAGCCGGGCCTGGTGGCCGGTGCCTATAGTCCTAGCTACTTGGGAGGCTGAGGCAGGAGAACCGCTTTAACCCAGGAGGCAGAGGTTGCAGTGAGCCGAGATCGCGCCATTGCACTCCAGCCTGGGTGACAGTGAGAGACTGTGTCTCAAAAAAAAAAAGGAAAGAAAAGAAAAAAAACCACACACAAAAAACTTATTCATGTAATCAAACACCACCAGTTCCCCAAAAACCTACTGAAATTAAAAAAACTTAAAAAAAGGAATTCTAAAGTGCATCTGGAAGTATAAATATATGAAATTAGGCGGTAAATTTTTGAAAGAGAAGAACAATGTGAGATATTTGTCCTATGAGATGTCAAAATACTTTACGAAGCTGTAATGACTAGAAAATGAATAGACCAAGTTTCAAAAACAAAGCAATATAACTAGAAAAAAAGTGAAGTAGATTCCAATCTCTCATTATAAGCAAAAGATAAATTTCAAATTAAGTAGATAATTAATTTGTGAATGTAAAATGTATTAGGACAAATTATAGGTGACCATTAATATAATTTTGGGGTGTGAAACACTTTCTAAGCCTGACACTGAAGGCCAAAAGTATAAAGAAAACATTAGATAGATTTTACTTTACTAAAAGAAATTGAGAACTTACACATACAAAACATTATAATTTTATAATACAGAAAAGTACTGTTTAATAGAAATATGATGTGTGAAATAAATGGGAGCCACATATGTAATTACATTTTTATAAATGCATTAAAAAACTGAAAATTATAATTCATGAAATCAATTTCAGCAATGTTTTATTTAATTAAATGCATCAAAAACATTATCATTTCAACATAAAATCAATACTAACAATTATTAATGGGATGTTTTACATTCTTTGTTCTCATGCTAAGTCTTTGGAATCTCATGTGCATTTTATTTATTACTGCTCATCTCAAGTAAGATCAGCCATATTTCAAGTCTCAGTAGCCACATGTGGCTAGAGGTGCTGTCTTAGCACAGATATAGACAATCAAAAATAAAAGGCAAATGAAAACTTGAATAGATAAAGTGTTTACTTTGTGTGTGTATGTGTATCTGTGTCTCTTCGTGAAGAGGTTTGTAGCTTTAATATATAAAGAATTTTTATGAATCAATAATGATAGGCAAGCTTGCCAGCAGAGAAAGGGGCACAGGAGGAGACCAGGCAATTCACAAAAGAATCAATAAACATATAAATATGTCCAGGTGTTAATTATCAAATAATGAACATTAAAATATAAGAAAATAGATAGTTTCACTTATTAAACTATGAAATGTTATGAAACAAATCCTGAATTCTTGTGTTAGTAAGAGTATGATGAAATGAATACTTGTATATACTGCTACTGGGAATGTAGACAGGTACAACCCTGGTGGATGGAAATATGTATCAAAAGGTTTAGTACATGTTTCCCTTTGAAGTAGAAATTTTACTTGCAGGATTTTACCTTAGGGGCTGTATTAGTTTGCTAGAACTGCTGTAACAAAACACCACAAATGTGGTGGCTTAAACAACAGAAATTTACTGGCCTTTAGTTCTGGAGGCCAGAAGTCCAAGATCAAGATGTCAATAGAGTCGGTTCCTTTTGTGGGCTTTGAGGATGAATCCATTCCCCTGCCTCTCCCTTAGCTTCTGGTGGTTTGCTCACAGTCTTTGGTGTTCCATGGCTTGTAGAAGCATCATTTAATCTCTGCCTTCATCTGTGCAAGACGTTTTCCCTGTGTATTTGTCTGTCTCCAAATTTCCCCTTTTTGTAAGTTTACCAGTCATATTGGATCAGGGCCCACCTTACTCTAGTGTACCCCAATTTTAACTAATTACATCTGCAACAACCTTATTTCCAAATAAGATCACATTCTAAGGTACTAGGGGTTAAGACTTTAACATGTGGGTTTTGGGAGACAGAATTCAATGCATAACAGGAAGTAATAAAAGATGTGAACAGAGATTTGGTTACAAGAACCACTTCTCACCACCTGTCCTTTCCATCCTTGGCTGAGCCACCATCATTCTCACTTGGATTCCACCAGGCAGGCTGAAGGGAGTGTGCCAGGTGGGTTGGAATTGAGCATTCTGAGCCAGCCTGGCAAATAGTTTTCCCAATTAGTGGGTCCATGCAATTTAGCTCATCTTGAAGTTAAAGCAATTTTTGCTAATGTTGCTAAGGCTACTACTTCTGTCATTGAGCCATCTTCATCATTTTTTTACAGTTCTTCTTCCTTGACACTTAGGAAGTTTTCATTCTGTGTAGAGCAGTCACCTTTGTTTTCATTAAAGACTCAAGAACAGAAAACTGCACACAAGTAAAAAGAGAATAAAACAGCGGTATGTTAGCTGTCACCAGCTGGATCTGAGTGTTGAGTTCATGTTGCCTAGAAACTGAAGACCCTCCACATGCTTTTGTGACCAGATGTCATGAAGAAACCTGGAAAGGGTCTGATCTTATAATTGTGGGTATGGCTAGGACACCCAGGAGGTCGTCTAATCAGGAATATGCAGATATCTGAGTCAGGACAATTCCTAAGTATCTATCATTTTCAACCATCAAGAATGTTCTTAAGAATAGCATCATCTATGGAACTGGAGAAGCTACTGGCGAAAAAGAAAGTTGTAAAAATTCTCACCATAACTTTAAGGGTGGGGGAAATTGCTTCATTTTAAGGATTGGATTGATTTTGATCTCAACTGCTTATTCTTTCTTTCCATGTAAGTCACAGGAGAAAAAAAAATCTTGAAATGGAATCTATAATCTGTCCCTTTAAAGAACACATTTGAGCACCCAGTCCTAAGTGGTTTTAAGCACACAACATCACAGGACTCGATAAATAATTGATATAAATTAATGGCTGATGAAAGAAACATATCCACACTGATCTATAATTACTGGAAGCCACCTCATATATTTTTCATAACAGTGACGTTTCATTGCAGGTTTTTTTTTTCTCTAAAATTCAGTGTATTTAGAATTTAAATTGCTTTCAATAATTGCTTTTAACTGCTTTCAGTGGAAGAACTTCTCTGTCAATATGGGCATCTGAGAAGCTTGGGATTCAGTGCTTCTTTTATATCTTCTGGTTCTGCCTGACTTTATAACCTTAAATGGTGACACCAAAGAAGAAGATTGGGATGACCAGGAACACTCATAGGGACACTTCAGCTGCCTCCTGTTCTGAACGTGGCTTCCACAGAGCCTCAGCAGAATGTCCTTGCTTCTGAAGCTTGCAGGAGCAGAAGCTGGGTCCAGATTGGCAGGAGAGTGAGTTTACAGCCAAAACCACCTACGGTGCCATTGGGTACACTGTAGACATATGATGCCACAAGGAAATGAACTCTGTAAGCAAGGACGGAGATTTCAGCTAGTATTCTGAATTCACTTCCCCAAAACAATCATTCAGACAAATGACAGGAATAAACAAATCATCAATGACAGCAGCCACTGCCATCCCCTGGTCCTAATCAGGAACTTGACTTTTGTTACTAAGAGCATGGGTTGTGGAGTGTCAGATAAACTGTGGCACCATTTTTGGCTCTGACACTTGCTAGCAAGCTGAAACTTGGGCAAGTTACTTTATATTTTTGAGCCTCAGTTTCCTCATCTGTGAAACAGAATAATGATACTAACTCTATAGGGTGATTTAGAGAATTAAGTGAACTGAAGTCTAGAGCTTTTGGTACAATTACTAACAGCATTTGAAAATTAATTGGAACAATCTAAGTTGATAAGAGAAGAGAGCTGGCTCCAAGGTGTGTGTGTGCCCTTTGGTTCATATGTGTTGTATGGGGAGAGTAGTAAAGAAGGAAAGCTCTCTGGAAAGCTTAGGAAATCATCGGGAGAGTATGGAAGCTTTGAACATTACACATACCAATGAAGAACTAATTCATATAGTGTTTTCTTTCAATGCATTTTGGAATATACAAATTGCCTATTTTCTGTTAAATGTTGTACATTGGCAAGTTCTACTTTATTATTATTATTATATTATTTTTTATTTTTATTTTTTTTTGAGATGGAGTTTCACTCTGTTCCCCAGGCTAGCGTGCCGTGGAAAGATCTCAGCTCACTGCAACCTCTGCCTTCCGGGTTCAAGCAATTTTCTTGCCTCAACCTCCCAAGTAGCTGGAGTTACAGGTGTGCACCACCATGTCTGGCTAATTTTTTGTATTTTTAGTAGAGACGGGGTTTCACCATGTTGGCCAGGCTGGTCTTGAACTCCTGACCTCAGGTGATCCACCTGCCCCGGCTTCCCAAAGTGCTGGGATTACAGGCATGAGCCACTGTGCCCGGCCTTCTATTTCCTGTAAGTAAAAATGATTCCTTATAATTAAAGACACGTCATAAGCAACATCCAATATTATAACTTTAGCCTGGAGATTTGGCTAATACAAATGTAAACAAGAATTCCAGAAAACACGTGGTTGTGGAACAAACTCACTTCTACTTCTTTTTCTCATGGCCTTTCCTTTTCCTTCTCTTCTTCTCTTCTTTCCCTTCTTTTTCTTCATGATTGGCCTGAAAAACTGAACTCTTTGTATCTTAGAATGAAAAAGGGAAATTTTCCTTATTTTGATTTTTCCATGAAGCGCATTAAATGTCATATCAAGCCCCCCAGAATAAAGGTGTGGAGGCTGTAATCAAAGGTGAATAAAGCCCTTCCTTTGTCTTATAGCTTCAGGTAGAGACTGGGTCGTTGTTCGTGAACCTCATTTTCTTTTCTTCCTGGTCACACAGCCAGATATTTCCCAGTCACTCTTCAAGGTAGGTGTGGCCACGGGGCTGAGTTCTGGCCAGTGCAATGTAGTTGGAAGTAACAGCTGTCACTTCCAGCCCCAGCTCTCAGCCTCTCACTCTTTTCCCTTCTCTGCTGGACTCAACAGATGATCTCACAGGGGTTTCTAAGGTCCAGGGGATACCAGAAATACAGCATGGAGCAGACTGGGCCCTTGAATCCCAAGTGAATAGCTGCCTGCTGAACGCCCACATTCAACTGGGCATGAGCAAGAAATAGACTGTTTTTGCATTAATTCTCAGAGATAAGGGTTGTTTGTCAGAGTCCAGCCTGCCCTCTTACAGATACAGCCTTCAGGCACTTGCATGGGCACATGATCCTTTTTATTTTCACTGGGTCCTTCTGAGGCACAGAGATTTGCCCAAGTCCTATGGTTGATGTTTGATTAAGCTGGAACCAATCCTCCAGTCCCATAGAATCTCTGACAGAGAGTTTTTTTTTGGAGGCGGGGTTTTTCTCTGTCTTCCAGGCTGGAGTGCAGTGGTGTGATTACAGCCCACTACAGCCTGGGCTCAAGTGATCCTCTCACCTCAGCCTCCTGAGTAGCTGGGATGACGGGTGTGAGTCATTGCACCTGACGCCGTGATCAGTAGATTAATGAGTATAATTCTATAAGCACCTTTGCATGAGCTCTGTGTGTGCAGGTACTATGCTAGATACTGGCAACACAGAGGTAATTGATCCCCAAAGATCATTTAGTTCAGCTGCACAGAATTCTTAAGTTATATCTGTAATAGTGTGCAAAATTAAATACTTTCCCGAACCAGGCAGTAATATCAATGTGTAAATTAGGCTGAGCATGGAGTAGGAGGGTCTTCAAGAAACTGAAGAGTGGAGACATCAGCCAAAGGTGTTTAAATAAAAAATCTCAAAACACCATGCTGGCTTAGCAAAGCACATCTTTGGGTTGGATTCAGTGCACTGGCTCTCAGTTTGTGATCCCTGCTCTGCAGCACCTCTGGAGTGGTCCTGTGGTCATTGAGTTACATGCCATTATAACAGCAACTGCTTAGAGTAGACCTGTGATCTCAGGCCAATTGGAAACCTCAAGATTCAATTCCAAGACTTTTGTTTGTACCGTCTGAAAAGTGGACAATCTTTTCCCCATTTTTGTTGCATGTGAGATGATGGTAGTTCTGGCTGCTGTGACCATCTTGCAACCATGAGTGGAGGCAAGATCCTTATGTTTGAGAGTAAAGTCCAGAGGGAGAAGGCTGAAACCAAGAAGCACAGAGACAGAAGCCAAGTCTTGGTGGTGTCACCTGAGCCCTTGATCAAGCTGCTGCTGAATACAATATGCCCCTACTATTTTAAACTTCCTGAACCGATAAATCCCTTATTTACTTAAGCAAACTTGGGTTGGGTTAGGTTTTTGTTTACTTGCAAACTGGTACACTGTTCTCTTTAAAAGGGGAGCTGGTGAATAAAATTTCTCCGACTCCTTAAACACAACAGATGTGCTACAGAGTGGGGCGAAGATCTAGCAACTTCCAAGTCTGAGTATCCGTGGTGGGACTCAGTGGTTACACTAGAATTACAAAATCTTTTCACATTACTGAAAGAGAAGGTAGCCTGTTGTGAAGAAAAGTCCTCCTACACATTTCTGTTTCATCTCTGCAGCATGAAAAGGACGGGACCTGTTGTGTGTCCAGATTTAATGACTTTCTGTTACTTGATCCTAGAAATAGAGTTGTTTTCAGACAAGAGTCTCCCAATAAAGGAGATTTCTTACCTTCAAAAGAGGGCAAGAAAGGAGCCCAAGATCTAGGATGGTGGCAGCACAGGCAGAAAATCTGTATTTGATTTTAGGTCCACGTCACCATCTGCCGCGTGGCCGGTGAAGTAACCCTGGTGCTGTGCTACTCATCAATCCACCAATATTTACTGGGCACTGGCTGTATCAGGAACCATGGGAGGCATGGGGATATTGCAGATTATACCCATCTCCAAGGCTGTTGGGCCCCAGAGACACAGGTTGTTTACTCCTGAGATACAGCATTACACGGGAACTAATTTTCCATTTGTTTATAGCTTATGGGAAACTGAACAAGAAAGTAATGAATATATTAGAGCCTGGATTATGCATCCTATTCCAGGATTAAGCAAAAGGTACCCAAGGCAACAAAAGTAAAAACACACACGAATGCAGCCACGGTTCCCAGGACTCCATGCTGATGTGTGTCCAGTCTTGGTTGTCATAAGAGTTGTAACTTTTGTGTATGTGTAAGGGCTAAAGATGTATAAATTGGGGCTAATCCTTAATCCACAGTCTGTGATTGATCAAAGATGATATGTTCAAAACAAAGCTCAAAGCTTTCTTCTACTGTATTTTGTGCTCTAGGTGCTTGGATTCCTTGGCCTTTGTGACAGTCTACTTACAACATGCCTATTTGTGGTCAAATACTATCTTTTATACCCTCTGAGGGAAGAGTAGTTTCATTTATTGTTGTAACTTCCACTGTGCCTAACATCAGGAAGGAAAGACGAAAGGAAGTAAGGAAGAAAGGAAGAAAGAATGGAGGGAGAAAGACAAGGGTTTTGAGAACATTTAAATAAATATTCTTGCCATTAATGAAGCGGCTATCCATTTCCTTACTTTTTACATTCAGAATTCAAATAAAAGAAAATTCTCATCTTGCATTTGTCCACGTTTTGATCCGTAGAGGTGGCTTTCAGTGTGAGAACATCACTCAAGATAGGAGAGGCAACGTAGGGCAGAGGAAGGGCCCTACACAGGACCAGAACTTAATCCCTGCTCCAGCACATCATTGATGAGAGGTTTTGAGCAAGTACCTTAATTTCTCTGAGCCTTAATTTCTTCATTTATAAAATGGGGGCCATAAAACCTGCCTCACAGCATTGCAGAACCAAGTTAGCTAGCATATGTGAAATTGCTTCATAAATGGTAAAATAAAGTCCCCCATAATCATAAAACTGATTTAACACAAACTTCTTATCTTCCAATTCTGTACTTCAGGAGTTCAGCACAGGTCTCATTGGGCTAAAATCAAGGTGTTGGCGGGGCTGCGTTCCTTCTGCAGGCTCTAAGGGGAAATCAATTTCCTTGCTTTTTCCAACATCTAGAGGCTGCCCATATTCCTTGGCTTATGGCCTCTTCCTCTGTCCTCAAAGCCAGCCGTGTTGCATCTGTCTGATTCTGCTTCCATTTCTTTCTCTGATACTGAGTCTCCTGTCTCCCTTTTGCATTGTGATGCCACTGGACCTACCCAGATAGTCCAAAATAATCTCCCTGTTTTAAGATCTGCTGGTTAGCAACCTTAGTGCCGTCTGCAACCTTAGTGTGGTCTGCATCTGCCGTCTGCAACCTTAATTCCCCTTTCCATGTGACTTGACATATTCACAGGTTCTAGGAATTAGGATGCAGACGTCTTTTGGGGGCCATTATTCTGTCTACTACAGTTTTTTTTTTTAGACGGAGTCTCGTTCTGTCTCCCAGCCTGGAGGGCAGTGGCACGATCTCTGCTCACTGCAAGCTCCGCCTCCGCCTCCCAGGTTCACGCCATTCTCCTGCCTCAGCCTCCTGAGTAGCTGGGACTACAGATGCCCACCACCATGCCCAGCTAATTTTTTTTTTGTATTTTTTAGTAGAGATGGGGTTTCACTATGTTAGCCAGGATGGTCTCAATCTCCTGACCTTGTGATCCACCCGCCTCAGTCTCCCAAATTGCTGGGATTACAGGCTTGAGTCAGTGCGCCCGGCCTTCTCAAGAGTCTAACTTTTTTGATGCTCCTCAAAGAAACTGACTACTGGTTCTGATGGTGTTGGTAAGAGTTTCTACTGCAATTACAGTGAGCGCAGTGATAGTGAGTCAGAAGGAATTGCAACCAGTCTCCCAAGACAGAACTAGAAAGCTTGGCTAATTCTTCCTTTTCTTTCATATCCTATGTCAATCAATCATCCAGGCCTCCTAATGTTTAAAAAAATCATCCCTTCTCTCCATCATCATTATCACTCTCCTCACCTCTTGTTGGGACCATATTGTTCCTTTGTTTCCATTCTTGACTTGACCACCAGAGAGACACGGGGCGATCTCCTAAATCCCAAATCTGGCATTGATCTTGTGATAAGCCTGTTCAGTACTTACGTGTTGCTTGCAAGATAAGTTCCAAAGTCCTCTACCAGGCCATAGAAGTCCCCCTGCCCACCTACTCAATCTCCTGTCCTCCACATACACCCCACCCTTTACTCCAAGCTCTAGCCACACCCATCGATTTGCTGATCCTCACCCTGTGTTTTGGTTCATGCTCCTTCAGGAACATGGTGGAGGGGCAGTCTTTTCTCATTCCCCTGGGCCATGTTGCTGTCCCTTTTGGGGACTCCTATAGAAACAATGCCTACATCCATCAGTAAACCCACTGCGTTTTAATTCTCCATTTCTGTATCTTCCTCCTTGGCTATATTGTAACTCCTTTCAAGTAGGCACCGATTCGTATGAATCTTTATAACTTCAGTGCTCTGCATTAGGCCCGTACATAGTTGGCACTAAATCACTGCTAGGTTAATGAATGAATTGAGTAATAAACTAAAGAATAAATCAATGAGTAAAAGGAGAAGGTAAATATGAGAGGGTGTGTCTGAGCACATGAGCCAAGGGAGAATTGCCATTGAGGTCCATGCTCTATGCAGACAGCTGCTTGAGCAGCAGCAACTTGAGAACAGCAAAATGCACTTAGGGAAAAATCACTGAGACCTTCCATTAAGGTTTGATGTGCAATGATGGTTGGCCATGAACTTGCATAGCAGAACAACAATCCCAGGGAACAGAGTCCTCATGCAAACAGAGCCTTTCCACACATGAAAAATGTGACGCTTGTTCATCTGACTTTTATTGAGTCCCACCATGTTCCAGTCTCTGCTTCTGGCACTGGGGACACACTGGTGAAAAGGCTAGAAGGGGAGAGAGACCATCAATGATGTGTAACACTGCACTGAAGATACTAATGTCAAGTAGTGCTCAATGCAATAATGAAAAACAAGGCAAGCTGATATGACAGAGTGGCTAGGGTGGGGGATGAGCAAGGGCCTCTGGATGATAGAATGGCTGAACAGACACCTGGAAGAAGATAATAATAATCAGAATATAATAATGATGATGATGGGGCGGGCGCAGTGGTTCATGCCTGTAATCCCAGCACTTTGGGAGGCCAAGGCAGGCGGATCACCTGAGGTCAGGATTTCAAGACCAACCTGGCCAACATGGAGAAACCCCGTCTCTACCAAAAATACAATAAAGTAACCAGGTGTGGTGGCACATGCCTGTAATCTCAGCTACTCGGGGGGCTGAGGCAGGAGAATCCCTTGAACCCGGGAGGAGGAGGTTGCGGTGAGCCGAGATCACGCCATTGCACTCCAGCCTGGGCAACAAGAACGAAACTCCGTCTCAAAAAAAAAAAAAAAAAAAAAAAAGATGAGCACTTCAGAATGCTTGCTGTGTGCCACGCACTATTTTGAGTGCTTTATTTGTATTAACTAATTAAATATCTCTGAGGATGATGTAAATTTCCATTTGTTACATTTACATTTGCCAAATTGCTACTTAACAAAGAAGAAAACTCTATTTTCTATTTGCACAGAGAGGTTACCAAGTTCACATAGCCAATGATGAGCAGCGGTCTGACTCTTCAAAGTCCAAACTCAAATCATAATTTATTTGCTGTTAATAATCATATTGATAATATTAATAGTTATAATCACAATGGTGAACAGTTCTTAAGAAAAATATTGCTTTGTGTGCTTTACATGGGGTTGACTCATTTAGTTTTCACAAGAACTCTGGGTAGATACTATTATTATTTTCATTGTTTTCTAGATGAAGAAATAAGCTCAGAGAAGTTACAAAAGTTGCTCAAGATTACACAGGTAAAATGGTGAATTTGGAATTTTCACCCAGGCAGTCCTCTTTTGAAGCCTGAGCTCTTAACCTCTGCCTTATACATTTTTAGGCAGCCAGGTACTAGAAGATCTGGGGGAAGGAGTTGTGATATAAAATGAAAGCACTAAGAGCCCAAGAAGGAATCAAGGGAGAGAGCATAGGGAGACAAGGTCATAGGTTGTTTTAGACAGGGTCATAGGTTGTTGTAGATCATCATTTGGAGTGGATTGTTGTAGATCATCATAGGGAGTGGGCTGTTGTAGAACATCATAGGGAGTGGGTTACTCTAGATCATCATTTGGAGTAGGTTGTTTTAGACCATCATAAGGAGTGGGTTGCTGTAGACCGTCATTTGAGTGGGTTGTTGTAAACCACCATAGGGAGTGGGTTGTTGCAGAACATCATTTGAAGTGCGTTGTTGGAGATCATCATAGGGAGTGGGTTGTCATAGACCATCATCTGAGGGGGTTGTTGTAGACCATCATCCGAGTGGGTTTTTGTAGACCATCATAAGGAGTGGGTTGTTGTAGACCATCACCTGAGTGGGTTTTTGTAGACCATCATAGGGAGTGGGTTGTTGTAGACCATCATCTGAGTGGGTTGTTGTAGACCATCACCTGAGTGGGTTTTTGTAGACCATCATAAGGAGTGGGTTGTTGTAGATCATCATTTGAGTGGGTTGTTGGAGACCATCATTTGAGTGGGTTGTTGTAGACCATCACGTGCAGTGGGTTGTTGGAGACCATCATGTGCAGTGGGTTGCTGTAGACCATCATTTGGAGTGGTTGTTGTAGACCATCGTATGAAGTGGGTTGTGCTGACTACAATGGGAAGCCACCTGTCAGTCTGAAAAGGGGACTGATATAATCCAAGAAGTATTTTGAAAGGATGACTTTGGAAGAGGGTGTGGAGAATGGATCCTGTGAACAAACTGGAAGCCAACAGACTAGCTAGGAGCTGTCGCCAACTTCTAGAAAAGAGATGGTGGCACCTTGAATGAAGGAGGTCAGCAGCAGTGACCAGAGAAATGGTCAGATTTGGAATACACTGAATCAGATTTGGAGGCAGAAATGACAAGTTACTGGTGGACTGGGCCAGGGAAAAAGAGAAGAACCAAAGATGACTCCGGGATACTGGTCTGAGCAATTAGTTGGCCAATAGTGTAATGAGCTGATGTGGGGAAGAGATGCAGGTTTGGATTGGGGGTGTGGCTTGGAATCAAACACTCTGGGACCTATTAAGTCAGAGGTGCTTATTAGACACAAGAATGGAGACATTAAAGATAATCCTTGGAGATTTCTTAAAACATGACTTCTCCCACCTTAAGCTTAAGGTATAGCTTAAGAAGGCAGCTGGAACAGCCTCAACTTCTCTTTGAGCTTCATCTGGGCCAACCTGTCTCCCTGTACCTCTTACTCTGAGTGACTCTGAGTACGTGCATGTGTGTATGTGTGTGTGCATGTGCACACGTGCGCCTCGTGAGGTTCAGCAAAGAGGTTAAGCAAAAAGACCCTGGAACCAGATGGTCTGGATTTCAAGCCTGCCTCCACCACTCGCCGGTTATGTAACCATGGGTAAATTACTTAATCTGTTTGTGCCTCAGTTGTAAAATGAGGTTGATGATACCAGTAGTACCAACTCACAGGTTTCTTGGGAGCTTCAGTGAGTCAGTACAGGTAAAACACTTAGAAATGTGCTGACATACACCAAGTACTCAACAAATGTTAGCTAACGTCACAGGGGAGTGTGCACCCGTGCACATAAATGTAGAGAGTGTTTGTGACTGGAGAAATGTTAAAAATAGAAATTCTTTATTGGATAAATGGTTTAACACCTTCCTGCTTGAGATAGCACTATTAGAGTATGGATATAAGGGGCAAAAGCTGAACAGATCCTTGCTTGTTGGATACCGCATCAAAACAGACTCGAACCTCCTAATAATAGGTACCTGTTTCTTCCTTACCTAACAGTCTCAATTTTTACAAGACTGAATTCCTTGCATGTGGAGTTTTGCCTTAATCATGTCTGAATTTGCAGCCCCCAGCCCAGAGGCTGGCAGCCAGCTGATACCGGACAGGGTTCACAGGGGCCAGCGCTCTGTGGAGCCCATTCTTCCTCTGGAAAATGTCTTTCCCATCAGGTTACTTTGGGGGCAAATATTCAATTATCTGGGGCTGCTTGGCTGTTTTTGTCTCTGGCATTTGAACCCATCTCCACTCAGAGACCACTCTGTGGGATGGTAATATTTCTAATAATCCTAATTGTTCATTGCTTTTCATGTTCCCTTTTCCATTACACCTCACTGCCCATAGCCTTCATGCTTTTAAGTAGCATTCGGCATCTTCCCTGTCTTGGGATGGGTTTCTCGTCCCCTAGATCAGAAGGAAGATGGAGCAGTTCTGCTAACCCGAGTGGTCCTGGAATGTGTTTTTCTTCCCATGCCGTTACCACATAAAAGTGGTCAGAAATCACTCAGATCTTATTTTGTCTTCTCAATCCAAGTTTCGGTAATTCAGATAAAAGGTAAGAAATGGGTTCTTAGTGCCCGGAGCTGTAAACTGGGATAGAGGTCATGTAGGCCAAGGTCATATAGGCCAAATGGATGACTATGTGAATTTTTAATATAGAAAATAGTTTCATTTTCTCCCACACTCAAAAGCTGAAGCACCCTTGGGCTGCAGTCAGGGCAAAAATATTTCCTCAAAAGCCCAGTTCCCCTAACCTCATTTGCTTTGTCTAGTACTTGAATGCAGATATTTAAATGCAGTTTCCTCTGAGCCTCTTTGAAATTATCTACTTTACATTTCATCTCCTCTTTCTAATTCCTTGCTTATCGACATCATTGACAAGCTTGAGTCAAGGAACTTGTCTGACAGTCGAGGGATGTTAACACATTGCTGTTAAAACACAGTCTTGTATAAGGAGTTTACCTCTGTCTCAGCAGTGGTTCACATTTACTGATTCTTTACTCTTTAGGATGCCCATGCTTTACAGATCTCTGCAGGCAGTGTTATTGTCAGAGGTGAAGACACTAGGCTTATAGACATTGCCCTGGAACCTGGGCTTTAATACAGGCTGGTTTGCCTCTGGAGACGGAACACTTAATGACTATGGCATTCTGCTTTACGCTGAAAGATTTAGTATAAAGGCATGGGGAAAATTGTCATTATTCACATTTATGTAGGTGGACATCAAATACTTTGGTCTTGGAGTCTGCATTATTCTTGGTCCTTGTTAATTGGCATCTCCATTCTCTCTCTCCATCCCTAACTCCATCTACACCTCCACTCTCATCTCCATCTCTGTCTCTGACTCCATTTCTGTCTCCATCTCTATTTCTGTCTGTATCATCTACTGTTCGTTCTTGTTCCAAGTTCTAGTGTGGGTTCTCGCATGCGAAGCAACTTGGATACCTGATAGAAAGTTCACTGAAAAGCTTCATGTGGCCCCTTGCACCTGGGATGACTGAGGAAAGCTCCTCATGACCATGAAAGAGTTGAAAGCTCCTGCTTTGTCCCCTGGGTGTCTTGACTCAGCTCTGCCTTTCTTGTTGCTCTCTTCTAGGCCTCCTGAGCTGAATGACATACCATCCCCCACGAGTCATCCACGTGTCCTTCTCCAACTCATCAGCAAATTGTGCCGGCTCTTTACCATCACAACCACCCTAAATCTGATGACATTTCATCACCTCCATGGCCCCACCCTAGGAAGTCCAAGCCACACTCATCTCTAGTCTGGACCACTGGGCAACACAGAACTCCACCTGTCCCCCAGTCACCTCCCAGTCACCTGTGTGTGCTGCAGCCAGAAGGATGGTTTCAAAGACTCACAAAATCACTCCTTTCCCTGCTTAAAACTCCCGGAGGCTTCCCATGATATGCAGAATAAAAGCCAAAATCTGTATAAGGGCCTACAAAGTCCTATATAATCTGACTCCTGGCTATTTTCCCACTCATTCTTTCCTCTCTCCACCTCCTTCACTCGGTCCTGGCAAGCCACTCCAAACTTTCGCCTCTCCTGTCTGCCTGGGCTGCATTTCTCCCCACCAGGTCCTCTTTTCTGGCTCTCTTGTTTCACTCAGGTCCCCCTGCCCACTTCTTACCTCTGCAGAAAGACTTCTTCAGAACGTCGATCTGAAAAAACCATCCTGCCGCTGTCTATTCCTTTCCCCTGTCTTAGTTTTTATATTACTTGGCACTATCTGGCATTTTTGTTTGTTGTCTGTCTGTCCCCCTGTCTGGGATGTGGGCTCCCTGGGGGAAGGGGTGTGATCTGCCATGTTCATTACTGTAGTACCATGCCTGAAACAGTGTCACAAAAGCTGTGACAGCAGAAGGACTCATCAACATAAAGCCTGGTAACTTACTTTATACAACACATCAGAGAGAGCCAAAACTCTGCCCTGGTTCCATCAATGACCCACTAAGATGCCAATTGCTTAATCCTTTGAGCAATATGTTAATTATTAAAGACAGCTGTCATTGGGATACACACCTTAACATTCACCACAATTGAGTCTGTTCTGTGCAGTTTCCTTAATATGCTTAAGTACAAAAATTGTATGTCCCCTGAATGTCTTCTGGATAACTGAGAAATGAGGTGTTTTTCCTACAGTAACTAATCATATCAGAATAGAAACTGAGATCTGTGGTTATTACTGCAAGGCCCCATTCATTCTCTCATGTTCCATTCTCTTCCTTGGAAAAAGAAGACAGTGGGCAAGAGAAGATCAGCTTTCTTTCACATTTCATGAAGGGATGAAAATAATTTCCTTAAGATAGAGTTCAGAATGGGAACTATATCAGGTTAAAAAGAAAGAACAATGATGTTAAAGACATTTATGTAAATACAATAGTAGGATTCATTTATAGTTAGAAAAGAGTAAATCACATTGGTTGACATCAAACAAGAGAATAGGAATTGGGATGATCTTATAAAAACCCTCACTTGAATAAAGCAAATTGTGAAAAACTCATTAAAATTACAGCTATTGTAATAGAATAAAAGCATCTGTCCTTTTCATATACCCATTAAAATGTCATGTTTTATTATTCAGGCTCATGGAGAGTTTTTTGATTTTATAGCATTGGTAGAAGGATAGTTCTCTGGGGGTGGTACTGATATTTTGACATTCCCAAATTATTCAATACAAACTTAATCTCTAAAGAGGCATGGAGCTCCATAGATGCCTGGTGAGGTCACCCACAATGGACCTGGGAAGATGTGAAGCTTAAATAAGGGGCCCAGGGCAATCTAGCCTGAGGCCAATGGCCGTCTGGCCATTGAACCTTGAACTCAGGACTGGAGAAAGAGCTTCTTGCTTGAGGCCAGAAGAGACAGAGAGAGACCAGAGTCTGAAGGAGCTGGCTAGACCTGATTCCATCAGGGAGGGGAGAGTTCCAGGGACTGGGGAGACTTATGAAGGGCACCAAATCTAGAGGGACCTCTTATCCCCTAGGCACAGAAAGCCCTGGGTTTGCCTGGTGGGCATTCTCTGGACCACTCTTCCGGTTCTTGCCTTTCTCCGTGTTGCTGGCCTTGGAGCTGACCGTGGTGCTGACAGGAGTCTGGCGCCTCCTGCGCCCTTGCTATCATTGTGTGTACTGTGGACCCGCAGCATCGGCTCACCTGGTAAGAGCTTGTCAGACATGGAGAGTCGTAGGTCCCACCTTGTATCTGCTGAACCAGAATCTGCATTCAACTAGATTCCCAGATGATTCATATGTACATGAAAGTTTGAGAAGCATTATTTATCACTTTTTATTATTCTACTGCAGAATTACTGGGGATGTGAAATGGAGGGCTGAAGGCAGAAGGGGATTGTTGAAGGTGGGTAGAGTTGCATAGATTTGGTTTATAATGGGATTGATCACTTGAGTGGCTGAGAAGGATTCCATGGTTGTTTGCAAGTGTGGGCTATGCATGTTGGAAGCACACTTTATGCTAGGAGCTTCCCATCAGGTCATTGCTTCTGGGACCTATAAATGCATTATTTGTACTGTTCATTTGTAAGCTAGAGGGTCCTATGGATCTCTATGTTAACTTGCACTATATCAGCTAGAAACTTGTCCAGACTCAAAATTATATCAGAGAAGTTGAGGTACAGGCCACAGTTTCTATGGAACCGTGTGTTCTTGATGGATGAGTTGCCTAAGTCATAAGCAATGTTGAGTTGGTGAGGTAGTGAAGCAGCCATGCTGTTGACATAGGAAGTGTAGCCAAGGATCTGCCTTCCTTTTGACTGTCAGTGTATAGGTCACAGAATATTAAAGAGAACAGAGATGGTGAACTGAAGGCTGTAGTCTGAGAGCAAGGTAATTTTTGAAGACAGCCAGGAAAAGGGTTGGAGCTGCAGTTATGGGACTAAAACAAACAAACAGTGAGGGAGGCCTGGGCCACTGAGAGGCCTAGAGGGTGTTGTGGCATGGGAGGGAGTAGCTCAGAGGCTGGATACAAGGGCTGTGCACATGTACTGGAGAACTCAAGGGCTTTGTGTGGATGAGGTGCCACAAGCCTCCTCCTGGGCCATGGCTATGCTTTGGGACCTGCCTGTGTTGCTCATGAAAGCAATGTTCTAGCACTGTGTGCAGGCTTCCTCAGCCAGTCCACTGTGGTGGAGCAGATGCCCTATACTTACTGCCCTCAGAGCTTTCTTAGCATTCGATATGCCAGGAGCTGGCGTGGTCAGCCCATGGTGTTAGGCTGAATACACTCACTGGGAAGGACCAGGGTCTTGGCAACAGATTCATTGCATATTTGCGCCTCTGGTGCCATGGTAACCTTTCTTCTTCCTGATGACCTACACCTATATTAAAGTTTATAAAACAGTGGCTGGATGGTTGGAGGATGCAGGTGGACAGAAGACGTGGAGCCTGCAGAAGTAAAGGGTAAGTTGTTAATTCTCCTGGAAAAGGTGAGATCTTGTGTCTCTTACCAGGAGAGGCCAAGAGACAGGGTTATGGGTAGCACCCACTGCACCCTTTGCACAATGGGAGGAAGGATGTATGACTTGATGTGCCTCCCAGTTGTGTGTTCATCAGCTGCAATCTGCTCTTCTCAGGAGTTAGTGTCAGGGAGTGTCTGTGCCTCCTGTACAAGGCTTATTGTAAAAGACACCTGATGTCCTTGAGTGACCAGAGTTCTAACTTGGGAGTATGTGCCCACCTCCATCAGTTGCTACCAGTGTGTCAAATTCTCTTCTACACTTGGCTAGGGCTAAGATTTAGTGAGAGGAGCAGAATGAGCCCTGCCGGTCCTCCTTTTTCTAGTAGTAGGAAGCAGCCTCTTCTTTGCAGTGTGAGCCAGTGGCCCCTGGACCCTCAACTAGTACCTGAGGCTTCTCTCCTCATCAAGGCCTCAGGGGGAGGCCTGAGCTCCTGCCAAGAAGGTAAGATCAGGACCCAACCAGAACTCCAGCTTCCTGCATACAGTCAAGAGAGGGAGGCAGGCTCATGGGTGGCTGCGGTGCAGCCTCCACAGGACTCTTCATGGGGGAAGACTCTTCATGGAATGCCTGGGGTGGGAGGCCTTCCACACTGACCAGAGAGCCTTGTCCCTTCCACCAGCTCCAGTACAGCAAACTCAGCCAGAGAGTGCAGTGCAGAGTCAGTGGCATCAATGCATTCACATTGCTCTGTAACCATCATCATCATCCACCTACAGTTTGTTCAGTTTTAATGTTTTCTCATGGCACAAAAAATAGGGAAGCCAAGCTGAGAGTCTGAGTCTGCATATCTAGCTGGAAGTATGCAGAATGGCTCTGCTTATCTTAGTGGGGGAGGAAGGTGTTCAGGGACAAGCAGGGACAGTGCTGTTAATTCACCTTTGAAACCTGCTTTGAGGAGTAAGTGGCTGAAAAACGTCTGTGTGTGACTGAGGTTGCTCAGGGCAGCCACCTTCTGGCATTAAAAGATAGTTCAACAATCCAGCATCTTAAAAAAAAAACCAAAACAATTTCTATCTATCTTGCTAGATGAATTGGGCATTTTGTTGCGTCTTGGATGAAATGGTAAATATTTACATTATATATGTACACCTCTACTTATATCTCTCTATCTCCATCTCTCTCGCTCCCATTTCATGAGGATGCTTACTTACAGCAAGGATCCATTCACGTATGATTTTAAGGACTTGCTAAAGATATTTGAATACAACTTGTTCAGGCCAGATCATACATTATCTGCTGTGGATAAAACAAGTTTGGATTTACAATGAAAATTGAGATAGAACAAAAGACTTGCTTAATAACCAGAAAATGAATGAGAGAAGTCCACATGAGCTTAATTAATTGGCTCAATATTTCTCTCTCTCTCTCTCTCTCTCTCTCTCTCTCTCTCTCTCTTTTCTTGAGACAGAATCTCACTCTGTCACCCAGGTTGGAGTGCAGTGGCATGATCTCGGCTCACTGCAACCTCCACCTCCCAGGTTCAAGGGATTCTCATGTCTCAGCCTCCTGAGTAGCTGGGATTACAGGCACGTGCCACCACACCTGGCTAATTTTTGTATTTTTAGTAGAGACAGGGTTTTGCCATGTTGCCCAGGCTGGTCTTGAACCCCTGACATCAAGCAATCGGCCCGCCTCAGCCTCCCAAAGTGCTGGGATTACAGGCATGAGCCACTGCACCCAGCTGGCTCAATATTTCTAACAGCTAAAAAGCTCATTTTGCTGCTCCGCTCCTCAGATGGACTTGCTCCCCTGTGCAGTGCTATATATGTGCTTGGGGACCATGCTGGGTATGGGAGTTTTTAGTCCTAGGACCCATATTTAGAGTAATTCTGAGATTTCTCTGATTCTCTCTCTCTATTTCTAGCTGGATCTCTTCTCTCACGGGTCCTCATTCAAATCTATCATTTCCAGTTTTCCACAGCCCCCACCCTTCCCTACTTACTACCTAACACTTGGCTGCTCCCTTCATCTTTATGACCTGTCTGAGCCTTGGAATATTTGAGTTTGAGACCTCTGTCTGGAGTCTTTTGTCTCTCTTTGTTAAGGGGGTTTTCTTCTTGAATTGAACATGCTTTCTGCAGGAGTTATCACTACAACCCTATCCTTCCTTTCAGACCTTGCTCAAATCTCTCTGCCTTTGCAAAAAACCCCTTCACACTCCTTCTCTTTCATCTCTAACCTTTTTGCAAGTGTATGTCTTGTGCAATCAGTTCCTGAAATACACTATCCTATTTGTATTTCTCTATGACATATGCTTCATATGAAAATAAAATAGAAATAATGGCCAAAACAGAGGAACATTAGTTATAATATAACTGTTATGTTTGTGGCACGTGATTTAAGTAAAATGACCGAAAGTTGCCCACTGACAATTGTTACTTATTTCTTCGAGGAGAGCTCTTCCAAAGTGTAGTTTAAAGGGGACAGGAAATAGCTGTAAATTAATGAAGCTGGATTTGCTCACCTCCATGATGCCCTCTTGCCTGGCCCAATACTGCATTTAGTTGGTATGAGGAAAGTTCACAAAATCTGCAAAAAAGCAATGTTGGTTAAATTTCCTCTATTTAATAATTTTTTTCCTAATCTTAATTAAGAGCTTTTAATTTATTAATTAATCTTGTCATCACTTTCTATAATGAGCATTTCCCATTTTATTTGTGGTTTTTAAAATGTGCCATTAATTGCAGAAATTAAGTATTAGTATGATTTCATACTATGGTGTTATTGTCAAGCTAAGAGCAGGAATTTGGTATCATTTCTTTATTAGCATTTAAAATACCATGTTCACTAATTATCCATTCCCTACTCGTATTCCACTGCTAAATTGCTGCTATGCTTGGAGGCTTTAGGAGTCTTCTTGCAATTTCAGCGGCTTAAGTTTTTTGTTCCTCTGCTTAAAAGAACCTCAGAGAAGAAGGCGGGGCTAAGAAGATTCCAGTTATAAAAGCTTTCCTCCTCCTGTGGGGAGAGACCAGCAGGATCCTTGGGTGAAAGAAAATCCTGCTTGACAAAAACCGTCACTTAGGGTATGTCATCAACTTTTGCTTTTTGCTTCTCCTTAAATGTTGCCATTGCTGTAACTTGTAGAATAGTACGAGTTTGTGTCTCTGGGAGGGGCATCATTTAGTTTTTCTATGAAGATTTGAAACTAAAGGAAGACAAAAATTTAAATTCCTCAAAGTGTTGTGGGCATAAGCAAATGCGGGTTCACAGATATATCTAATCCTCACTTAGATTTATTTAGAAATGTAGAATTATTTGCTGAATTTTTGAATGACTTTAAATATAATTACAGTTTTCTGTTTCTGATTGAAGGAGTTAGAAACTCCCTAAATGAGCTTTAATGAAAAATTCACTGGCATCTGAACTCTGCAACTGACTATCTGAAGCAATCCTATTGGGAACATAATAAAACAAGTTTTTTCTTGAATCAAGACTATGGTGAAATGTAAATTAACATCAAGAAATAATGCATTCAAATAGTAAATATTCTTTGATAATGAAAGGAGCGGGTATATTTAGCTTGTTTTTACATACTGTGTTTCCTTCCGTTCTTCCAGCCTGTTGAAACAGGCTCATCATTTGTATTATTTATAAGCAAGAGAGAAACACTGAAGGGC
Organism: Homo sapiens; assembly: GCF_000001405.40. Classification (NCBI taxonomy): domain Eukaryota; kingdom Metazoa; phylum Chordata; class Mammalia; order Primates; family Hominidae; genus Homo; species Homo sapiens. The sequence continues at coordinate 233,918,027 of NC_000002.12, forward strand.
TGGATGAATAATTAAAGGTTTTATTTCCATTTAATTTTCAATCCATTATTGCCAGTGCTGACTTTTTCAGTGTTAGGATTCTTGAGCTGAACATAAGGAAATGGTTATTCCTTAAGACTATTCTATATGTGCTAATACAAAGATACTGATCATGAGAGAAGTTTTAGCTTGTCAAAATCTTGACAGTGCAAAGGACTTACTTCCAAGGTTGTGACTTTGGATGCATATTTATTTATAATTTGGAAAAAAGCTGTTTATTATTATTTATTAATAAGATATTTATAATTATATTACAAATAATATAATTGTTATAGAAATAATATAATTACATTATAAATTATAATTACATTACAATTTATAATAATAATTATCACTATCTTTGTTTTGCCTAAGAACTGATATCATTCTTGGCACCTGTGAAGACAGTAGGGGTCCAGGCTGCATAGGGACCCCTGCTTTTCCTCTTATTCTAAGAGGGTCTCAGCAAATAGCATCTTGGAGCATCACCTGCTGCCTGTATCTACCTCCTGTTTCTCACTTCTACTTTTTGGAGCAGGATACCTTGGGGTCAATGACTTCGGGAGCCTCCACTGGCTTTTGCTATTTTCCTAGTTTTCATCCATCTATTCAAACTGAAAAAAATTTGGCTGATAGAGGCAATTAGAAAAACAGGATAATGCCTACAACAAAATAAATCTCAGCTCTCTCCTGGTGGTGACTGAGACATGGAGGCACAGATGCCTAGTGACCTTTTCAGGTATTGTAACCCTTGTATGCACCCCTGCCATGCCCCTGCCAAAATAAGAGTGGAGGAGATCTCTCTGGATGGTGTCATTTATATTTGAAGCTTCTGCAAGTGTTATACTCACCATTTTCATGAATAATTGATGGCTCAAAGAGTGGAGATGGCTGGGGTTTGGTGTGGGGCCCTTTGGAGCATTTTCCTTAGAGTATGAACAAGTTTTTCCTCTCTCATTCAGTGTGCAAAGGAAAACATCTTGTTTCTCCCCCCACCCCATTTTTTTTTTAATCAGAAAGAGACTTAGAACTAGACAATCCTGATTGAAAATGACACTTTAGGACTGATTTGACCATGGTGATAGGTGAGCTAAAAAGCAACTTATAAAACATGCCAGAAGCCTTTTTTTATTAGGATAATAAGAGCACACTAATATTTTTTTTGTATTGAGTTCAAAGGATGCATGAATATTCTGTTGTTCATGAGTGACTTCTAGACTATTTAAAATTATTCATGACCATTGATAATAAAAATAGTACCACGGCCAACCTCTCCCCTCAGCAAACAACATGAGGTTTGTAACCCTTTGTTTAAATTTTGGCAGTGTACTAATGTTGTTAAGATGACAATCTATTTCTTCTCAAAGCTGTATTAAAGTGGCACAAATTAGCTTAATGTTTAAGATTGGGTCTCAGGCCAGCCTGCTTGATTTTGAATTCTGCATCCTCTACTTATTAGCTGTGTGACTTTGGGAAAGTTACCTAACCTCTCTGTGCCTTGGTTTGTCATCCATCTAAAGGAGAAAATAATAATCCATATAACTCATGGGGAGATGGATCCATGTAAATACTCTTTAACGTATCCATGTAAAGAGTATTTACATGGATCCATCTTGCCATGTGTTATATGGATTATTATTTTATTACAAGTACAGTGCCTGGCACATAATAGACATGACACAATACATAACAGTTATTTATTACTGACATTTGGATGGTGTTCCTGGTCTGATGGAGATGTATGTTTCATGTGCAAGCAGGACAAATTGTAATGTTCAGACATTCAAGTTGTGACTACACAAGAACACAAAGCCAAAATTAACATGATATTGCCGCTTGAACATCCAATCAGTTACCTGCATGTGTTTTGAAAAGATTTGATTATATGCTCTGGAAACATTTTATTGCACTTTAAGGACAAGGGGGTCCTTGGTGTGATCTGTGGGCCAGTGGTCCTCTGAAGGTGGTCCTGAGGCCACCTCATTAGCACCTGGGAACTTGCTAGAGATGCAGAATCTGGGGCTCACTGCAGATGTCTCATGCTCTTGAGGTGGGGCCCAGCACTCTGAGTTTTAATAAGTCCAGTGAGTCAGCCTGCAGGATGACGTATAGTTTCCTGTGTGAGAAACTGTAGGAACTGTTGGTCCTTAGTTTGTAACTGCCATCTCTCCTGATAGGTATGGTAGGTCTATCGTGAAGTTTTGAAAAAAATGTGAACGGTATTTCAAGAGTCCATCTTGATTTTAATTTTTACTGAGGTTATCTCTATGGTGGTCATTAAGATTCCATTAAATTCATCAGGCCCATTTGAAATTTTTGAGAGTAAAGACCATGAATAGAAATAATTGAGATTATTGATTAAAAACATGAAAGCAAAGATTGACATAGTTAAACAAGTAAATCCTAGAACTGGACAAATCCTTAGCTATCTCTCTGTGAAGGTCCCTTCCTTTGGGCCTGCCATGGAGATAATTCCATTGAATTTTACTTTCATGGCATAGCTTCAACTTGCATTCAGGACATTCTAAGAAATAGCCAGGCTAAGTTTAGTGCTGTAAGTCTTGCATGGCTGTGCAGGGATATTTACCACTATGTGGCCCAGTGTGCTTTTGGCATAGGCATTTTTCTTTTAACTTATTATTTTGAGATAATTATAGCTTCACAGGAAGTGGAAGAGGAAAAAGCATAGAGAGGGTCTGTGTACTCTTCACCCAGTTCCCCTCAATGGTGACACCTCATGTAACTATCATACAAGATTAATACCAGAGAATTGGCATTGGCACAATGCAAAGGCTTTATCAGATTTCACCATTTTTTTTTTTTTTTTTTGAGATGGAGTTTAGTTCTTGTTGCCCAGGCTGGAGTGCAATGGTGTGATCTTGGCTCACCGCAACCTCCGCCTCCTGGATTCAAGTGATTCTCCTGCCTCAACCTCCTGAGCAGCTGGGATTACAGGTGCCCTTCACCATGCCTGGCTAATTTTTTGGTATTTTTTTAATAGAGATGGGGTTTCACCATGTTGGCCAGGCTGGTCTCGAACTCCTGACCTCAGGCGATCCACCCGCCTTGGCCTCCCAAAGTGCTCGGATTACAGGCATGAACTACCACGCCCGGCCCCAGATTTCACCACTTGGACATGCATTCATTCATGTGTGTATAGTTTAATGCAATTTTATCACGTCAGTAGATTCGTATAACTACTGCCACAACCGAATTTTGGAACTGTTCCATCACTAGAAAAGCCCCTTCACTCTGCCCCTTTACAATCACCCCATCCTCCTCATCCTACCTGTCCCCAAATGTAGGAGTTCTTTTCACCCTGGCCTCTGTATCAGGGAATGTGGGTTTGAAGTTAGTTTATGGATGCCTTGAAGCTTGTAATTGACTATGTTCATCCTGTCAACCTAAAATAATCAAAAGGCTCAGGATCCAATTAAAAGAGTTTATTCAAGTGCAAAGATGAGGGCCGCCATCCAGACAGCAGAATGACAGCAAAGGATGGTGATCACTGCACCTGGGATGGGGAAAAGGGAGAATCATTTATACAGGCAAAGCCAGAGGTGCCGAACAGAAACACATTTTCTTTTTTCTTTTCTTTTTTTTCTTTTTCTTTTTTCTTTTTCTTTTCTTTTCTTTTTTTTTTTTTTTTTGAGATGGAGTCTTACTCTGTCACCCAGGCTGGAGTGCAGGGGCGTGATCTCGGATCACTGCAACCTCCCAGGTTCAAGGGATTCTGGTGACTCAGCCTCCCAAGTACCTGGGATTACAGGTGCCCGCCACCACACCCAGCTAATATTTTTGTATTTTTAGTAGAGATGGGATTTCGCCATGTTGGCCAGGCTGGTCTCAAACTCCTGACCTCAAGTGATCCCCCTGCCTTGGCCTCCCAAAGTGCTGGGATTACAGGCGTGAGCCACCATGCCCGGCCAGAAACACATTTTCTGTATGAAGGCTACTGTACAAATGTAAGATTTGATTGACTACTACTGTTTATACTCTAAGGGGGTTGCTTAACAGTCTATTGTAAAGAGGTTACAGTCGCAAGGGTCTCTGTCTCCAACATCAATTAAGTCTAGGTTAGAATGAAGGATAGGGAGTCCGGTTAAGGTAGAACATCTCCATCTGGTTTTGCACAACCCTTGCAAAAGTCAGTCAGCAAGGGTTGTGCAAAAATAGCTGTGCTATGTGACTCTGTTTTCAGAGCTTCACTTTTCCCCTTGGCATAATCAACCTGGAAGGTCCTAAAATTTTATTTTCTTTTTACAATCCCTTTGCTTTGGCCATTGGTAAGTTTAGGGCATGATTTCTAGTGCCCCCTGAGGACCTTGGAACAGGCTTCCCCTGTGGCTGGATAAGCTCCTCACTTAACCAGTCTCTTTCTCTTATTTTATCCTCAGCTCATTTATTTCTCTTTGGTTCCTTTGCTTTACATAATATTTTAGTAAGTTTCTTCAACTCTTTCTGCATTGAGATAAAATATAAACATTTAAACTGAAAAAAAACCTCTACCACGTCATCTCTACTTATTATTTATATCTGACATTTTCCCTCCAGCCTCCCTGTCTCCCTTTCCAGAGCTGCCTAAAGTTATGTGAGTGTTTGCCTTCCTTGTTCCCCATTCCTGAGTGTGTCTTTCTACTGCCCTCACAGCTGAATTGACTCAGGATACAATTCCTAGATCACAATCTTTTCCCTCTTAAAAAAATGTAAACACTGTTCCATTTTCTTCTAGTTTATAGTGTTGAAGAAGAGAAGTTTTATACCAGCCTGGTTTTTCTCCTTTAGTAATTTTTTTCTGCTATATTGCTTGTATGTTTTTATGTTTATTCTTTTTTCTTTTTTGAAACAGAGTCTCGCTCTGTCACCCAGGCTGCAGTGCAGTGGCACGATCTCGGCTCACTTCAAGCTCCGCCTCCCAGGTTCACGCATTCTCCTGCCTCAGCCTCCTGAGTAGCTGGGACTACAGGCACCCGCCACCACGCCTGGCTAATTTTTTTTGTTGTTGTTGTTAGAGATGGGTTTCACTGTGTTAACCAGGATGGTCTCGATCTCCTGGCCTCGTGATCCGCCTGCCTCAGCCTCCCAAAGTGCTGAGATTACAGGTGTGAGCCACCGTGCCCGGCCATTTTTATGTTTATTCTTATACTTAAATGATTTCATCTGGATACCTCTGGCCCTATTAATTTTGCTTGGCAGCAGACCCAGTGAGGTTTTTATTGTGAAGACTCAAATCTTTCTTTATCTTGGGGAAGATTTATTCTGTTGATTTTCTGATGACTGTCTCTTGTAAGTAGAACATTCTTTTCTTTGGAAAGGCCTGTTACTGACATGACAAATCTCCAGTGTTCTCCATGGCTCCTCTAGCAATGGCCACAGCTAGGTGTGGTGCAGCTGTACCAAGGTTTTCCCTCCTTGGTGGGGTGGGCTAAAGTGGAGGGACACAGCCCCATGTCCCCTGCTGCCGTGCTCTGCCTGCCCAATGCTGCCGGCACCAGGTTACCACGCAGGGCTCCATGGGCCGGCATCCACTGCACATCTCGAGCACATCCTCTGGTTTGACATGGGGTCACACGGTGCTGCCAGTCTTTGCCACACTTGATTAGGGTGCCAGCTTCATTAGAAGTAAGGACGACTGTCAATTAAGCATTTCACTCATGGGTCTTGAGACTTCTAGTCTCAGCTTCTGTCGTGCCTGGGGAAGCACCTCACTCTCTCTTCTGCCTGGGGAGGCTGTAACTAGAAAACAATAAAACAACAACAACAACAACAAACTGTCCAGAGCTGGAAAAAAACAAAAACAGCCAAAATTGAGTTTGCATGTAAAGAGGCTTACAATCAATGTGAAAATTTCGGACCAATATCTGGTTAGAATCAGTAAACCATCAGGACTTCAGAATAAGGGGAACATGCTGGGCAGAAAGAAGAGCAGGGAGGCTGCAGTCAGGATTTTCTTTACCAGATCAAAACTCTAATAAAAACAACTACTTTTACAGTGTTGGGGGGAAAGTGTTGAATGCAATAAGAAGACATCCCCATGGATGATAAGCTTCTCACAAGTTCCTCCTAGGCTTTGGTGTGCTCAGATCATCCCCAGGGACCTTCTCCTGACACTGACAGATAAGTCCAAGGTGGGCAAGTCAGGAGCGGAAGGACTCATGCTGGGCATGGACATCCCAGCCCTTTGCCCATTGTTTCCAGGGAATTTTGGATCGCTGGATCTGGCGGTGTGATTTTGTTACTTCTCCCTGGCGCATGACGCACCAAGGGATCGGCTTTCTCCCCCTGCCTTTCCCGTTCTATCTCTTTCAGGGGCATCTCCTTTTCCACAGACCCCTCCTCTCACTCTCCAGGGACCCAGCTGCTCTCTTCCCATATCGCTTCTCTTGGACCTCAGGCCTTAAGTTCCTTCTTCCAATGCTTCTTTTACTTCTGAGCCTGAAGTCCTGCAACAATGTGTCTAGAAGATCAACAAACCTGCAGTACTGGGATAGCTGCTATCTAAGACTGTATGCCAAGACCCAGTCAACCAACTTGAATATCAACTGGTCTCAGAGAACCAGTTGAGACTACCAGCTGCTGAGAAAGGCATTCGGAATGTCAGAGGAGGGCTATTTGCTGCATCTCTTAAATGGCTTCCCAATGTTTTCTTTGATAGAAATGTGATTTGAAGGCAAAAATACCCCTTTTCTGTTGCAGCGAAATAAACAGTTTTTCATTTCAAGGCAAATGAAGTCACTTCCTAAGCCTTGGTGCCCTACTTAGAAGCAGTTTGCTGTAAGGGAATCATAGTGAATACCTTGCAGGATTGATCTGTGGTTTTGCAATGATGTATGTAAAGTGCCAATTAATACTCTCAGCTTCTCTTTGAAATGCCTGGGGAGAGAAGTAAAAGAAGCGCTTGTTGTTTTAAACAGTCTAGACCAACCATTTGGAGTGCATTTTAAAGCAGTGCCAGTCTCTGAGGTGTGGGAGGCCTGTGGCTGGCCTGGGAGGGGCGATCTGGATGGAGGAGTCATGGCCCCCTGGGCTGAGGGTCTGAGAGCAGAGTGTGGCTGAGTGGTGGGTCTGCTCTGTGTCTTAGACATTTCTGCATTCGGGAGTTATAACAGGTGACGTGGAAATAGTTAGCAAACCGAAGGAGGATTTGCAAGGGAGTATTGATTCAATCAAACTATTCATCCAATAAATAAATATGCAGATCTCCTTTATGCACTGTGCCAGGCCCTGGAAGTCTAGTGGTGAACAAGATACAGTCCTTGGCCTCAGCAAGTTAACAGGGGTCAAACAGATCATTAAACAAATCATGATGCCCACAGCTTGGTGCAGGTTGAAGGGGCTACACAGGCAGGTGAGCACTTGCTCAGCCTGGGCATTGTGGGGCATCTCCCTGAAGAAATGATGAGTGAGCTGAGCCTGGAGGATGAGCAGGAGATGACAGCTGGAGGGGTATGGGGAAGAGGGCTCTGGACAGAAGGTGGGACCCCAGCTAGGAAAGCCAGGTCCAGAGAGAGAGGGAGGTGGGCACAGTCAGGCCGGGGAGGTGGAGACCAGCAGGGCCGAGCGCAGAGACAACGCGAGAGCCTTGGAAGGGGTGAGGAGGAAGGACTGCTGCTGGGATGTGGTGGGACAGACAGGGAGGAGCTTGGAGCCAGGAGGAGGGGACTCAGGGAGACACGGTATGCAGGAAGGACAGTGCTTTCATTTACTGTGTCAGCAGGACAACCCCAGAGGTTGAGTAGGCATTGACGGGTTTTGTCTCGAGCTTCGGATGTGGGTCTGAGTTAGACTTTGGGAGACGAGGGGAGAGGGGCCTCCTGAAGTATGGGATGGGGGCATATTAGAGTGAGAAAAACAGAGCAGGGACCCCGGGAAGCATTGCATGACAGATAAGGTTTTGCAATGCCCAGGCTAGCAGCCTGCTCCAGAGCCCTAGAGGGAAGTCTTGGGCGTTAGAGTCTCAGGATGACCTGGGACAGACTGACCCCCAAGCCCTACCCACCACCCTTCAGGGGCAGGGGTCTTCTTTTCTGCCTGAGGTGCAAGTCCTCTGGCCAATGCAGGCTGCTAGCCATAGTCTGCTCTGTAAATTCCCTTCATCCTCAATTCATTACTTAGCAAGTAGCTACTGCAAGCCCCTCAGATGGAGTGCACTGTGATGCATGTGCTACAGACTGCCCTTTCAGAGCTTGCAGTCTGGTGGGGCCATGCACTTGGCCACTGCAAAGAGGGGGTGCCCAGGAGGGGATCCTGACTCAGGGGTGAGGGGCCAGGGAGGATGGGCTGAGGGGTGGAAATGCCATCTGGGTCTTGGAGGGTAAAGAGGAATTAGGGGCAGAGGCACAATGACCATGGTGGGCCGAATGGAGCATGGGACATTGCACGTGGCAAAGGGGAGAGGGTGGAGGGAAAACGGCATTGGGGTGAAGCTTTGAAGGAAGCCCTGTTACTGTTTGTAACCCAAACTTATCCCCTCCAACCATCGTCACAGAAAAGATGTCCTTTCGGGCAGCCAGGCTCAGCATGAGGAACAGAAGGAATGACACTCTGGACAGCACCCGGACCCTGTACTCCAGCGCGTCTCGGAGCACAGACTTGTCTTACAGTGAAAGCGTAAGTCATGCGCATCACCTGTTTGAAAGGTTATCATTGTAACCTTCGTAAGCCGTCAAATCCTGCATTTGCACATTGACTTTTAGAACATTTTAAATGCCATGTCTTTAAAATTCCTTTCACTACTTAATGCTCAGTGCTCTTGTTTCCGGTCTGAGCCTTGAATCACAGTCCCTTCTCCAGCTCTATGGCCAGGGTCTCAGTTTGGGTCCATCTGCATTTGTTCTTGTAATGGCCTCCTAGCTGCACTCCTTCACACTGTCTCTCCTGGTTCCAGGCCAGCTTCTACGCTGCCTTCAGGACACAGACGTGCCCAATCATGGCTTCTTGGGTGAGCTGGAGTCGGGGTTGGGTGCCAGCGGGAGGTGTGTCCTTAGCACCTCTCTACCTCTTCCTGCCTGGCTTTGCTGACACTGGGCTGAGTTCCCTCCTGCAGGTTTTCCACCCACTCTCAGATCCTGTCCAACACTCTCATATCCTGTCCAACACTCTCATTTGTCAAGAAATTAAGACAACATTCCAGCCTGACATCCAGTTCTCATGGACTACAGTGTTAAAAGTCGGGATAGCGGCTAGCTTTGGAAAGTAGGAATTGGTGGTGGGAGGCAGTTCTGGGGTGTTGCTTAGGATTTTGATCTCACTGGTGGGTTCCATGGGGGCTGACTTTGTGATCTATCATTGAGCTGTAAGAACACGCACACACAAACAAATACGCAAAAACCTGCTCTCCCCCAGTTTGGGTCTACCTCCCAGGGCCCGGGCTAGGCAAGTGAGGCACCCCTGATGCAAAAGTTAAGGAGGTGCCAGCCCTCAGGGGCTGCCCCTGCACTTGCATGCCTTGGGGGACTGAGCACCTCCTTGCACTTGCTCCCCAGTCACACCTCAGTCCTGGCCACAGGAGAAGCAAACAGTGGGCCAAGGGTGGTGGTAGCTTTTCCAGCGTTTACCCCCTTGCTCTCTTCCTTCAACCCCAGTGACGAAGCACCTCTGGGAGGGCCCTTCTGGAGGGGTCCACCTGGCCTCAGCATCAGAGCCCTGGAAGACAGAGTCTGTCTCTTTCTTTCTTTCTTTCTTTCTTTCTTTCTTTCTTTCTTTCTTTCTTTCTTTCTTTCTTTCTTTCTTTCTTTCTTTCTTTCTTTTCTTTCCTTCCTTCCTTCCTTCCTTCCTTCCTTCCTTCCTTCCTTCCTTCCTTCCTTCCTTTCTTTCTCTTTCTTTCTTTCTTTCTTTCTTTCTTTCTTTCTTTCTTTCTTTCTTTCTCTCTCTCTCTCTTTCTCTCTCTCTCTCTCTCTCTCTCTCTCTCTCTCTCTTTCTTTCTTTCTTTCTTTTTTTTTTTGAGACGGAGTCTCGCTGTATCGCCCAGGCTGGAGTGCAGTGGCGAGATCTCGGCTCACTGCAAACTCCACCTCCCAGGTTCATGCCATTCTCCTGCCTCAGCCTCCTAAGTAGCTGGGACTACAGGCTCCCGCCACTATGCCTGGCTAATTTTTTGTATTTTTAGTAGAGACGGGGTTTCACTGTGTTAGCCAGGATGGTCTCGATCTCCTGACCTCGTGAGCCGCCCACCTCGGCCTCCCAAAGTGCTGGGATCACAGGCGTGACCCACTGCGCCTGGCCGAGGCTGACTCTTTCTTGAGCCTGCCACTGTGACCTCCTGCTGGATGGGTCTCCTCTCCTCAGCCCCTGCGGGTGACCCCCTCCCAGATGCAGGCATCCCTATGGGTAGAACTGCTGAGACCATGCAAGAGCATCTCAGTTCTGGGGGGTTCCTTTTTGCCCCCTAAGCACATGCACACCTCTGCAAAGTGCATTTTCAGAGGGTTTTTTAAGCAACAAAGCAGTTTTAAAAAATCATCACCCTTCTTCCTTGATCATTGATTACACAGATTACACAGCTGTTTTCTTCCTGCCTGTTAAGTAGACTTGAAATTAGTTAAGTGGATGAAAAAATTACAAGTAAAAATGGGCATCACAGACTTTCAAAACTGTACAGGTGAGCACTGAAGCTATTTTTGCTTTCAAAATGTTTGTGTTGAAAGATACAAAGAAAAGAATGTATACAGGTGAATTTCCAGCTTAAAAAGAATATTGAAAAGAATGCTCTTGTGCCCACCACCAGCTTGAGAAATAGCATATCGCCCCCATGTGGCCGCCCCGTTGGCTTTCCTCTTTCCTGTCAGAGGTTATAACCACTATCCTGAATTTTTTGTTACCCATTCCTTGCTTTTATTTATAATTTTATGACTTGAGTATATGTATCTCTCTAAACAATACATTGTTTAGTTTTGTTCTGTTTTGAACATTCATGGAATTGTACTATGAGTATTTTTTTGTGAGTTTCTTTTCTTTTTTTTTTTATTTTTTTGCTCAAAACTGTTTTTGAGATTCATCCACGGTGAGACGTGTAACCATTGTTGATTTATTTCATGGCTATGCTGTGTCCTACTGTGTGCTTATGTTTGTTCAGCCTAAGGGGGATGGTATGTGGATTTCTGGTCTTTGCTATGAACAACAATACCACTTGTAACATTCTTAGATGTGGAAGTCATGACTAACTGGAAAATATTATTTGAGTTGAGGCTTGGTGGGTGAAGGTAAACATCCCTCTTTCATGGGGTCTGGGTTTAAGACATACGACCTATGGGGAAACTTATGTTCAAAGGATTGGGAAGATAAGGCACGTGGTCACCCTTCTCTGATACCACAGGACTTGCAGGGGCAGAAGGTGAGAAGGGAAGGGGGCACATTGTGAACTTCATTCCAGGAGAAGGGACATCCCCCTTTGCAGTGCATGGCTGGTGGTAGCCTTGCTGCAGGGCATAAGAAGTCAGGGCTGGCTCTGGTGCCAGTGGCCTGTCTTATGAGGCCAACTGTGTGTAAAGTTGTCTGAGAACTCCAGCTGCCAGTATCTGGTGACCTGTGGGAAGTGGCACTGGATTGCTGGGGAGAGGAAGTTCCTAGCAGCCCCACCTCCCCAGGGAAAGGCAGCCCTCTGAGGCTGAATATTTATCGCCAGGCAGCTTTGCCAGGCATTCTGGGTGTGCAAGTCATTCATGGGGCAATTCTGCCTTTCTCCACCAGAGACTCTTCCTCAGGGAGGTAACTTTACTGGCAATAGTGGACAATATTCAGGAACGGTTGTATCTGTTTACTGCTCTCCCCTTCGACTATGCTGGGTGTTTATTGCCTTTGATATTTTTACTAACCTGGTGGGTGTGAAATGGGATCTCACTGTGGTTTTCCTTTGCATTTGCTCATTCTGAATGAGGTTGAGCTTCCTTTCATATGTTTATGGGTTATTCTCTTTCAATGAATGCTTACTCTTGTCTTTGGCCATTTTTTTCCCATCGGATTGTCTGTCTCATTCTTACTGATGTACAGTGCTTATATATTCTGGCTATCAATCTTATGATGTTTCATACATGATGCAAATACCTTCTTCCACTTTGAGGAGTGTAGGTATTTTTAAAGGAGTTTTTCCTTTGTTTCCAAATAGTTTGCTTCTGCTAACTTAAGGGAAGCTTTTGGTTTATAAAGGCTTTTGGTTTTTTGTCAGAATTAGGTCCCAGATGTGCCTAACTACCTCTCCCATGGAGGGATAAATACATTTATGAACGGTTTTTGGAATATGTCTTCTTTTAAACAGCAAGGATAAGAGGAATGGGAATCTGCATTGATATATTATTTATGAAAAACTATCATCCAATGCCTATATTCTCCCTGGTAGCCTTAGAGGTGGAAAAACATAATTTGTATGTATATAATACTGTTTATAAATAAGATAAGTCCAAATCACTTCTAGAAAAATTTTCCATTTAGTTATAAAAATTTTAAAGTTTGCATCTTTAAAAAAAATTTTGTATACTCTAAAGGCATGAACAAATGCTGGATGCTATGAATATGTGGTAAATTCTTAAAGCCTTTGAAGTGGGGTTACATCATATTTAGTATTCATCAATATCAGCAAGGGGTGAGAATAAATTAGTAATGTGTTATTCAATGTTCTCTCTCCAAAGGACTTGGTGAATTTTATTCAAGCAAATTTTAAGAAACGAGAATGTGTCTTCTTTACCAAAGATTCCAAGGCCACGTAAGCTACTATTTTCCCTCCAGTTTTGCTTTCCAAGTTCAAAAAAATTATCAGCCACCCTTACAACAAACAAATGCTCCCTAGTTCATTATTAAAGATGTCTTCGTCTTATAATTCTCAGAAACACTGTTTGCGCAGGAAGGATCTGGCAAGGAGCTTATAGTTGTTACTCAGAGCTATACAATTTTGTTTGGTATTTTCAGCTTTGGCCATAGTTGGAAAAGTCGTTGAGGGAGGCTGTCACTCTCTTCAGTATTCCCATGAGATTGGGAACCCACCTGAGTGACCTTGGTAATGAAAGTTGTTTTACAGCTGTTGGCTGGCAATACCATGCATGTGTACATATGTCCATCTTACTGGCTCCTCCGTCAGGCTTTTCTTCCCTGCTGTTGACTTTAGGTCTTTCCTTCTAATTGAGTGTTCATCTGCTCTAAGTCTCATGTGTTTTGGAACATTAAGGCTGGGTTACAAAAGCAGGCTTCACCAGCTCAGCCTACAGGAGTTCTTCAATAACTGTTGATGAGCAAGTGAGTGAGTGAATGGGTCGACTAGTGCTCACCCTTTGTGTAGAAGATGCATTTGAATCTAATTAAACAATTTTCGTCCTACCTCCCACTCTCCTTATTCCTCTCTGCCCCTTCCTTTCTGTTGGCTGGCAATGCAAGAAAGAGTCTAGCTATTAATTGCAAGTTGCTGCTGTAGTTTATAATGAAAAGACTCTCTGTTGAACAGGGTCAATGAACAGAGGAAGGATATAGAAATAAGGAAAAAAGCTTTAGAACCAGCTTTGGTTTCAACCTTGACTTGGCTGACTCCTCACTGTGTGGCCTTGAGCCAATTATTCTCTTTTCTAAAGCTAATTCTCTTATCCTAAAAATCTAGCAAAAGTATACCTCATGGGTTGTGGTATTCAAGACGCAGCATATAAAATACCTACCATAATGCTTCAGAGCATAATTCTTACTTCATGTGAATTAGAAAATGAACACCAGAAAAACTAAGAGATCTCTGCCTTGTCACTGGTAAAAACATACGCATCATGAGTCATTCTGACAAAGTGTAAGCTTTGTAAGACCACTATTTATCCCCTGTATGTTTCATGAATGGGACTTACATACTGGATTGCTAATATTATCAACCTCCTTGCAAGGAAGCTGTTGCTACCTTTAAGGCAAGTGAGGCCCAGAGAAGTTCAGTATTTTACCCATGGTCACATGTGCAGTGGAAGATGGATGAGAGACTTGAGCCCGGGCTTTCTGATTCCAAGGCTGTGCCTTCTCTATACCGTCAGTTGCCTCCCTTTCTAAGAATGGCGTTGCTTTGGGCAGAACAAATTCCTCAACACGTTCTCAGTTACATATGTTCAATCTAACTGGCATAAGTGGAAGCTGGAGCAGGGATTCTGTGGGGTGTGATAATGGGATCTTGTGGCTGAAAAGCACAGCCAGATCCAGGGCTTCAACAACGTCGCCGAGACTCTGTCTCTTTCCACCTGTTGTTCCTGCCCTTCTCTGATGGATGGGCTCTTCACTATTGGAGGCAAAATGGTCATTGTTGGTTGTGCGTTATCAGCTTTCCATTTGCCAGTTAGAGCAAAGAGGGCCTTGCTCCTAGCAATTCCATCAAAAGTCCTGGGCTGATGTTTATGGCTCTTAATGGTCTTGCTTGGAGCATGTGCCTATCTCTAAACTAATCCCTGGGGCTGGAGGATGGAAGTTGAGGGACAGTGGAATATGTTGATTGGCAAGGCTTGGGAGATGTGTCCAGGTGAACTCAATGCAGAAAGGCATGATTCCTCAAGGAAAATCAGGGCGCACTTACTAGTGGAAGGGGAAGTAGATGCAGGTTAGGGAAACCTGTGGCTGTTCACCTTACAGTGCTTGATTACAGCTCAAGTCTGGGTCAAAATGAAGGGAGATGTGGTGGGCAGCCGCAGCCCTCAGCAACACAAGCGGAGCACAGGAACACCTCAGGGTCTTCCAGTTCCCATCTCAGAAGGTATGCAAGGATGCAGGATTCTATAATCTTTGAATCCCCCATGTTTATTATTTCTCTCTCTCCACAGGTAGTGGGATCACTCCATGTAATCTAAGTTACCCATCAGACAAGGGCATCAAATGAAGTGATGATTAATTTTATTGATACCCTGGTTTTGCTGTTACTTGCCACACTAGATGACCTAAGCTGCCAAAGTCTCCCCTGAGAGTTCTCAGGGTTGCCACCCTAGTGCTAAGCCCAACCCACCCTTGCCTCTCTACTCTAACTTCTTGTGGACGCTACTGCAAGATGGTGCCGCACTTTTGCCCCTGCTGCTGTGTCCTCTGAAATGTGCTGCCAGCTTAGGAGCCACCTTCTGGCACACTATGGGTAGTAAGCTCCTAGGTCTGGTTTTGCTCTAGTCACTTCTCACTTCCTTGGCCATGCTGGGTTCCAGGTAGAAACAGAAAGAATGCTACCTTCACAACAGCAGCACTGTGCAACAGAACTTTCTTCCCTGGTGGAAATATTCTATGTCCGCACCATCCAATACGGTAGCCACTAGCCACATCTGGCTATTGATCATTTGAAATGTGGCTAGGACAACGAAGGAATGTTTTTAATTTATTTAATTTCACTTAACTTAAATATAAAATTAAATAACCACGTGAGGTCAGTGGCTACCATATTGGACGGTGTAGTTCTACAGGATTCAGATTTGGTCCAAGGGGGTAGAACTAGGGTCCTGATGTTTTCCTGTCCTCTTCATTTCTCCTGTCTGTCATCCTTATTCCTCCTTCAGGTATCTGCACTCCTAATGTCTTCCTGGCAATTTCTTTTCTCCATTTATAAACCAGTTCATACAAATTGGTGCTTAGAGGGCTACCAGCCCATAGACCAGAGCTGCCAGGCAGCTCTCTTGGTCAAGGTCACCTGTGACACACCCCTACCCTTAGCAGGGAAAAGGGCCCAACAGTTTGTTTTCAGTTATAGCAAGAACAGATGGGGCGGGGAATTCTCTCCCCCATCCTCCAATAAGCTTGGGTGGGTGGACAGATCCCAAAGGATGGTGGGACAGTGGAAGCTATGGAGAGAGAAGAGGAACATCAGGAAGTAGCCTGGGCTCAGGAAGTGCCCTAACACTTAGGAAGAGAGAGGGCTAAGAACATTGTGCTGAATTCTGGTTGACATATCTTGGCCACACTGAGTGATGCCCTGGGAACTGTTCCAAAACAGAGGTGAGTTTGCTGCTGGAGGGTGATTTTGGATCCAGTCTCTAGCTCAATCGTTATAGCTTTAGAAAATATTAAATGCCTTGAGAAATATTTGGAATAGGAATCATTTCCATACTGTGTGGTAATTAAGACTTTTGGTTACAAGGAGCTCAACTACCTAAACTTAAAGAGGGGATTTACTATAAGGAAAAAGAAATGCCACCTAAGATCAGGGAGTGGCCAGGCCTCTGGAGTGGTTAGAAACGGTGACTGATGAGGGGGTACTCAGCAGGTCCCCTCTGCCCGTTCCTGCCTCCACCTCTCCCTGCACACCTGTTCTCTTCTTTCTCAGAGTAGCTATGATTGTGCTGTGGTGCCTGATCTTCCATGTCACAGGCCTAGACCTACAGAGAGACGGGAGCAGCTCTTTTGGTCCTAATTTCAAATTCTTAAGAAAGGGATGCCTATGTCAATCCTGGATTAACTTCCCATCCTTGAGCCTGTCAATTATGAACATTTCCACAATTCAGTTATATGAACAGGCTCATCTTGATCCTACTGTGTAGATGAGGTTGGAGAGAAGAGACAGTCTCACTGCAGTCCACGTCAATGCACCATCTCTAGCAGGGACCTGCCTCCATGTATCTCCAGCAGCATCCCCAACCCCCAGGAGAGCAAGCTGCTCATGAGGATTGCTGCTGAGAAGCATTTGTTCCTCATTATAGAATTTCCTTGTTGAGTGGCTTTGGTAGTTACCCTGGGCTTCCAGCACTTCAAGAAGATCACTATCAGCAGAGCAACTCCAGTTGAAGCCAATTGCTTTCAGGCAGCAGAAACTTGGCCACAGTTTGGCTGGGAATCCATCTGCTTCTGGACTGGTCATAAAATTTGCCCATAAAGCAACTCATTTCTGCTCCTATTGTGTTTTTAGAAAAGTCATAGAAATGCATATCACTATTACCATCTTGTAAATGAAAATGTGACCTCCTGCCACAGAGTGCTTTTAGAATGAATCCTACATTTTGCCATATGTTAAATAAGGTGAACAGTAAAGAAGATCTTGAAAACACAGCCTTTCTCTGGCCATGAACAGCTATGTATACTTAAGCTTGTATTCTGGAAGGAAAACATATCTACTTTACAAAAATCATTGAGGATACAAACCATTTAAAAGAAGACCAATCAATGTATTTATTTGCTCATTTGTTCATTCATTCAAAGGACATTTGCTAAATGCCCTGATGTGCCAGAAACATGGGGACAGAGAATATAAGATAAAGAGTCCAGCTGGAAGCAAATGCTAACAGGATTTCCTCAGTTTGTATATCTTTATTTGGTTCAGCCTGTGCAGGGGATCCTTGCTCCAGAGTCACCATGTATGGTTGCTGGGCTGTGCACTGCACAAGGATGCTGGGGTGAGTGGGGCTGAATCTTGTTATCTGACCCTGCATCCTGGTGCTGACCCACATCTGCCAGAGGGGGATGCCTTTTCTGGTAGGTTAGTGGTGAATGGCTGACCACAAACTTTATTGTGGGGTCTAGAACACGGATAAGAGTGATGGAGGCACTGATCTTACCAGGACTTTGGCAACAGGTGTAAACTGAGACTATTCTGGGCAAATCAGAACATTGAGTCACCCACTGATAAAAGGAGAGCTGTGCCCTTAGGGCCTGTTTCAGTGACCAAACATGTCTCCCACTTTGCTATTCTCTAGCCTTCTCAGGACAGAACTCTCTGTTCTCCTTCTCCACTGGCCATGGCCCCCTTGAATTCCTAGCACCCTTGGATCTTGCCCTAAGATTGGTCAGAGAGACAGCAGGGAGGGATGCAGAACCAAGTGGGTGGGGCAGGCAGAAGGAAGCTGGGAGGAGGGTGAACAGTGCCTCACTGAGTGGGAGTTGTTTTTGGCTAAATGGGAATCTTGGTGGTTGTTGTTCCTGTCTTTGGAGACCACATCTCTCAGGATGCCCTGGATAGAGAGGTCAAATAGTCATAGAATGTGTTTTTAGATTTTTTTTAACTGCATTTTTGCTTCTTTTCTGTTGTCACTGCCCTCATTAATCATTGATTTGCATGTAAGGCACCACAATAGCCTAAGTCACCTTGATGGAGCAGGTGCCACATTCCAGGCCCAGCGAAACACTGTGCATCATTTCCAACCCTCATGGCAAGCCTGACAGGGGAGGGGCTGTGCGAGAGTAAAAGGAGGTGTTTTGTTTGTTTCTCTGCACTTTGCCAGGTGTCATGCTTAGCTATTCCTAAGAGACCAACTTAAAGGCAGGAAGGACATCCCGCTCATCTTGGGCTGCTGTGAAGCTCAGCCCAGGGCTGACTCAGAGTGGATTTTCGGTCAGTATCTGTTGAATGAAGGTGGTATGTTGGCAAAGGCACAAGGGAAGAGGATTTACCACTGACTGCGTTTCTTTTTATCCTCTTCCAATTTCCTGTTATGCCTCTGTGTCACCTAATGGATGAATTTAGTTCCATTGCATTTTTAACGAGAAGATCTCGTGTTCATTTACCGCACAGTTTGTCCTCATCTACCCCAAATTATTGGAAGTCTCTCTAGCAGCTAATGTCCAATAAGGAAAGGATGATCTCTCCAGAGTCTGGAACATTTTGGGTCTCTGCCAAGGGAATGCATCTTCCCAGTGAGTTCAGCCCATGGGAAGGATGTCTCACCTCACTTCAGAATAGCCTTACTGGCTGGGCAAACTGGCAGGGTTGGTGCTGAGGCACTGAGGCCAACTCAGGGCTCCTGTGTGTTATGAACTGTTTGAGAAGCTGAATAAAGTTTCCAGATTTCTGAAACTCAGTCTCATAACAGCCCCATGGACAGAAGATCGATTCCATGACAGCAGGGCTTTGTTCTGTCCTATCAGCACAGAGCCAGCTTGTTCATGAAGGGACAATAAACACCAGGGATAAAACATCAAACTAGTTTCTTTCTTTCTTTCCTTTTTTTTTTTTTTTTTTTTTTTGAGAGGGAGTCTTGCTCTGTCACCCAGGTTGGAGTGCAGTGGCGCGATCTCAGCTCACTGCAACCTCCACCTCCTGGGTTCAGGCCATTCTCTTGCCTCAGCCTCCAGAGTAGCTGGGATTACAGGTGCCTGCCAACATGCCCAGCTGAGTTTTGTATTTTAGCAGAGATGGGGTTTCACCATGTTGCCTAGCCTGGTCTTGAAATCCTGACCTCAAGTTATCCGCCCACCTCACTCTCCCAAAGTGCTGAGATTACAGGCGTGAGCCACCGCACCCGTCCACATCAAACTAGTTTCTACACAACCAAGATGATGAAAACAGTCTGAAAATAAGACTTGAAGGTATCCTTTGTGTGTCTATTTAAGCTAACAATACCAGTTTCCATAAGCAGGCTCAATGAAATCCTTCCTTCCTGTCCACACCATCGTGCTTATCAGGGAGAATGTGTGCAAGTGTGGCTATGCCCAGAGCCAGCACATGGAAGGCACCCAGATCAACCAAAGTGAGAAATGGAACTACAAGAAACACACCAAGGAATTTCCTACCGACGCCTTTGGGGATATTCAGTTTGAGACACTGGGGAAGAAAGGGAAGGTAAGCAATGGTTTTCTACTTTGGCAGCTAATTCATAGGCCAAAGTGACCTGGGCTACCTTGATTTACTTGGAATTGTCTAATAGGATGGAGGCAGGAGAGATGGGTAGTAAACACCAAAAACGATTGCAGAAAAAGATACATCTTGTAAAAGCCAAAAAGCAGTTATTAGGCTATGCTCAACAGGAAAACTCAACAGGTTAAGGACTGGATTATCACCTAGCCTCCTGTGTCCACACGCAAGGCAGGCATCCACGTCACATCCACCTTGAGCCCTACTGCTACTGAGGGCCCCATGAATGCTTTTGTGAACCCTACTGCTTAGCTCTGCGTACTCCTGAGGTACATATGGCCCTGAATATGCATTCCCTTCATACTCACTGTGCAAGCTCTCCAGCAAGGTTTCACAAAGGTGTTTAATGATCAGAAATAGCCTTTCCTACATCCTCCGTGCTCCCAGTCTCAATGAGAGCACCGTCCACAGGCTGTTCCTGCAGGGCCTGGGCCTCTCATCTCCCAAACCCCCATGGCATTCCTGGTAGGTGACCCAGCCCATGGCATCCCTGGGAGGTGACCCAGCCCCATCCACTGCTGACTCCCCCAGGGCCTCTGCCCTGGAATGGGCCGGCACACTCTCTTGCTGCCCGCAGCTCTGCCCACCTCCCTGTGGCCTCAGCATGGCCGCTGGAGGACTCCCTAAATGTAAAGCCCACCCTGTTCCTACCCGGCTTCAAACGCCTCAAGTCACCCCTCTGCCTTCAGGACAAAGTCCCAGGTTCTCCACCTCGCCTGTGGGGCTTTTCAGGGCCCGTGCAGCACCCCCACTCCCCCCAGTCTGCTTTCCTTCTGTGAACCCTGAATATCTGAGACAGGTCTCAGTTAATTTAGAAAGTTTATCTTGCCAAGGTTGAGGAGGGATGCCCGTGGCACAGCCTTAAGAGGTTCTGACAACGTGTGCCCAAGATGGTCAGAGCACGGTTTGGTTTCATACATTTTAGGGAGACATGAGACATTAATCAACATATGTAAGATGAACGCTGGTTCCTTCTGGAAAGGTGGGACAACTCACGAAGCAAAGGCGGGACAACTCGAAACGAGAGGGGGCTTCCAGGTCATAAGTAGATAAGAGACAAATAGTAGCATTCTTTTGAGTTTCTGATTAGCCTTTCCAAAGGAGGCAATCAGATGTGCATTTATCTCGGTGAGCAGAGGGGTGACTTTGAATACGGTGGGAGGCAGGTTTGCCCTAAGCAGTTCCTAGCTTGAATTTTCGGGCCCCAAGATTTATTTTCCTTTCACACTTCCACTTCCTCATGGGGCCTTGGCACGGCGCCCGCCTGGGACCCCCAATGCCGCGATCCCTGCTGCCCCCACCCCGCCCCTCTTCTAGAAGCAGGCAAGCGTGGGCTTGGAAGTTGGGAGGGAATGCTAAACCCCGACCTCAGGAGAACACAGGCCTATCCTGATACTTCTGCTTCTCTCCCCATAGTATATACGTCTGTCCTGCGACACGGACGCGGAAATCCTTTACGAGCTGCTGACCCAGCACTGGCACCTGAAAACACCCAACCTGGTCATTTCTGTGACCGGGGGCGCCAAGAACTTCGCCCTGAAGCCGCGCATGCGCAAGATCTTCAGCCGGCTCATCTACATCGCGCAGTCCAAAGGTGAGGGTGGGAGCAGCGACCGCGGGTTCTTCCATTCGGGCTGCACCAAGTTTGGGGAGCAGAGAAGGCAGTTCCCGTGTGCAATTCCGGAGAATCCGGGTGCTGCTAGAAGCATCTGATTAATCGTTATCTTATTGAAAGCCATATCCTCAAATGAATGGACACGGAGCTCTGGCAGATAGCGGGGGAGCTTCACACAGTAACTCTAAATCAGCGTTAAGGTGCTTCCTTAGGGGAATTTTTTTTAATCTTGTAAGATTTTCATTTTGTTATTAACACACGTAAAGTTTTACCCAGAATTTCGGTTCAGGGGAATTGGAAAGGACAGTTGTAATTCGCTTGTTCTGTAATTGTGAGATCGGTGATGCACTTTTGAAAGTAGTGACAGTGCCTGAGAAATTGTGAGCACCACAGAAGTGTCTGATTGAGGTCAAAGCAACTAAGCCTTTGTTACTTGAAACACTTAGCATTTTCTTTTCAACTTTATATTTTAAAAAATTTTGAATCTACAAAATGTTGCAAGAATAATGCAATGAACATCTGTACATTCTTCACCTAGATTCACCAATTGTTAACATTTCCCCACGTTTGTCTCAACTTGTTCCATAAATATCTACGTATGACTTTGGGGGGAACCGTTGAAAGCAGGTTGCAGGAATCATGATCCTTAACCCCCTAAGCACATGAGCATGCCCCTCCTGTGAGAGGGGGTTTTCTCACATAACCCAGTACAATTTTCAAACCCGAACAGTTACCATGGACCAGTACTGCTATCTAACGGTTCATACTCGAATTTTGCTAATTATCTCAACAAGGTCCTTTAGAGTAAACATTCTTTTTTCTCAGTTTGTATTCCAAATCGATTTAGCTTTGTTTTTTTTTTTTTTCCTTACATTTGGAACTGGTTCTTAGCCTTTCCTTGTCTTTCATTACGTTTTTTGAAAAGTGTAGGCCAATTGCTTAGTAGACTGTCTCTCATTGTGGATTTGGTTGATGTTTTCTCGTGATTAGATTCAGTTTGTCTAACCTTAACATTTAAAAAACTTCTTTTACGCAGAATTAATATTGACCGGTAGAACTAAGGAAACGTGTCGTAATCTAGACATGGGTTTTTTTTTTTTTTAATATCAAGAAGAAACTGAGATGTTTTGTTTTGTTTTTCCCATTTATTTTTCTCAGTTTCCTTACCAACCAGAGGGAACACTGTGGGTTGTCACTTTGTTACAAAATTGAGCAACTCAGCTTCCTTGCTACTAAATCCTGAATACACCTTATTCGTTCATTAAACATACACTTATTGGATGCCTATTATGTACCAGAAATTGTTTTATGTGCTATGAATACAGCAGAACAAAACGGACAAAAAGTCCCTGGGCTGGGGCGCCTCTTTCTATGCAGATGAAGTGAAGTGATTGAGGAAGTTGAATAGTTTCATTGTTGCTAGTTGTCCACTTGGAGTGCTACCTTCACTTCCCATTGTCTCATTTTAAAAGGGAACGTTAATGGCTGAAGTAGATATGAAGCCATACCCGCTGTACGTGCATGCAGTAAGTCAATCACTGCAAGCATGGGTTTTGCAAAAGAGAAAAGATTTATTCACAGGGTTGCCCAGTGAGAAGATGGGAGAATGGTTGTCAAATCTGCTTCCTTAAAGATAAGGATTAGGGATATTTAAGGAGTAAAGAGGCAGGTGTTCTATGGCGTGGGGAAAGGTGATAGGAAGTGGAGAAGGAATGAGGTAATTGGTGGTTTTTGCAGGTGTAGTCAGGGTTCATGGCTCGTCATAGGACACCTGTCCAGAAAATGGCAGGTGTTAGCATGATCTGAGGGAGGAGTTTTGGCCCTCTGACCTCGAAAGGTCATCTCTTGGGCATTTGTGCACGCCCTGTTGAAGAGTCAATGGTCTCAGCTGTTTTGAACTGGATCAGAGCAGCTCCCTAGTTCCTGAAAAACAACTTTAAGCAACTATTATCATAGTGACGTATATGTCAGAGATGTTATCTATAAGGAAACTAGTGGTGATTTAGTTATATATTGTTTGGCTACATGACTTTTAGCTATACGGATTTTAAAATCAACTAGAAGGAAGCAATTAAAAGCAAGCAAGGCAGGTGAAGTTTGGCAGGCTTAATTAGGTTAGCTCTCAGTTTCAAAATCTGTCTAGAGGAAGGAGACTGGGTGCTGAGAGGCTGGATTTATGCCCCGTGAGAGCTGGTTAAAAGAAGCAGGTGTAAAACTTCTAAGGATCACATCGTACTTACCTGAAAATATTAGAATGACTTTGATATGGTGATGACTAAAATTGTTCCTCATTTCTGAGGCCGTAGTAAAATTAGAGAATGGAGATAGTCAGCAAAGGGGCTTTCTAACGATTGGAGGAGGGGGCTGCCTCTCAGCTCCTGACGCTTCTCTTACAAGAGCTAATCCAAAGAGGCCAGTGACCTCTCTGAGGGTAGATTCCTACATGGGCAACATATTACACTAGGGTCATTTCCAACTTTAGATTCAGTTTTATGCTAAAAAATATTTTTTAGGTATTGTATTTGTTGTACTTTGCTGCCCCCCGCCGCAATAAAACCCTGTATAACCCTTAGCATTGAGAAGATAATCAGATCTAAACCCTAAAAAGGCCAGTGTACAAAATTGTGTTTTATAAAGCAAAGTTATTGACACAAAAGCCATCCAAGGAAGATTCACTTGAATCCAACCAATATGGGGGTCCAGGAGCAGAGTGCCCGACTTACCATGGTGGCATTGCCTAACTTGCTTAGAGGCTCTGGTTAGACATTCATTGTCCATAAGAGTCCTCTAGAGGCTGGTTAAAGATACAGACAGATTCCCTCGACCCACCTCCCAGAGAGCCTGATGAGGCAGATCTGGAATAGGGTCAAGAATCTTTTTTTTTTTTTTTTTTTTCTTTTTGAGATGGAGTCTCACTCTGTTGCCCAGGCTGGAGTGCAGTGGCATGATCTCGGCTCACTGCAACCTCTGCCTCCCGGGTTCAAGAAATTCTCCTGCCTCAGCCTCCCAAGTAGCTGGGATTACAGGCGGCCATCACCACGCCTGGCTAATTTTTGTATTTTTAGTAGAGATGGGGTTTCACCATCTTGGCCAGGCTGGTCATGAACTCCTGACCTCGTGATCCACTCGCCTTGGCCTCCCAAAGTGCTGGGATTATAGGCAAGAGCCACTGCGCCTGGCCAAGGATCTGTATTTTTAAGTGAACACCTCTCAGGAGAACTGTCTGAGGTCCCCTCTCCTTCCTTGCCATACGACATAGCTGCCAGTGCTGTGTCCTGATGCCTACAGGGATGGGGCCTTTATTTTAGGGGTCTGTGAGCCCAGAATGGAAACTTTGCCCAGTGCCACTTGACCATTTACTCTTCCTATTTGTTGACAGGTGCTTGGATTCTCACGGGAGGCACCCATTATGGCCTGATGAAGTACATCGGGGAGGTGGTGAGAGATAACACCATCAGCAGGAGTTCAGAGGAGAATATTGTGGCCATTGGCATAGCAGCTTGGGGCATGGTCTCCAACCGGGACACCCTCATCAGGAATTGCGATGCTGAGGTACCGGTGGGACAGGAGGAGGTCTGCTAGGTCACATGGAAGAAAGACCATGGCATGGGCCTGTGGCCTGAACCCTGGGGCTCTGTGATGGAGCCAGCCAGATCATGGGGAAGTCTGCCTTTCAAGGAGTGCCTTTGGGACCTTAAAGGAATTGAAAACAAGGATGACGTACCTAATTAACTGCTGGGAAAGAGTTAACAATGAATGTTTTGTTCATTAAAATGTGTTCTCAGCAATCTCATATCACAGTCAGGTTCTTTATTCTTCATAACTATGGCTTACATCCATCTCAGGCGGGCTCAAAGCCAACTGCAGTATCTTTTTTTTTTTTTTTTTTTTACACCCACTAGGATGGCTATGTTTTTTTTTTTATTATTATACTTTAAGTTTTAGGGTACTTGTGCATAACGTGCAGGTTTGTTGCATATGTATACATGTGCCATGTTGGTGTGCTGCACCCATTAACTCATCATTTAACATTAGGTATATCTCCTAATGCTATCCCTCCCCACTCCCCCCACTCCCCAACAGACCCTGGTGTGTGATGTTCCCCTTCCTGGGAACCAACCCAAATGTCCAACAGTGATAGGCTGGATTAAGAAAATGTGGCACATATACACCATGGAATACTATGCAGCCACAAAAAATGATGAGTTCATGTCCTTTGTAGGGACATGGATGAAGCTGGAAACCATCATTCTCAGCAAACTATTGCAAGGACAAAAAACCAAACACTGCATGTTCTCACTCATAGGTGGGAATTGAACAATGAGAACTGCAATATCTTGATTGCTTGGCTACACTCACAGAAATTCAAATCAATGGATATTGTCCTTGGTTAAATGGGCATTAAGAAGGCTGTGAGACAACCACCCCCCGCCCCCTGCAAATGTTTCCTGTGAACATTTTTAGAGAGTAATGAGCATTTCATGCTAAAAATACAAGGTAGACATATGGGGTTTTGTATCAAGTGTAGAATTTTGAAAACAACATTTCTAGTAGTTGAGGAACTTCTTGAGCAACAGGTGTTCTCTGCCCAGAAGCATTGGACCAAATGTTCAGAAATCCACATTTAAGCTACACCTTCTCCCATCTGGGCTCCTTAGAAGCGGCAAATGTTAAGGATTTTTGGAATTGCTGTGATTCTTCTTTTAGAATTATTTTATTTTTGTGTCTTGGTTACCATTTTTGAGATATATAAGGGGCAGGGGAGAGTGGGAGGTGTTTTTTTTTGTGCATCTTCAAGGAGGAAGCATGGTAGAGGGGGAGGAGGAGGCGTTTTGAAGACAGAGAAGTTGGGGTTGGAGTAACCATTCCTTTTCTAGCTGCATAGTCTGGAGCCAGTTCCCTTCTTCAAGCTTTTATAATAATAACCTGTATTGTTATGGGACTGATTTATCTAATTGTGCAGAGTGAATGGTAGCTTCTATTATTATTACTAGATGCCCAACAGGAGATGGCAAAATGATTTCACATCAAATGCCAACTTCAGGGATGAGAGTGGCCTAGAGCAGGCTTTTGAGGACAATGGCAGGCTAAATGGGAAAGAATACCATTATCTATTAGCAATATTTGTAATGGGCATAGGAGTCAATGTAGTGTTGTATAATTATCCCCACGGTAGATGCAGTGCATATGTTAATTCACAGACTCACAAAAAACCTTGAAAATGTGGGTATTTTTACCTCTGAATGGGAATGAGAAAAGACTTCAAAGTCTCCCTAGAGGCTGTTTACAGAGCCCATTTCCTGGCAACAAGTAAAACTTGAAATGAATATGTAAAGATTAAAGAATGTGCCAATCATTTGGAAATTAAGAAACAACCAACCACCCAACCATCTGCTAAACAAATGTTGGATCTAGAATGATCTTTCAAAAATATAATCATAGATAACTTAGAAAGCAATGCAAATAAAAACATTACATATTAAGAATATATGTCAATATGTCAGTATGGCCAAAGCTGCACTCAAAGTGAAATGCATAGCCATATACCTTTATTAGTAAAAATAAAAGTAATAAATAATTCTTTAATCATAATAACAAAACCTAACATTTATATAATAGCACTTACTATGTACTAGGTTCTATTCTAAGTGTATTACATATATTAACTCATTTGATGTTCATAACAAAACTATGAGGTAAGTACTACTATTCCCCCCTCATTATAAACGAGAAAAGTGAGGCATACAGAAAGTAAGAAACTTTCTTAATGCACATATCTAGTTAGTGGCAGGTTCATGGTGCACAATCTTTTAACCACTATAGTATTCAGATTAATAAATTTAAAAAATAGTATCACCAGCAAAACTCTGAATTCTTTCTGAATGCTATTTTTTCCTTCTGTTCTCCTTGAATTTTGGTGGTGATATTATTGTTCAAACTTATTAAATTCTATGTTTGGAGTTAAGATTGAAACACCTTTTAATGCAACGCTGATACTTTAAAACCTAAATGCCTTTGAATGGAGCTTGAGAGTGAGGAACCTTTTTGGTAAGGATTCCTTTCTTTATGTTCCTGAAGCAGTTTTTTATTCTCTGGTATTTTGGGAACAAAGTATCCATTTAATTACTTCTTTTTGTGGTCCTGTTGCTATGCGCTTCTCAAGTGCAAAGACTGTTTCATTCATTTTCTAATCCCTAGATCCTGGCATGGGTCACGGCATATGATAGATTCCAGACAGCTATGTATGTGTGCATTTCAATGTCTGCTTCTACCTGTATCCAGACACACACAAATACACACACACACACATTTGCACATACATGGTTTCCTGAATGCTGAATTTGAATTTCGTTGAATTTATGCAAAAGAGCACAGGGCAATGAACCAAGAATGGGACTGGGAATCTGATCCTTACACTGTCACTGGCCATTTATGAGAAAATGAGCACATGGCACAACCATTTTGAACTTCCATTTCCTCATATTTAAAAGGAAGTCTGTACTATAAGATCGCTAAGACCCCTCTGGATTTAGGAATCTGGGAGGAGGCATAATGTGATTGAACCCAAAGTATTAGCTTTCATATGAATATAGAAAAATATCATCATGTATCTTGACTGATAATACAATCTCAAAGACAAGTTTCCCTGTACTTTTCAGGGCTATTTTTTAGCCCAGTACCTTATGGATGACTTCACAAGAGATCCACTGTATATCCTGGACAACAACCACACACATTTGCTGCTCGTGGACAATGGCTGTCATGGACATCCCACTGTCGAAGCAAAGCTCCGGAATCAGCTAGAGAAGTATATCTCTGAGCGCACTATTCAAGGTCAGTGGTTAGGAGGTAGGACACTAGAAGTGTACAATAACCACAGCAGCCACAGCATCAACAACAATCACTACCAACTATTGAGTGATGCGTGAGAAACACACCTGATCAGGTATTTTTATTGCCAAAGAACTGTTATTTCTCTTAATTTTTCCAACACATCAGGAATGCTTCTGCCAGGGTCAATGTGGTATGTACCCTTTAACATGCTAAAGGCAATGATAAATACGGCCATCTTCCATTGTGGTTTGTTAGTATCAAAAGCTGGCTGTCTTCTTCTGGTAGATACCATTTAAGAACAAATACGATCTACAATGACAAATATGAGTTTATGAAACAACGCAATTAGCTAGGATAGAAAAGATAAAAACCAACCTGCTAGTTTAACAATGGTATGGTTTACTTTTTTGAATCTTGGCTACTTCTGAGTAACAGAAAACAGTGGTCTCAAGAGAAGAATGCAACAGTTGAGTGAAAGCCATTATTTGCCGTGGTTGAGTGACATGTACTCTCTCTCTTCCTGTGGACAGGGTATTGAGATGTGTCCTGCTGTGGAACAAGATTACCTTGTGATTTAATGATAGACATAATGACAGGAACTTGTTGGAAATGTTGTCAATTATTTTCCTTTCACAATTGGACATACATGAAAGAAGAAACTATATATGCAATAAACTGTTGAAAGACCACTAGTTATGCAAAGTTCTCACTCAAGCAAGCATAGGATTATAGGAAAGCATCATTATTATAAGGATAAACTTAAACCTAGTTTAATTTATAGGTGCAATGGTAAATCATGCACAGGCTTTCAGTATTCAAATATGTATTTTAAATATCAATGACAAATTGCAACATGACCCATGTCATGCTATTACTAGTGTGGAGCAAAAAGACTCATCCGTCTTTAATGAGTGGATAATGTTCAAGTCCGTGAGATGTGAAGCTATCTCTCCACACCCTAGGCTCACAGGGCAGAAGCTCTTGGTCCAACTTTTCACAGAGGTAGGTGAGTATTTCTAATGAGCTCAAAATATGCTTTACTTTTTATATTTTACAGATTCCAACTATGGTGGCAAGATCCCCATTGTGTGTTTTGCCCAAGGAGGTGGAAAAGAGACTTTGAAAGTGAGTCCTGATTTAGTTTTCTAGAAGGTTGGCTAATAAGCCTATCCAACAAATTTGTATTTTCAAGGATTTGGGCTCATCTAATCTAACCTAATTGATTTTACTGCAGCAAGTAGGTAGTGTTTTCCCTCCACATACTGTTCCCCTAACAGACTCCGGTTATTCCTCAGTCAAGAAGATTTGGGAGGAGAATTTCAGTGACATGAATAACCTGTGTACTTAGTGTTGGCCTTGACAGTCAACCTGCCAAAGAGAAGAGTTGACATTAATTCGGGAGACTTAAAGATTGTAACCGGCATATATATTAGAAAGCTATGGCCAACCTATCTGCATTGAGATGAGCTGTGATCATACACACACAGATTGCCCCCAAACCAGATGTTTCCAGACCACCTAAGGCCCATTTATATGCCACCTGGGGATGCAGGTATGTTGCATGATGGAATTCCAAACCCTAAGTGATTCTGAGATCATGGAAACTTCTTGAATGGTTCTGCACCTGCAACACTGAGCAACTGAGCAAGAATTTGACTTCCCAGCCAATCTGTATGGACTCATTACTGAGTTCATCTTGCCTGCAGTCAGGCTTCTGTTTGACGTTTTTTTGTTTTTGTTTGATAATCCACTTGAATCAAAACCTTTTATTTATTTATTTGTTTTTAACTTTTAGGGTCAGGGGTATATGTGTAGGTTTTATGTATAGGTAAATTGTATGTCACAGGGGTTTTGCATACAGATTATTTTATCACCCAGGTAATAAGCATAGTACCCCATAGGTAGTTTAAAAAAAGTTAGTGTGACTACATTTTAGTAAGTATTGTAAACAATTTTCAAGAGCTCATTTTTCTAGGAATAGCACATTACAAGAAAGTCATTTTTAACTCATCTTTTTCATGAATTTCCGCAATGATTTGCATATTCCTCCTTTTACCCATCCTATTTTACCTCTAAGACAGGGAATAGATTAAAGATACCTGGAGCTAAAAGTAAGTGCTGGCAAAGTTATCTGGAATCATCATCTAGTACTTCTCATTATTCTTTTATGTAACAATGGCTGTTTTCTTCATCCATTCAACAGATATTTATTGAGTACCCGCTATGAAATTTACAATTGAGATCATGGTTAAATAAAAATATTCAGGGAAACATTAAAATAGAGATTTTTTTTCAGTGTGTGATTGTCAGTGTATTAAAACCTTTTTATGCCTAGTGTTCCATTATTGGAACACTAAGCATGTGGGAGTTATTTATATCCTACTGCTCAAGGTCATCACCAAGGTGATCGCCAAAAATTCAAAAAATTGCAAGCTCCAGCATAAATGGCTCAAATCTGCAAAAGCAGCCACATCAAAGAGGAAGAGGGGTGGAGAAAAAGTCATTGAAATATGGTTACATTTATTATCTTACCAGATCAAATATTAGATTTGGAATGAAGATTTCTTGGCCTAGGGGGTAGGGGGAGACTGGAGAGCTGCTGCTGGTCTAGGGAACTGCATTTCTATGGCATTTTCCACTGCCGTCTGCTCAGCCAATTAACAACCCACAGTAGTGGGGGTAGGAGAGGTGAGGTGAACTAGGAGAAAATACCCAGCCAGGGCCGGGCACAGTGGCTCACGCCTGCAATCCCTGCACTTTGGGAGGCCAAGGAGGGTGGATCACCTGAGGTCAGGAGTTCGAGACCAGCCTGGCCAACATGGCAAAACCCTGTCTCTACTAAAAAATACAAAAATTAGCTGGGCGCAGTGGCAGGTGCCTGTAATCCCAACTATTCAGGAGGCTAAGGCAGGAGAATCGCTTGAACCCAGAAGCTGGAGGTTGCAGTGAGCCGAGATTGCGCCATTGCACTCCAGCCTGGGAGACAGAGCAAGACTTTGTCTCAAAAAAACAAAGAAAGAAAAAGAAAAGAAAATACCCAGTTGGTGCCTCTGCATCCCTTCCTGGTTTAACTCCCCATCGACACACCCACGACCACCTGTGGTGCAGACACTTGAGGCACACAGAGGGATCCCGGCCTGCTCTGTGACTCTCACCCTCTGTGGGCTTCAATCATGGCACCACACATCTGGCTTCCTGGGTGATGTCTTCTCTAAGGAAAGCACTCAGACCTAAAAACAAGTGCTTTTCAATTTTTTTTGTACCTCCAGGTAGATCACTATATCTTGCTGTCCAGTGATTAAAATCCTTAAAATATGATCCCCCTCTGCTGTCCTCTGCAGTTGTTACAAAGGTCATAAAAGTGTGCTAGGTGTTTATCCAGGAAGAAAATATATTTTTATTCTTTTTTAATAACAGGAGCAGGGGAAATTATTTGAGGAGGGAAATATGTGAGTAAACATCACATAAAACATGTGGCTGCTGTTTTAAAGTTATTTTCACACCTCAAAAGTATGAGTATTGGTTACTACTAACCTGTTTCAGATAAGCTATCAACAATAATGCTGAATACAGTCTTAATACATGTCACTCAAATCTATTATGTCAGTACTTGGAATGATCAATTTTGTGTACAGGGATATTTTAAAGCACTTATCTATAGAAAACTTAAGCTAGTCATAATGTGTTCTTATTATGGAATTTGTTGTGGGGACAAGATTTCATAAAGCAGATTACATTTCTCATTCATAAAGCAATTGACAATATTTGATTTGCTTCTGATTTAAAATAAAAGCCCCAAAGGAAAACGTGTAGGGATGTGTCCGTGTGTTTCCTCCAGCTTGGCTCAGAACCTTAGTCCAGAGCTGGGTTCTGTGGACCAAGGTCTCTGATCTGTCTGACTCTGTCTCCTTCCTCCAGGCCATCAATACCTCCATCAAAAATAAAATTCCTTGTGTGGTGGTGGAAGGCTCGGGCCAGATCGCTGATGTGATCGCTAGCCTGGTGGAGGTGGAGGATGCCCTGACATCTTCTGCCGTCAAGGAGAAGCTGGTGCGCTTTTTACCCCGCACGGTGTCCCGGCTGCCTGAGGAGGAGACTGAGAGTTGGATCAAATGGGTAAGTTGTCGGGACCATGTCTGAGGGCTGAGAAAATAAGACAAGTTGGTGAGAAGGGAGAATGCCTTAAACGCCCAACTCCACCAGCAGCTGCACGTGTTTGGTATTTTCTCCGTGCCTTTGAGGCTCAACAGGTGTCTTGCTGGAAACTGAAGTTCAGTAAGATACGTGACTCACCAAGTGTGATATTTGTACTTGAGATATTGCATTTTTCAGAGTTTACTAAAAAAGGGAAAACTGATGGTTTTATATCAATGTTCTTACTGGGATGTTGTAATATCTTATTCAAGTCCAGGAGAGAGAGAGACACAAGAATCTGACAAAAAGAGATAAACATATCAGCCTTACTGATGATGAAGGCAAAGTTGAAAGAGGTGGCTTGAGGTGCAGAACATTGCGACTGCATATGCTAAGTCTCAGAATAAAACAGATAAGCCCACCCTGACACAGGCAGCGCCGGACACCTGCTGACCTCCCTGCTGGGCTAGACGTGGCAGCTGCAGACCAGGGCACTAGTGCTTTGCAAGGTGCAAAGCCCAGTGAGAGGAGAAGGAGAGGGCTGGCTGGGCAAGGCCAATATTGCTCCCCAACCCTGAGTAGGGCTAAGTGAAAGAGTGGAGATTGACCAGGTGCCTAATTCTGATGAGGCTCCTCCCCATGGAATTCTGTTGGTTGGGAAAAGCAGCACTCCCTTTCCAAAGTGCTTATACATTTTTGATTCTCTAAACATTCATACCTAACTACTTCGAGTCAGTTCTGAACATATAAACAGGGCTGGGTGCAATGACTCATGTCTGTAATCCCAACCCTTTGGGAGGCCAAGGCAAGAAGATCGCTTGAGGCCAGGAGTTCAAGACCTGCCTGGACAATGTAGTGAGACCCCGTCCCTACAAACAAACAAACAAACAAACAAACAAACAAACAAAAATTACCCAGGCATGCTGACATATGACTATAGCACTAGTACCAGCTACTTGGTAGGTTGAGGTGGGAGAATCATTTGAGCTAGGGAGTTTGAGGCTGTAGTGAGCTGCGATGGAGCCATTGCACTCTAGTTTGGGTGACATAGTAAGATCCCATCTCAGCAAAAAAACAAAAACAAACAATCAAAAAAAGCATATAAGCAGGCCTTTTCCAACGTATACATATCAAAGTAAGACACTGCATATTGATTGCATATTGACTGCCACTCTCAACGTCATTTCCTGTGATGGATGGAATAAATTCAGTGGTCAGTTCAGGGATCCCCATAGAGGAAGAAACGGATGACTCTTAATTTATTCACCAAAGATGGCCCCAGGTCCACTTCAGTGACCTTCCTCTTACTCCTTGTACAAGTTGGCTTGCCAGGTCTTGACCAGGCCATGTCCAACGAATAGAGGCCATCTGAAGGGCTACCACACCCTTTATAAGGGATTTTGATTTCTGCTTCATGAAAACTGTTACAGGCAACTCATCTGAAATAGGCTAAAAGGCACATTCTACCTTCTTTGATTATATTATCCTTTCTGCAATTCATAGCTAATTCATATTCATACTGAATATGCTAATGATATATTATAATTACAATCACATCAATCAGAAAACATGCATCAATAATAAAAATTAGTCTGGAATTTTAATTAGGCACTCATACAGGGTTTTGCAGTTGGTACAGATTTCCCAAAAGACCAAGCTCAAGAGTGGGATTATTAATTAATGAATGTATACATTCAGGCAAATATTAATTAGACAACCTTCCAGGGCAGTCCTGGGTGACCTCGCTGACTATGTGGACAAGCAGCCCCAAAACCTGGACTCCCAGTTTCTTGACCACTCTAAGCGATGCATTATACCTCTCCCACTGGGCTCACACCTTCCTCTCCTAAAAGCCGTCATGGTTATTCCCCCATGCCTATTCCTCAACTTCTCGAGAACTTGACTCTCCATAGTCTTCCAGTCTATCAACCAATCTAGATATCATTCGTGTATTCATCTTTAACTCTCATTTATTAATTTATTCAGTAGATATTTGTTGAGCACATACTGCGTGCCGGGTTCTGAAATAGGCACTTCAGAAAGAATTGCGTACACGACAGAAACAGTCTGTGTCCTCTTAGACAAAACAGAATTTGAAAAAAGGTTTAGGTTGAGTGATGACAGTACAGTGCATTGTGTAATTGCAAGTCGAAATGGGTGTTTGGAAGAAAGGTAACATGGATACAAAAAGGCAGGTGCCGAGGGAGCCTGGCCTGGTGTGGGGCTTTCTGGAAGGCTTCCCGGAGGAAGTGATGTGGGAGCCAAGATCTGAAGGATGGAGAGAGTTAACGAGGTGGGGGCTGGGGTTGTGGTGGTGGTGGGAACAGCATGTGCAAAGGTCCTGAGGTGGGAGGCACGCCTGAGGAGTGAAAGACAGCCGTGAGGGTGGGAATGGTGAGTGGGAGCTCAAGAACTTGTGAGGGACCAGCCCAGGAGGCTCCCTGAGCCCCGTTTGGTCTTGTTCAAGTGTAATGGGATATCATTAAAAGGTTTCAAGCAGGGAAAAAACGAGATGGAAGTTGTGTTCAGGACAGCTCACTCTGGCAGCAGTGGGGCAGAGGATGGAGGAGGCAGGAGTATGCAGGATGGAGTCCCAGCTAGGAGGGACTCCTGTGGCCGTCTCTGGGGTCCATCGGTTTACTTGCTATCCATATTCATTTCCTTCTTCTTCCTTTTTATTTCAAAGGAAAATAAAAATAACCCCTTGGTACTGCCCACCTTCACTTGTGCCGTAGAATTTTGGGACCTTCACCCCTCCTCCCCGCCTGTCAGTTCTAGCTGGACCCCTATTCTTCAGTCTGAACAAAGGCTGCAGACAGATGAAGAGAGCCTTTCCTTCATGCTATCATCCCCACCCACCCTCTCCTTCAAAATCTCCATGTTTTGTCTTTGCCTGCAGTTTTCATTCATTTCCTCATCACCTACCTGGGTGCTTTGAACTAAGACCTCCATCACCACCTTTCCCAGGCAGCTGCAGCCTCAAAAGCTCACCTTCTAATTTCCAAATCCAAGGGCTCTTTTTGCCACCTTCAAACAGCCAGACCCTGAGACTTCGTCTCCCACCCAGCGGAGCCTCTGCAGTTCCAGATCCTTATTTCCAAACGTTGCCAGGGAAACCCATCATTGCCTCAAACTCAGTCTAATGGAAACCAGACTTGCTCCCTTGGCTAGAAGGGGCCCTTCTCACCAAGCTCCAGCTGGGCTCGCCAGTGCTTGTAACCTTGAAATTACAGGGTTATTTACTTTTTAAAACGTCTTAAAATTAAACATTACAGAAAAATAACAAAGGACAATATAGAAAATTCTTTATCTGTTTCTCCAGTTTCCAAGCCTTCTTTCTTGTTTGCATTTGAGCTTTTATTTCCTATTGTTTAAATCTTTATGGGCACACTTGGATGGTGTCTACAGTCTTCTATTGTCCCTTCTTTATTTACTTGGTCATTTAATAACTGAGCATCTGCCATGTGCCAGGCTTTGTGACACACACACACACACACAGCACCTGCACGCAGATGCACACATCTCTAGTCAAATGAGGCTCTCAGCTTTTTGATAGGGGCTTTTTGATACGTGTATAACCAATACTTTATTCTCACTGTAGTCAAGGACTCATTGCAATTCAGAAATGAGAAGCTGATCCGGAACTCCACTACAGGTGGTCTTTTTAAAAAGATCTCTCACAAAAAGAAAGAAGTTTATGCTCCTCATGCCTAAAATCTGTTGGCTGACACTTTGTTCTTTAATTTCGCCAGCTCAAAGAAATTCTCGAATGTTCTCACCTATTAACAGTTATTAAAATGGAAGAAGCTGGGGATGAAATTGTGAGCAATGCCATCTCCTACGCTCTATACAAAGGTGAGTAAAAATAGCTCCTTTTGAAGTGTCAGCTTTGTGTTGCCTTCTGTGGCTTTTCATGACTTACATTTCTTTTATAAAACAGCTTTATTGAAAGGCAAGCTTGTACTTAATTTTGATGATCCTAGATTGGAAGCTAGAATAACTACGCTTGTCCTGGTGAGGTGAATCTCCTTGGTTGTATGTATTTGATAGAATAATAATTTTTATGTCATTAAAATACTGGTCAAACAAAATCGCAGTAGTCTCCAAAGAGCTATTTCTAACAGTGGTTGAAAATAATTTTTTTATTGGGCCTCAGATTCCTTTGAGAATATGGCAAAACTATGGATCTTTGTCCTAGCATTCTACATATTTGTACACATATGCACACATACTTCACACCTAAGTAACTTTGCATTTAATTTCAGGGGTTTACAAATTTCCTGAGGCTTATGAATGAACCTCAGGTTAAAAAATTCTCATTCATGATCTTTGCTGCTTTAGAATTCCGTAAAGTGGATGTTACCCATAGTAAATAGATCCTTGGTTGTCTAGACTTGAATTGTGTGACTGATAAATATAAATTAGCTAGAGTAGAGCCAGGCACGTTGGAAGTGCATTTAAAGCATCAGCAATTTATTAGAATCATTCTTATTGTACTTGCCAGACATTTGGTTATAAAGGTATTTATTAAAATGGAATTATATCTGCACAGATACATAGATGCATAAAATATTAGCTCTGGAAAAGACAAGAATGACATTGTTGTAAGGTGGCTTATTGTTTCGTAGATTTAGATGTAGCATAAGTCAGATATGGCCTTGAAATATAATACTATGGAATCTGAATCTATGGAAAAAACCTTTACTATACCATTATTACACTGCTAGGATATGCAATGGAAAAACATTACTGTAGCCTGAGTTGATCCCCATTATAAACTTTGGGACATACAGAATGTGGTTAAGAATGAGTGAAGATAGAGTGAATGACAGTTTGAGTGTCTGAATGTAAGAGAACATGATCAGCATTACCTGTGATAAACAGCTCTGATAATTGGCCACACTGAATGGTTCTCACTCTTATTTCTGAGCCTTTGGTGAGTTGAGTCTTTTCCTGCCCTCTCACAGCCTTCAGCACCAGTGAGCAAGACAAGGATAACTGGAATGGGCAGCTGAAGCTTCTGCTGGAGTGGAACCAGCTGGACTTAGCCAATGATGAGATTTTCACCAATGACCGCCGATGGGAGGTAAGCACGAAGCTCTCCTGGGTTATTCCAGTGTTGGGTCTGGACAGTGGTCTGGGCAATGTCTGATCCATTTCCAACAAGGTCTTCAATACCAAATCTCTTAAAGGATTGTTCTGTTCCAGAATATCAGGATTGCTGAGGCTTAATTTCCTTGTTTGCAGCATGGAATCATAACATTGACTTAGTAGGTTTGTTGTGAAGAGATAATAAAAATAAATGGTATAAAATAACATCAACTCCACATTGCCTTCAGCTGCAAAGTGAGGGTGATTCTCCATCTGGGTGTAGAGATGCAGATCTCCTTCTGGATGTGTGTGGGCAGAAGTATGGGAAAAATATATGCTAGATGATTGAAAGTAGCTCAACTATAAATCCAGACGGCAGCACTCTTTTTGCTCCCTGCCCCCACCTGCCTAGCCAAATTCTGATTAGAGAACCGTCCGTAGTGAGATACATAAGAGACAAATAGAACAACTTGACTGACGCTCCCCAGTGAACGTCTTAGAGCAGGGGTGCCGGTCCATGGCCTGTTAGGAACAACAGGAAGTGAGCAGTGGGCGAGCAAGTGAAACTTCATCTGTATTTACACCAGCTCCCCATTGCTCACATTACCGCCTGAGCTCCGCCTTCAGTCCGATCAGTGGCGGTATTCGATTCCTATAGGAGCGTGAACCCTGTTGTGGACTGTGCATGTGAGGGATCTAGGTTGTGTGCTCCTTATGAGAACCTAATGCCTGATGATCTGACACTGCCACCCATCACCCCCAGATGAGACTGTCCAGTTGCAGGAAAACAAGCTTGGGGTTCCCACTGGTTCTACATTATGGAGAGTAGTATAATTATCTAATTATATATTACAATGTAATAATAATAGAAATAAAGTGCACAATAAATGGAATGCTCTTGAATCATCCCAAGACCATCCCCCCAGCCTGGTCGATGGTAAAATTCTCTTCCAGGAAACCAGCCCCTTGTGCCAAAAAGATTGGTGACTGCTGTTTTAGAGCCAGAAACTCAGGACTTCCCCTAGCCACATGAGTACCTTCAATATGGAAGTTGCACATGCAATAAAAAGTGTTTTTTTTCTTTCTAGCAAACTGCATTTTCTCACTTTTCAATGTGATTAGTGTTTTAGGATTGCATTTTCCAGCAGTATCCTCCCGTGTACAACTAAAGTGCAGTCAGCCCTAGGAGCCTTGTTCAATGAAAATTATTATAAACCATCACACTCAGTTTTATAAGGCTGCTTCTTTGTTTTCAGCTTTTCCAAGTTAATTTCAGTCATTAGGGGGCCGTGATAATATATGTAATTTTATACATGTATGTATAGATTTGAAGGTGCATATATTTCATAACTTTCATTCTTGGCAGACAGGGTCAGAAAACACTTTCAGGCCTATTGTTGTATAATCAAAGACTAAGACTCGATTTATATTAACATGCGATCAGTTTTAATGAGAGCAGCATAAATAAAGTAATGGCTTATGAATTTTTAAATTATTCATTCCCTTAGCAAACATTATCTTGTGTGTGGTGTTTGCAGCACAATGAACCCCGCTGCACATTGCAAGGCTTTAATTAGTGGAGGGAAAGTGGAACTATAAGTAGGTCCAGTCAATTGATTCATAAATGAATTACTGTGTGTGAAATGTTCTATTTAAGTGAGGTCAGATGGTACAAATAAACTTAGGCACATCGTGAATGGTACATTTAATTTTACTAACTCAGCTAAAGATGGTTAAGGGTTAAGGGCACAATGGCTAAGGAAATGGACTCTGGAGCCAGCCCATCTGCATGACTTTGGGCAAATTACTTAACCTCCCTATGCCTCAGTTTCCTCCTCCAGTGGCATGTTAGAGCCAGCTTGTATTGGCTTGCAAGAGCCAACTGCTAAATTTTTAGAGATTTTCTGAGTTGGTTGTTAAATACAGTCATTATTAATCAGTTATATTTGGCTGGTCATAGAGGCTCATGTCTGTAATCCCAGCACTTTGAGAGGCCAAGGCGAGAGGATTGCTTGAGTCCAAGAGTTTGAGATCAGTCTGGACAACATGGCAAAACCCCACCTCTGCCCCCCCCAAAAAAAAAATTAGCTGGGCATGGTGGCACATACCCGTAGTCCAGGCTACTTAGGTGGCTGAGGTGGGAGGATGGCTTGAGCCCAGGAGGTGGAGGTTGCAATGAGCTGAGATCACACCACTGCACTCCAGCCTGGACAACAAAGCCAGATCTTGTCTCAAAACAAACAAACACACACAAAAAAAACCCAAAAAACAAAAAAACAAAAAAATTAAATTATTCAAACTTAGAATTACATAGATTTTATAGAATATAGAATATAGAATTACAAAGGTAATCAATAATCAAAAGATATCATTTTTTAATTATTTGTCTACATTTACTACTACCTTTGCTCTGAAGGCCAATTGTGTATATTGTATCTGGAAGCTGGAGATGCTATACAATGGTGAGCCACTCCACATCTCTTCCCGATTCCATATTTAGTGATGTCACATTGGTAGCTGAAACTTGGCGACAATGGGAGTATTTACACCATAGGAATCAGCAAACACTACAAATTAGGACTTCTGTTTTCTTTGAGAGAACCAATGGTTCAGTGTTTACCGTTACCCAACTGATCATCCGAAAATGGAGATGACGATAATAGCAGTACTTATCTCCTTGGGCTGTTATGATGATTAAATCAGATAATATTTCTAAAGTGCTTAGAACATTGGCACATATGAAGCATTATTTGTTTAAAAATAAAAATATCTGGAATGCTGATAATATTTCTGTGACCTTTTACAGTGCCCAAGCAGTTTCTCTGTGTGTGTTTACTTGCCTGTCATACCAGTCCACAACATGGATGATCCCCTTTGTGGTTATTAAATCAGGGCTCCATCGGTATCATGGCAGGGGGAGTTGCTGATAGTTTTTTGAGGGCCTGGTCTGAACTTGAATCTCTGAGAGGAATTTGACCTGTGTTAGCTTATTTCATCCTCGCAACCATCTATTTCTTAGAAGAGCAAACCGAGGCTCAGAGACACAATAATCCAGGTCACATGGCTGGAAAATGGTAGAATCAAGGTTGAGAGCAAAGATGTGACTGACGGCAAAGCCTCTTCTCATATGCTGGTGGTTCTCAAGGTGTGGGTCCTGGACTGGTGGCGGCCTGGGAATAACCTTGGCACTTGTTACCTTGGAAATCACCAGGCTCCACCTCAGATTTGCAGAAATTCCAATACTGACTCCCAGCATTCTGCATTTACCAGGCCCTCTACATGATTCTGATTAAAGTTTGAGAACCACTGCCCTATGCTAGCAAGTGTGTGACCAGTGGAAAGGCCATTGGATTTAGAAAGAAAAGGGAAATGCTGGACATGAGGAACACTTCCTTTAAGGACAGAGGAGAAATCATAGCTGCCATCTTTCCAGAGGTAGCCCCCTCTTCCCCTGCTGAGCTCTGCTGCATCCACAATGTGGGGACTCAAGGGACCCTTGACAACTCCTTCTCTAGGCAATGTGTGATCCCCATGAGACCAACATTAGGCAGGAACAAAACTAATTAATGCTGCTGTGGGCAGAAGACATCCACCTAGACCAGGGATCAGGCACACAATGTAAGAGAGTAAGTGGGCCGGTGGGTCCCAGGGAGGAGTGGTGGGGACTGTGGGGAGTTGGAGAGCCAAGGCTCCGGGAAGCAGCTGCCCCTTGGCTCCCACTGATGGTTCCCATGTTGATGTTGTTGGAGCTGCTGGTTTTTACTCTTTTCTTGGGGGGCGGGGGCGGGAGACAGAGTTTTGCTCTTGTCGTCCAGGCTGGAGTGCAATGGCATGATCTCAGCTCACTGCAACCTCCGCCTCCCAGGTTCAAGCGATTCTCCTGCCTCAGCCTCCGGAGTAGCTGGGATTACAGGCGTGCGCCACCACGCCCAGCTAATTTTTGTGTTATTAGTAGAGACGAGGTTTTACCATGTTGACGAGGCTGGTCTCGAACTCCTGACCTCAGGTGATCCACCCGCTTCAGCCTCCCAAAGTGCTGGGATTACAGGTGTGAGCCACCTCGCCCAGCCTTTTTTTTTTTTTTTTTTTGAGATGGAGTCTCACTCTGTCACCCAAGCTGGAGTGCAGAGGTGCAATCTTGGCTCACTGCAACCTCTGCCTCCCAGGTTCAAGCGATTCTGGGATTAGAGGCACCTGCCACCACACCTGGCTAACTTTTTTATTTTTAGTAGAGATGTAGAGATGAGGTTTCACCATGTTGGCCAGGCTGATCTCAAACTCCTGACCTCAATTGATCTGCCCACCTCGGCCTCCCAAAGTGCTGGGATTACAGGTGTGAGCCACTGTGCCTGGCAGCTTTTACTGTTAACTCGAGATTTTAATGCTGGAAATGTAGATTTTGATGAACTTTCTAATTTTTAAATGTTGGCAATGGAATAAAATTGTAAGAAATGCTATAGAGGGCACACAGAACATGACTGAGAGCTGGAGTGGCCTGTAGTCCACTGGGTTGTGTCTGAAGTAAACATCGATGATCTTTTCTTGAGATGGAGTCTTGCTCTGTCACCCAGGCTGGAGTGCAGTGGTGTGATCTTGGCTCACTGCAACTTCTGCCTCCTGGGTTCAAGTGATTCTCGTGCCTCAGCCTCCCAAGTAGCTGGGACTGCAGGTGCGTGCCACCACACCTAATTTTTTTTTTTTTTTTTTAGTAGAGATGGGGTTTCAC
The DNA here is from genome assembly GCF_000001405.40 of Homo sapiens. NCBI lineage: Eukaryota > Metazoa > Chordata > Mammalia > Primates > Hominidae > Homo > Homo sapiens. Next base: position 233,959,982 of record NC_000002.12, read on the forward strand.
CCTATTGGCCAGGCTGGTCTCAAACTCCTGACCTCAAGTGATTTTCCCATCTTGGCCTCCCAAAATGCTGGTGATCTTTCTTAAGATTATCCGTAAGTTCCTATGGGCTAAGTTTTATCAGAAGCCCAGAATGTAGAGCTAGAGATAGACAACAATCAAGTATTATTGTCAAATGTTCCAGTGACTTATTGGTATGTAACAAGAGCAGACATTGGTTTGGTGGCATGTGGTTTGCATATAGTTTGATGCATTCTATTTTAACACCTGTATTTGAGAATGCAGTCACCATAATAGAAGGTTCCTGGGCATCTGTGAAGGGCAGCAGATCCCACAGTGCAGCGTAGAGACAGCACTGGTGGCTGGGTCATAATTGGTATCTGCTGTCAACTTCAAAGAGGTGGTTCCAGCTCTACTACTACCTCCACACCCCCACCCCCGATTGAGTATTTCCTCTATGTCTCATACTGGGGAAAATTTTTGACCAACATTATCTCTACATGGGTGTATTTATCTCCATTTTAGCAAGGGGCCAAGTCACATCCAAATTCACATCTGGCTGATGACAAAGATTTCACCATGCCATTCTCCTGTTTAGAGGTTTGAACTGTAATCCTCTGTTGTGTTAAAACGGAAAAAAGATAAACTTCATTCTCAAGACAGGATTGAAAGAGAAGTTGAAGATATTATTACTCTGTGGCTGGAAATACAGTGCTACTGAGGAAGAAAAATGCCTAGTGCTTTCCTTACCATATTTTTATAGTATTGTTAGTACTGTCTCTGTTCTTTCTCCTTAGTCTGCTGACCTTCAAGAAGTCATGTTTACGGCTCTCATAAAGGACAGACCCAAGTTTGTCCGCCTCTTTCTGGAGAATGGCTTGAACCTACGGAAGTTTCTCACCCATGATGTCCTCACTGAACTCTTCTCCAACCACTTCAGCACGCTTGTGTACCGGAATCTGCAGATCGCCAAGAATTCCTATAATGATGCCCTCCTCACGTTTGTCTGGAAACTGGTTGCGAACTTCCGAAGAGGCTTCCGGAAGGAAGACAGAAATGGCCGGGACGAGATGGACATAGAACTCCACGTAGGTACTGGGAGAGTTGCCTGCTTGAGTTCTCGGATATTTTGAGGCTTCCCTCATAAGATATCTCCATTTTCCCTACTCCCTATCTTATTGCCATAAAATACTTAACACACTGACAATGTTAATTTTTTTAACTCCCTTTATTTAAGATAAGGTGTCTGTCTATAGGGTGAGTCTCTGCTATTTCTAATATCTTGCTTTATGATCTATATGATACCATATTTCAGACTAGTTGCAGTTTTCCTTTTTTTGTTTTTGAGATGGAGTCTCGCTCTGTCACCAAGGCTAGAGTGCAGTGGCCGAATCTCAGCTCATTGCAATCTCTGCCTCCTGGGTTCAAGCAATTCTTCTGCCTCAGTCTCCTGAGTAGCTGGGACTACAGGCACCTGCCACCACGTGTGGCTAATTTTTGTATTTTTAGTAGATATGGGGTTTCACCATGTTGGCCAGGCTGGTCTCAAACTCCTCTCCGCGTGATCTGTCCACCTCGGCCTCCCAAAGTGCTGGGATTACAGGCATAAGCCACCGTGCCCGGCCTCTTTTTTCTTCTTTTCTTTTCTTTTCTTTTTTTTTTTTTTTTTGAGACAGAGTCCCACTCTGTTGCCAAGGCTGGAGTGCAGTGGCCTGATCTGAGCTCACTGCAACCTCCACTTCCCAGATTCAAGCGATTCTTCTGCCTCAGCTTCCCGAGTAGCTGGGATTACAGGCGTCAGCCACCATACCTGGCTAATTTTTGTATTTTTAGTAGACACGGGGTTTCACCATGTTGGCCAGGCTGGTCTCGAACTCCTGACCTCAGGTGATTTGCCTGCCTCGGCCTCCCAAGTGTTGGGATTACAGGCGTGAACCACCGTGTCCGGCCTCAGGTTTTCTTAATTGCAGAGCTTAGTGTGGTATACTTTCTGAAGGTATCTAACAGGGAATAGGGGCAAACAAATAGCTGCATGCTCCTGTCATAGTCCACCAGCTATGATCTGCTTAAAACAGCTGCCTGCTGCCCATGCGTGTGAAGGACTGAAGAATGGACACGTGTTCTTTTGTGAGTAAAAGGGGAAGTGGATATTTTCAAAGGGATAAATCTGGATATTCACTTGAGACAATTTTGTGGCTGTAACACCTATAATCCTGCAGAACTTCTCATTTTAAGTATAGGAAGGCCCAGTTTCCAATTGCCAGCACCTGTAACTCTTTGCCGAAAGTTTGTCCTGATCAGAGCCCAGTAGCGTACAAATACCCCCACTTGAAGGAGCTGACTTTAAGGTTTGTGCTCTACTCTGGCTCCTAGAGTTGGCTAGTGGGGCTAATCTCTAGTTATCCACCAAGAGAATTGACTTGATAATGCACTTTTTATGGGGTTCCCTTTTGTTCTGGTATCATTTCCTCAGTTCTCCATTGGTTTCCTTGAGATCGTGTCCAAAATAAACGACTTGCCTCAAATCCTTGTCTCAGATTTCTTCTGGGGAAACCCAAACTAGGTCATTATCCTTTGTAATTATGGAATTTTTAGAGTGCGTGTATGTGTGTTGCAAAAATCTAAATGCATTAGGTATTTGCAGGAATTGGAAGTGTTTAGGGAGCCTCTGTTCGACTATATTCATGTGAAATTTCTCTGCAATATGCATAATATGCCTCGTGCATTTTATACATTGGTAAAACCTGTAAAGAAGTTGAAAAGGAATATATTATATATATCCATTTAGTTGTTTTCTACCTGAAAAGTTTCCCTTGAAAGGTACAGAATGGTGAATAGGAGCTGGGATTCTAATTGATAGGTTAGGCATCGAATCTTTGAATAACAGTCCAAAGAAATAAGCCACAGTTTTATGTTGGGATAATTGAACTTAAGCCATAGGAAAGTTGGAATCTAGTTTGAAGAATTTTTTTCTAGAAGAGAAACAGAGTTATATGATGAGAAGGAATTGCCTTCTGTCAGCCTGTCAGGAGTCATTCAGTTTTCAAATTGCTCTCAAGGCTTTTTTCACCCTTTATACCTTTTCATCTAGTTGTACTTTGTCTTTTATGACAGATGAAAGATTTGGTGTCAAAATTAGACCACCCAATGAGTTGCAGAGATGAAAATCCCATCACTGTACTGTGAGAATGGAGTCATGCACAAAGCCACAGAGCCCTCCAAACATGGGCTACTCTCCTAGGGCTTCCTGATCCCAGAACAGTTTCCATTTGCACATGCTGACCACATGCTCTAACCCCCCAGGACGTGTCTCCTATTACTCGGCACCCCCTGCAAGCTCTCTTCATCTGGGCCATTCTTCAGAATAAGAAGGAACTCTCCAAAGTCATTTGGGAGCAGGTAAGTGCCCAAGCCCACATCAGATTTACACCAAATATATGCTTTGTTATAACAGTTCTGATCCTCTCAAAATTCGCATGCCTAATATAAAACATCATCAGTGAAATGGGATGTCTGAGTTCAGATGAACATGGTCTCTGTTCCATGTTGGTGAAGGAGTGCTTGGGAGGGACCGTCCCCGGAAAGTAGTCAGGCTTGGGGGGCAGTCCAGTAGGCACCTGCTTCTCAGGTGTGTGTGGGTGTGTGATTGTTTTCCAAGTGGAAAAGGTATTCACATTTGATTTTAAAAATTAATTTCCAGCTTTATCGCATTATGGACGGGAGGTAGGGCCTGTAAAAAATTCCGCTTTGGAAAGTTTATGGAGAATTTTCCTTGTGATTTAGCATGTAAGGACTTTTGTAAATGGTTTATGGACACTCACATTACTTTATTTTGAGAGATAAGCTTAGATATTGAATATTGAATTCACACACTCAGTCTTAAAGTTACATTGTTCAGGTCTTCTGTGTTCTTACCCAGGCCCCACTCAACCTTTGAGCTATTCCAGTATGAGAGTGAATTAGACCTCCCACTATCACGGTCTTACTGTCATTTCTCATGGCATTAGTCTTAATATTTTTTATATGGTAATTCTATGTTCAAGACTGTGAACATATTCAGGTTCCAAGTTATTTTGTGTTCATTAAAAATTTTACTTTGAATCATTATGAATAGTTCCTAGGTTGAGCTTCGGGCTCCCTGACCCCAGAGCAGTTTCCATTTGCACGTGTTGACCATATTCTCTAACCCGTCCCATAAAATTGATTCTACTATTTCCTGCTTTTGCCATGAATGTTCTTGTTGGACATTAATGTTGACTTGACCACTTCAAGGGATTAAGACTTAACCTTAGGCTGGGCTTGGTGGCTCACACCTGTAATCCCAGCACTTTGGGAGGCTGAGGCTGGTGGATCACCTGAGGTCAGGAGTTCAAGACCAGCCTGACCAACATGGCGAAACCCCGTCTCTACTAAAAATACAAAAATTAGCTGGGCATGGTGGTGGGTGCCTATAATCCCAACTACTCGGGAGGCTGAGGCAGTAGAATCACTTGAACCCGGGAGGTGGAGGTTGCAGTGAGCCAAGATCGTGCCACAGCACTCCAGCCTGGGTCACAGAGTGAGACTCCGTCTCAAAAAAAAAAAAAAAAAAAAAAAAAAGAAAAGGAAAAAAAAGAATTAACCTTAAAATTCTTCACCCCCCTAAAAAGACCAGGGGCTGCACTCTGGCAGCCCTGGGAGCCAGCAAGCTTCTGAAGACTCTGGCCAAAGTGAAGAACGACATCAATGCTGCTGGGGAGTCCGAGGAGCTGGCTAATGAGTACGAGACCCGGGCTGTTGGTGAGTCCACAGTGTGGAATGCTGTGGTGGGCGCGGATCTGCCATGTGGCACAGACATTGCCAGCGGCACTCATAGACCAGATGGTGGAGGTCCGTGGCATGTCCAAGCTCCCCAGTCTGATTGAGGGCTGCAGACCACAAGGTCTGGATGCGACAATCTCCTTGGTCCTGGCACATATGGAATTTTCCAAGAATGAATGTGGGAAATCTTGGGCTCTCTGATCCCATGGCCACCCAGGGCCATACCCAGGCCCAGTTCTAAGCAACTCAGGGAGCACTGGACTACTTTTTTTTGTGGGGGGGGGGGGTGTTTCTGGATGCCGTTACAACATTGTGACAGGGCTGAGATTTTACCTGACTTGTGCCCTAACCAGTTAGCCTGCCAGTTTCATATGCACACACTGCCAGAGGACCCAGCCCCTGGGCCTGCGACACTCATGGTTTCTTACTCATGGCAAAAGCAGCAGCCTGAGTAGCATCTGGGATGCTTCCCCTTGCCTCGGTTCCCAAGGGGTAACTCGAATAACAGTTGCCCTGCAGCTCCCTGAAGTTAGGACATGCTGAGCTTCTATCAGGGCTGCAGCTGAGATTACTTATTGCCTGGAGTGGACGATACTGCACTAAGCATTGCTCTCCTGGCATGTCTCAGGACGCCTGACTGCTGTTTGCTATTCAGTCCTCGAACAAAGCTTGCCAGTGCCCTTTGCACAGAGGCCTCGATCATTCAGGAAGGTGAGAAATCCAGAACCGATTACCTCTAAACAGCATTTTAAATGAGAATTTCAGGCCTGCTCAGTTTTTTCCATTTTCACTTGAGTTTTAAGTTTGCAACGAGGTATTTGCATCCAGGTTTGTCTAGTGTCTTATCAAATGTAAACATGCTCATGAGTTTAGCTTGTCCATGTTGGAAAAAAGATGTCTAATTATTTCTTTTAATTTATTAAAATTTCAAAGCAGTTTATTTCTGGATAATTAGGCAATGGCTCCTAATAGTTTTACTGTAAAAAAATTTCCCTGAGGATCTACACTGCAATTTCTTTGTCATTAGGTGATGAAATGTAAGCACACACTAATGCAATAGATCAGTGTTTCTTTTTTTTTTTTTTTTGAGGTGGAGTTTCGCTCTTGTTGCCCAGGCCGGAGAACAATGGTGTGATCTCAGCTCACTGCAAGCTCCGCCTCCTGGGTTCAAGCGATTCTCCTGCTTCAGCCTCCTGAGTAGCTGGGATTACAGGCGCATGCCACCACACCCGGCTAATTCTTTGTATTTTTAGTAGAGACGGGGTTTTGCCATGTTGGGCAGACTAGTCTCGAACTCCTGACCTCAGGTGATCCACACTCCTCGGCCTCCCAAAGTGCTGGGATTACAGGTGTGAGCCACTGCGCCCAACCTTTTTTTTCCTCTGTGCCTTATCTGCCAAACAACCTTGCCAAGAAGGCGTAGAGTTCAAATGAGATGGAGGAAGGGCTGCTCTGATTACGGGGGGGTCGGGGGGCGGCGGTGGGGAGGTGCAGAAGGTTAGATCCCTTCTCAGTGGCTGAGGCTCTTCTGCCTGAGCCCAGATGGAAGCCCATCAAAGAGAGGGGCTCCCTCTGTCCAATGCAGCTCAATCCAGTGAGCAGTTATTGTCACCTGCTGCCATCAGGAGCTCTGCTGGGTTTGTCTTGCCTTCAGAAAATTCTGCTATTCAGTAACAAATTGTGTTGTGATGGCATTTTCTATGCCTTTTGTAAGAATGGACTCACGCACAGGCTATTTTTGGATTCAGGGGTTGGCTGGGGGTGGAAGCAGGACAGTTTCGGTCATGTGCAGCTCTTACACCAGCTTCTCTCTGTGCTGATGTCGCTGTAGAGCTGTTCACTGAGTGTTACAGCAGCGATGAAGACTTGGCAGAACAGCTGCTGGTCTATTCCTGTGAAGCTTGGGGTGGAAGCAACTGTCTGGAGCTGGCGGTGGAGGCCACAGACCAGCATTTCATCGCCCAGCCTGGGGTCCAGGTAAACCATACTCAGCCACCAGACCACACGGCCAGAAATGGGGCTTTTATGTCAGATGCTACTAGCAGCATTAAACAATAGTAAAAACAAACCTTATTCTCCAATATAAAAGCCATAGAAGGAGTGGTTTGGTGATGATGTGGGAGATGGCCAAGTATAGGCATTGGTCGAAATCCATGCTTTAAGAGATGGTGCAGGACAAAGAATATTCTTTGAGTTTCCACTAAGCAAACAACACAGCATCATAATTATGAGCTGTGTCTCTGGATCCCACTGCCTGGGTCTCCATCCGCTGTACCCCTAATGAAGTGTGTGATGATGGGCCAAGTTACATGAGCTCTCCGAGTATTAGTTTCCTCATCTACAAAATGGGGATAGCAGCAGATAAAGGGTTATTGTGAAGATTTAAGGAGATAATATGTGAAAGGTGTTGGTCCTTTATTTAGCTATTGCTATTGCAGTTATTATTAGTAGTGATAGCAGTAGGGAAACTATTGTGAAATGGGTAAAAGCTGTCTAGAGGCTTTCTGCACTGAAGTGAATGAATCGTAGTTTGCACCTGGTGTCTTAGGCTGCAGAGCAGAGCTTTTCACCCACAGTTCCAGTTGTAGAAATGTGGGTGTGAGAAGGGGAGGGGAAAAGGAAGAGATGGAGAGACCAACGCTTGTCAGCCACAGCTGCTATACACTAGGCCACATTTCATCTTCACAGCACCTGTGGGGATGGGTGCCATCCCATTTCACTGAGGAGGATGCAGGAGCTCAGAGAGGTTCTGGAATGTCCTTCCAGCTTGCACTGCTGTGAAGTAGCAGCACTAGGATTGGCTCTCATGTTGATTGCCTGCAACTTTCATGTCCTAGACTTTCCATGATATCATACAGCCAGATGTTTACGAACAAAACCCATTTACTACTGCAACTAAGCTAGACTAAATGAGAGCATTGATCCATGACAAGGAGCATGCGGAGAGCGTCTTGCTATTGCTCAGTTTTAGCCTCTGCTGCAGTGTAGTGGGTAGAAGTAAGGCTGGTGCTGGAGTCGGGGTGTGCCTGGGAGGCTGGGGTGGCTTCCCAGGTGGGTCACACTCTACTTATGTCTTCCTGGGCCCCAAACCCTATCTCGCTTGTGTCCCAGAACTTGGGGCCCTGGGGAGTCTGGCTTTTACTCCTGTCCAGGTTCACAGATCCTGAGGTTTCAATCAGATGCCAGGTCATTCATTTCACTGAAAATCTTACTACCAGGCCACAGGATCACCCAGTGGGCCTGGCCAGGGAGTTTTCTTTCTATAGTCAGGGTGCTGTGTGGGGTCAGAATGCTGCCAGTGACCATGGAACCCAACCCAGTGCTGTAATTTCCGTGACTGGGGCCTGACGGTGATGCTCAGTGATGGCCTGGCGTCTGCATCACCCCAGCAGAATAGGAGAGTGAGGAAGACTAAGCACTGCCTGTCTCCGTTGCCCGCCACCCCCGCACCCCCTCCCAAGAAGCAAACCCCAAAGTGAGGATGTCAATACAAGGAGTTTATTCTGGAGGTGAACCTGGGAAGCACAGGAGGCACCAGTGAGACAGGGAAGGGACAGGGACAGACAAGATGTGCTGATGAGGAGGTTGCCACTGTGGGCACCCGGGGCTCAGCCTGCCAGGGACCTCTGGGAAACTGTAGAACCAGCTTCAGTGTTGCCCGGCCCAGTGCAAAGCAGTCGGCCATTTACCCACCAACTGCAATTGGTTGTTTGTGGAAAGCTGACACCTTATTCCAGGACACTAGTCCTCATGGGTCAAGCACGCACCTGGCTGGAGTAGCCCTAGGCAGGGGCCCTCAGAAGCAGCCATCCTCCTCCAAGGGCAGGGCAGGTGCCCAGGGCCAGAGGGGTGCATGTCAGTCCCAGCCCTCCTAGCTAGCACTGAGAAGGCCCTGGGTTTCCCTTTTCCTCTGTTCCTGAGACACACCAAACTCCTTCTGCTTGACGGGCTATTTTTTGAGAGATGTGGGTCCTTTGATGTGGTCGAGTCTATGCTCCCCTGCTAACTCTCAGAGCTACTGTGAGTTTTCTAATTTCCACCTTTGTGAAAGTCCCTTCTGTCCCAACGTCAAGGGTTGATACAGTCTGGGGAGAGCTTTTACATGCATTTCAGCCTGAATTGATGTCAAGACATCAACAGTCTCTCCCTTCCGAACTTCCTTTTAGTTTCCTGACAAAAGCATCACCTGTCTTTCTCCAGAAATGAATCGTTGGGGACCCTACAGGTAGTACTGGCTGTGCCTGTGAATTTGTGATCATTGAAGACAAAGGAGCCAGAAAGATACTTGTTTAAACTTACCTAATAAAAATGAGAGTTGGATAAAAATTCCTAGGTTTATTGAATTTGAACGTACACAACTATTACTTTAAAGTGCACATAATGCAACTCAGAAAAAGACTTAAAATAAAACCAAGTTTGGCCAGGCATGGTGGCTCACACCTGTAATCCCAGCACTTTGGGAGGCCGAGGCGGTGGATCACCTGAGGTCGGGAGTTTGTGACCAGCCTGACCAACATGGAGAAATCCCGTCACTACCAAAAATACAAAAAAAAAAAAAATTAGACAGGAATGGTGGCACATTCCTGTAATCCCAGCTACTCGGGAGGCTGAGGCAGGAGAATCGCTTGAACCTGGGAGGTGGAGGTTGTGGTGAGCTGAGATTGCACCATTGCACTCCAGCCTGGGCAGCAAGCGTGAAACTCCGTCTCAAGAAAAAAAACAAAAAACCAAGTTTTAAATTGTTTTTTTTAACACTGCCCCTTAGAATCCAGGCAACTGGTATAAAAGAATAATGACATTAATTCAAAGAGCTGTGTATTTTGGGGAAAGTGTGGGGCGGGGAAGAAAGTTTGCATGGCATCCTGCATACAATTGTGTTAATAAGGACCTTGTTCTCTGTCTTTGTTTCCCTGTAGAATTTTCTTTCTAAGCAATGGTATGGAGAGATTTCCCGAGACACCAAGAACTGGAAGATTATCCTGTGTCTGTTTATTATACCCTTGGTGGGCTGTGGCTTTGTATCATTTAGGTACAAACCAAGGCACATAATCGTGTGTGAGTGTGTGTGCCAGTGTGTGTACATGCATCCACATATGTGTGCTCTCATGTAAATGATTAAAAAGCCTGGAACTTATGATGTTTACATTGTTGCCTATGAATTTGGTCTTGTTTCTCCCCTGACTTTTCCTGGGTTTCCTCTTAAATGGGTAGGGGTGGGGTTGTGTCTTTAATATCTGGGGCAGAATGTGGATTTGTTAATTGCAAAATGCCAAGGATTTAATTGGGGTTGGTTCCATCTTAGGACACGGTTTTGCTCCCGTCTCTTCCTCCTGGCTATGGGTCTGTATTTATCTATGTTTGGAAGGAGGGGAGGGCTGTGCCCGTCCCATGCTTGCAAGGATGCTGACGATGCCCTTATCTCTGGGTCCAGGAAGAAACCTGTCGACAAGCACAAGAAGCTGCTTTGGTACTATGTGGCGTTCTTCACCTCCCCCTTCGTGGTCTTCTCCTGGAATGTGGTCTTCTACATCGCCTTCCTCCTGCTGTTTGCCTACGTGCTGCTCATGGATTTCCATTCGGTGCCACACCCCCCCGAGCTGGTCCTGTACTCGCTGGTCTTTGTCCTCTTCTGTGATGAAGTGAGACAGGTAGGGCTGCCATGACAGCAGGAACCCCCTCGCTTCCTCGGTGGGAGGCATCTTTCTAAAGCCAAGAGGAATAGAAGTTGCTTCTGAAGTTCAAAAGTCACTATTTTCCCAAAATAAATGTTCTCTTTGGGTGCTAGTCCATGAGTGTGAAGGTGCATTTTCATACCCTTAGTAATTCAGTAAGGTCTCCTAGTACCAAGTTTATTCTTTGCTCTCTAATGAATGTTAATTGATGGAGATGAATTAGTCAGGAATGGGGGAGTGTTCAAAGAGAAGAGAGACCCTGGATGATAAACCCACTGCTGTCATCAGGAGTGGTTTGTGTTCCTGCCATTACCGTGGCATGATAAGTGGCAGGGAGCTGGCAGGACTTTTGAGCTAAGAGCATCTTAATGCCCAGCATGTCAGATTGACAATGTTTTAAAGTTGTGTAAGTCCCTGTGGGTCTCAGGGAGCTGGTGTGAATTATTCATGGTGCTTTTCTGCAGTTTCTTGGGACCTTCATTTTTTGGCGTCGTCTCTCTACCGTTGAACCCAGAAGTCTAGCTCAGGACTCATGTGTAGCAGGCACTTGATTAGTAATGGTTGAAAAAATAAATATTGATGGTGAAAGTGGTGTTATCCCTAAACCATTATGAAAAGTCATCCCAGAAAATCTTTTCACACTTAGCAGTTTACAAATTGTTTGACAACTACTGTTGTTGTCGTCACTGTTGTCCCCTCTGAACCTAAATGCAAAAATACATCAATTCAGCAAGTGTGTGCTAGGCACTTACAGTTTCCGAGGTACAATGCCGTGTGCTATGATAGATCTGGAGGGGGCAAAGAGTGCTGTTCTTGCCCTTACAGAGTCACTGACTCGTGTAAGAATCCTAAGTTGGCTTAAAGTTTCATGCCAACTCTGACAGACTTTTTTTAGTGACTTCTAGCCGTCCTGGGTTGAGAAAGATTCCAAGGGTCTGTCTGTTCTCAGCGGGAGAGCATTTTGATCGATTAGTGATGTCTGCCATGGGTATGACCTGGGGGAAGAGTCCTGACACCAGTGCCCTGTGTCTGACTTTCCTTGCCTAGTAGGTCTGAGGTGCAGATGGGGAATGGAGCTGGGATGGAGGTGGAGGAAGTGTGTCTGGAATTGGTGGGTTCTTGGTCTCACTAACTTCAAGAATGAAGCCGCGGACCCTTGCGGTGAGTGTTACAGCTCTTAAGGTGGTGCGTCTGGAGTTTGTTCCTTCTGATGTTCGGATGTGTTCGGAGTTTCTTCCTTCTGGTGGGTTCGTGGTCTCGCTGGCTCAGGAGTGAAGCTGCAGACCTTTGCGGTGAGTGTTACAGCTCATAAAAGCAGTGTGGACCCAGAATGAGCAGTAGCAAGATTTATTGCATAGAGCGAAAGAACAAAGCTTCCACACTGTGGAAGGGGACCCCAGCAGGTTGCCACTGCTGGCTCGCGCAGCCTGCTTTTATTCTCTTATCTGGCCCCACCCACATCCTGCTGATTGGTAGAGCTGAGTGGTCTGTTTTGACAGGGCGCTGATTGGTGCGTTTACAATCCCTGAGCTAGACACCAAGGTTCTCCAGGTCCCCACTAGATTAACTAGATACAGAGTGTCCACACAAAGGTTCTCCAAGGCCCCACCAGAGTAGCTAGATACAGAGTGTTGATTGGTGCATTCACAAACCCTGAGCTAGACACAGGGTGCTGATTGGTGTGTTTACAAACCTTGAGCTAGATACAGAGTGACGATTGGTGTATTTACAATCCCTGAGCTAGACATAAAGGTTTTCCAAGGCCCCACCAGAGCAGCTAGATACAGAGTGTCGACTGGTGCATTCACAAACCCTGAGCTAGACACAGGGTGCTGATTGGTGTGTTTACAAACCTTGAGCTAGATACAGAGTGACGATTGGTGTATTTACAATCCTTGGGCTAGACATAAAGTTTCTCCACGTCCCCACCAGACTCAGGAGCCCAGCTGGCTTCACCCAGTGGATCCCGCACCGCGGCTGCAGGTGGAGCTGCCTGCCAGTCCTGCGCTGTGCGCCCGCACTCCTCAGCCCTTGGGTGGTCGATGGGACTGGGCGCCATGGAGCAGGGGGTGGCGCTCGTGGAGGAGGCTCGGGCAGCACAGGAGCCCACTGAGGGGGTGGGAGGCTCAGGCATGGTGGGCTGCAGGTCCCGAGCCCTGCCCCACGGGAAGGCAGCTACGGCCCGGTGAGAAATTGAGTGCAGCGCCGGTGGGCCGGCACTGCTGGGGGACCCAGTACACTCTCCGCAGCCACTGGCCCGGGTGCTAAACCTCTCATTGCCCGGGCGGGCAGGGCCGGCCGGCTGCTCCCAGTGCGGGGCCCGCCAAGCCCACGCCCACCCGGAACTCCATCTGGCCCGCAAGCTCCACACGCAGCCCCGGTTCCCGCTCACGCCACTCCTTCCACACTTCCCTGCAAGCTGAGGGTGCCAGCTCTGGCCTTGGCCAGCCCAGAAAGGGGCTCCCACAGTGCAGCGGTGGGCTGAAGGGCTCCTCAAGTGCCGCCAAAGTGGGAGCCCAGGCAGAGGAGGTGCCGAGAGCAAGCGAGGGCTGTGAGGACTGCCAGCACGCTGTCACCTCTCAGAAGCGTAAGGTAAATGACTCATGTCAGTGTTGAACAGCAGGATTATCAGGCTTCACCTACCAGCAATTCTTGCCCCAGGACGGGGCCCTGCTATGTGCAGGGAATTTCCCCAACTTTGGATCAGCCCCATGGGAGTCCCATGCACTGCCCTGGGAAGTCACAGCTCTGCCCAGGCCATGCCCTCGGTATTAGTCTGTAGGGCTGCCAAGATGAAGCACCATAGACCTCATGGCTTTAATAACAGAAGTTCATTGCCTTATGGTTCTAGAGGCCAGAAGTCTGAGATCAAGCTGTCAGCAGGGCTGACTCCCTCTGGAGGCTGTGCGGGAGACTCTGTCCTAGCCTCTCCTCTAGCTTTTGGCGGCCAGCTGGCAAGCTTCACCATTCCTTGGCTTGTCGATGCATCCCTCTGATCCCTGTCCTCATGGGTGACTCCTGCATGAGTGATTGTGTCCAAATCTCCGCTCTCCCTGGGGACATTCGTCGTACTGGATCAGGGGTCACCCTACTTCAGCATGACTTCCTCTTTACTTAATTAGTTATATCTGCAATGCCCCTGTTTCCAAACAATGTCACATGCCAAGGTACTGGGGGCTAGGACTTCCATGTTTGAATCTTTGGAGACACAATTTAACCTGTAACACCTAAAACGAGTCTCTTTCTCTTAGCTGCCATCCTACTTCCTAGCTCTGTGTTGTGCCTTGCTATGTATGTGTCAGCAGCAGCGAGGGAATGGGAATAGTCTGTTTGAGGGAAGCAGAGAAAGACTGAAGGAGATTCATCATTTAAAACAGGGTGGGCCCAGACCAGAGTGAGGAAGTGAGAGAAGCAGCCCTCATCCAGCTAGGAGCCCTGGAGCCACGGTGCGGGAGCTCACTCTGGGTGAGGCCCTGCGTTTTCCCTTCTCCCGACCTGGCGTGGTTTCCTCCACTCTCACTTGTAGTTGACCATGACAAAGACCCTTTTCAAAGGCATTTCAGGGACAAAAAGACAGCATTCCCAGCTTAGCTTTTGCAAGAGGGAGGGGCTGAAAGGGTGAGATTGGGGGTTTTGTAGCACTGGAGGGGGAAGTGTCCCAACACCCCCTACCTCTCATTCCCTCTGAGGGACTGGCTGATGTCTTATCACGGACTGGGAACAACTGGGACAGTGTCTGCCCCACAAGTGGGGTAAGTGCCAAATTTTTTTTGTTTTTTAGTTTTTTTGTTGTTTTTTTTTGAGACTGTATCTTGCTCTGTTGCCCGGGCTGGAGTGCAATGGCGTGATCTTGGCTCACTGCAACCTCCACCTCCCAGGTTCAAGTGATTCTCGTGCCTCAGCCTCCTGAGTATCTGGGACTACAGGCACGCACCACCATGCCCAGCTAATTTTTGTATTTTTAGTAGAGACGGGGTTTCACCATGTTGGCCAGGATGGTCTCAATCTCTTGACCTTGTGATCCACCCACCTCGGCCTCCCAAAGTGCCGGGATTATAGGTGTGAGCCACTGCGCTCGGCCACCAAAAGGTTTTGACTGGTCTGTGGAAATTTTTAACCTTGGAGGGCAGCCCGCTGGTTCCTGGCAGGCCTTTTCTGGCACAGCTTCCTGGAGAGGCAGCTGGACCACCTGGGAGGTCACACAGGCCTCCAACCCTTGGTGGTGACTCATAGGCAGGATCTTGAGCTCTGTGGGGGCAGCAGAGTTTGCTGGAAGAGGCACGGCATCTGTAGGAACTGGAGCAGCACACTGCATGACTCAGGCGACCAGCCTGACATCTCAAAGGTAGCCATTGAGTAGAATCAAGTGACACTGGATTCATAGCCTGGTGGGGAAATGAGTCATGAGCACAAATTAGCAGAGAGAGAGAGAGAGACAGAGAGAGAGAGAGGCAGAGGAGAGAAATGTGGAGGTGGGGAGGGAGAAAAAACCATCTGGAATTGCAAATGGCTGGTACAATAGTAACTTACTGAATTTTTTTTGACCTGCAAGAGGTTATTTAGAGAATAAGAGGATGGGCGTCTGGCATGGTGCCCTAGTGCATCTCTTCTTGCATCAACCCCACTGGGAGGTCCTTTGAGCTTTTCCAGTTCCTAACACATACTCTGTTGTTGCTCAGAATTGCGTGGCATGGGAATGATTTGATTTAGATGTTTATTTCTTATTCACATTTGGTCCTCGGGCTAGCACAGGTGTTGGCACCGACACGTTTCTGACAAGCATGTGTGTTTTTAGTAAATGCATTGATGAAGCACGGTCTTCATAATTCAACTCAAGGGCTGTGTGCCCTGGAGTGGCCATGGTAACACTCAGGAGACCAGCGCTGGGGAGCTGGAGAGGAACCCTGCCCACAGCCCCACAGCCAGGAGCTCAAGGGTGTTCTCTAGGGCAGAGGGCGCTTTGGTGGCCTCTTCTCAGAATGGTTGATGAAAAGTCAAAAGTCTTTTTTCTGCTACTTTTCACCCCTCAGGCTCCCAAACATTTCTCTACCTGTCCCTGACCCTGCCTCCCTTGCTGCATTAAGGCTTGGAAGCTGCTGTGCAAGTCCAGACGTTGTTTGACTCCTTTAGGCATCTAAAGAAACCAGAGGCTGGGCACGGTGGCTCCCGCCTGCAATCCCAGCACTGTGGGAGGCCAAGGCGGGCGGATCACCTGAGCTCAGGAGTTCGAGACCAGCCTGGCCAACATGGCAAAATCCCGTCTCTACTAAAAAGTACAAAAATTAGCCGGGCATGGTGGCGCGTGCCTGTAATCCCAGCTACTCAGGAGGCTGAGGCAGTAGAATCGCTTGAACCCTGGAGGCAGAGGTTGCAGTGAGCTGAGATTGCACCACTGCACTCCAGCCTGGGTGACAGAGTGAGACTCCACCTCAAACAAAACAAAACAAAACAAAAACAAATGAACAAACAAACAAAAAACACACACACAAAAACCCAGGAATCTGAGAGAGAGGACTTGTTCTGGGTTGCTTTGGAAGGCAGACCTTGGCCTGGATGGAAGCTGCAGGGAGATTTGTCTTGGCTTCATCCAAATATTTCATTCATGCATTCTTCCTTTCAACAAATACTTCACACCCCTACTTTGTGCCAGGCACTGTTCTAGACAGCAATGGACCAAACAGACGAAGATCTCTTCCCCTATGGAGCATTCTACCAGTTCCTGATGATTTCCAGGAGCTTTCGAGGAGAGGAGATGAGCATCGGCAAGCAGCACTAAGTGGGCGAGTCTTACACTTACTGGGAGGTTGGCCCAGAGGACTTGCAACAGTAAAATCCGAAGTCTGTAAATCACAGACAACTCTGTGCCAATTTCCTGTGTGCATTTAGCTACTAAGTCACCTGTTTGGGTCATGCAGGAGGAGACTCAGGAGAGGTACATTTTCCTTGGAGAAAGGCCCTGGGCAGGGTTAGCATGAGGTGTTTTTGCTCAGGGAGGACACAGGGCAGGGACATGGGGTGGGAGTAGACAGGGGCAGGTGCGCAGGAGAACTGAGGAAGGACAACGTGCTGTGAGTAATTCCCAGGGGCTGCGGGAGGAAGGGTGGGGGTCTGGCTGACCCCTACCTATTCTGTCTGCTTTCATTGTGGGTGATGCTGGCTATGGGGGGATGCTTACTAAGTATCTCTTCTTGTTATTTTTAAGAACGATCTTTGAGTGGGCCACTTTTAACTCAGCAATCCTGGGTATGAAAGCAACAGTATGGGAAGCACCCTGTGCTTAGGGTCAGCAGTGTGTGTTCCAGGTGGCTCTGCCATCCGAGGGCTTTTCTGGCCTTACAACTCTGATTCTGGTACATGAACAGGTCTGTAGAACATAGCCATGGAGATTCTTATCGTTAAAATAATCCGACACTTGGGGTCACTGTTTCTCTTCTGGTCTGCAGACTCATGCATTTGACATCCTAAATGGGATTGCTTTCCTCTAAGAAATAGTTCTGCTGGCCTGGTGCTGTCTTAATTAACCTAGTTTACACTTGTTAGGGGAAAAAAAGAAAAAAGAACCCAAGCAGGGTGTGACCTGATTTAGATTGTGTCTGATTTAGATTGTGTCAAAAAGTCATGCTCTTCCGTGTGTACCTGTGTCCCTTTGCCTGAATGCAGATGTCGAAATGCTGATTTGGAATTTTGAAACGAGGCAGTCAATAAGTGCAAATACAGTTGCTAAATAATCCTTGGGTCTGTTAAACAGACATTGGGGATGTTTATTTAAAATGGATGAGTCCCATCATGCCTTCACGGAGGGCACCATTCAATTTTGAGGCACGTTGAATCTCCAAATCCTGACAGATATGATGAAATAGTGTCCTGGGATTTTATGAATACAGCTTATCCCAGGCATTCTGCTCAGAGAAGAGGCCTCTTTTCCTTTAAAAACACATTATCTCCCTGCGATGGTAACTTGGAGCCTCAGGATTGACCTATTTCCGACGTCGCTCTTCATGTAGGTCAGGCTTCTGCAAGTCTCCCGGGCTGAGGTTGGGCTGGGGCAGTGCCTACCTGCCTCCCAGAGCAGGGCATTAAGCGGGGAGCTAGCAGCAGGGAGGGCCTTTCCCAATCCCCCTTATCTTACCAGGCACCAGAAGAGCAAATGGTTGTTGGTGAGGGGTCCCTGGGGCTGCTAGCACCAGCAAAGCGGACAGTTCCTGTGGCCTCCCCCGAGGAGCCTGCCTTGGTTTCTGAGCCTAGGCAGAATGTTTGAACTGAGTGAATAGGGTGACAAGAATGTTGACAATACATTAGCAGATCTCTTGTCCTTCATTATGGTCCTGATAATAATGGTTATTGGCAGAGACAACTGTAGCACAAATGAAAATATCAAATATATTTTAGCTATATGGCAAGATGTATCTGTTTCCCCTCGATTTTTGTCCATTTTTATTTTATTTAGTTGTATAAAATCACAAAGTAATAATGCTTATCACAAGTGGGACTACATAAAGAATAATCCTGCCCAATCTAGAGTATAATCTTCCACGACCTTCTTCATGCCCATAAAGATATGAATGTATGCAGGTGTTTTGTTTGTTTTTATCCAAATGGAATCCTACTGTGTTCATCACCTTACAATTTGCTTTTTTTTTTTTTTAGAATTTCTCATGGGCATTCCTGCAAGTTAATCTTAGACATAGATCTTGTTTTCAGCCTAGTTTCTTGTGAACACACGTATTTCACAGAAATGGAATATTATAGTGTGTGTGTGTGTGTGTGTGTGTGTGTGTGTGTGTACTTTTTAAGTTGAGCCTTTTTTTCCTTCTTTGTTAGTCTCCCTACGGACTTTCTCAACCTTTACTCTAAAGACAAGGCCTCTCAAGCTATGTTAATAAACTGCTGTGTCTCTTTCTGCTTTTATTTGGTCCATGTGCTATGTACACACACTGTATTACATCAAACCTGAGATGTCATTTTTTTCACTTTTTAACATCTCTGAAACTGCAATTTCTTACAATCTGAGGTTTAATGAAATAGGGTAGGCATATGTATGTTTGGGGGCTTTTTTCTTCGTTCCTGGTTTTACAAAAACAATATTCTGTTTCCCATACTTTTCTGCATTTTGCTTTCTCTTTTACTTTGTGGAAATCTCTTCAAGACAAATGACATCACTCTGTTCCTTTTTAAAAACATGATTGTAGTATATTCAATATTCCTTGAATGATGGACCACATCTTTTTCCTAGATTATGCTTTTCCCTGCAACAAAAATGCTGCAATAAACATCCTATTTACTGAATAAAAAAGAGAGAGAGTTTAGCCTTCACACAGTGACTGGACTGTTGACACACCCCACGGTGCTGCCCCAACCTGGGGGATTTTAACATTTCCTGGGTGCTTGATTTCATAGTGCCCTCACCCCCTTGGCCCACTCAAGTTGCTATTCGAATTTATAAATGAAGGAAAGGAAATGCTTCTTGAGAAATTAATGATGTGTCTTGAATCCCTTCCACATCTGAGACTGTAGGACCTCTGTGGGATCTGAAGAAGCAGAGTGATGTGGGGAGAAGCAACTGACTCGGGCTCAGAATCATGAGGTCTGCCACTTGCTGAGCGAGTTCCTTAGCCTCTCTAGGCTGTGATTTTGGCAGCAAAGTAGGAAATATAATATCTAAATATCAGATGGACTCCTATTGGTGAGTTCATTTAGTAACATTAAGAAGTGCCCTCTTGCTTTGGTGACATTTCTTTGATGTTATTTCCCCGCCTTGCACAAGTGTTGGTTTCCATATGTGAATTCACGTAGGGCCTCGGTCTCATCCTCATACCGATCTTCGTGTCGTTTCTTTTCAACATGTTTAACATCTGTCTTTCCCACCAAACAGTAGATTCCTTGAGAATTAGCATTGCACCTAATCCAGTGTTTCTGTGTGCCGGGAGCCTGGCACAGGTGTTTGGAATTCCATGTGCTCTCTGTAAATATATTTGAATGGATGGACAAATGAAAGGATTAGCTGGTCACTCTGGAATTACCCAAATCCAGTTTATGGATTGATTTAGGAGTCATCCAGATGTGGTCTTCTCCTTTCCCTCTTCGGGAAAATGCGAAAAGAGAAAGGATACTCTCTGTTTATTTCAGTGTTTTCCTGACATACTTTCTTCCAAAGAATCATGACCAATACATACACGTCGGTCCCTGAGGCACACTGTTCCTGTCAGTCCTTTCTGCGACCACATCTGTCCTCACAGAAGTTATATACAGCACTTATGTGCACATTTTTTTTAAAAAAAGATTTCTTTTAATCAAGATGTTTTACTGCCATGTGGCAGAAAATTTTTACAGTAATGACACAAATCTATGATGACAACAATATGAGTAATACCCTCTAGGACTGTGTAGTGCACAGCCTGTACCACTGTACATGGTGGCTGGACAGTCTACATCTGCCTACGGAGGGTGTACTCACCCTCTGCAGGTTCCTCTTGAAAAAATGGTGAGGATACATCCATCCTTTTTCCTGACTTTGCCAGCAGACATGAAGAGCAGAACAGCCAGTGTGCTACCTACTTTCCAATCCTCCTGGATTAGCGTGGGGCACGTGGTAGGGCTCACTTGGCATATGAAAGAATAAACAAACACGTCATTGGCTCAAAAAGGACCTGGAAGAAAATGAGTGGACATTTAAAAATCTGGAAATGGTTGATATTTCCAAGCTGCTGATGTCCCTCTCTGTCCCTTTCTGTACGCAGTGGTACGTAAATGGGGTGAATTATTTTACTGACCTGTGGAATGTGATGGACACGCTGGGGCTTTTTTACTTCATAGCAGGAATTGTATTTCGGTAAGTAGTCTCATCACTTTTCCTAATTTTCTGTGTTTTGACTACAAAAGTGGAGAAAAGCTCTGCAGACATTTCAAACCCAAGGGAAGTCTATTACTCATTAGAGATTATTACACAAGACCATGGTGTCTGCTTTATAGAGATACACCTTGGTTGTCGTGAAGTTGAGTCCCCTCTCTTCCCCCTCCCACTGATGTGTAATTTAAAAGGGGTCCTGCATGATTTTTCTCTTTGTTCTTAAAGACTTTGGGGAGAATTATTTTTTTTAAGTAGAGATGAGGTTTCATCATGTTGTCCAGGCTGGTCTCAAATGCCAGGGCTCAAGGGATCCACCTGCCTCAGCCTCCCAAAGTGTTGGGATCACAGACATGAGCCTCTGCCCCTGATCATGGGGAGAAATAAATAGAAATTGAGAACTTTGATTTGAATGCTGGCTGTGGAGTCTGCCCTTCCAGTTACAAGCGTATTTCCTCAATGGCACAGCCAGAGTGTGGGATTAGAAAAACCAACCACAAATTACCACCACAAAAACAATGTGTATTCCACATCGTAGAGAGATTAGGGTATGCCCCAAACCATGGTTTGCATTGCCTAGCCTGCATCCTAACTGGCCTGTCGTCCCCAAATAGCTTTTAAGATAAAGCTAGCAACTGGGCATGGTGGCTCACACCTGTAATCCCAACACTTTGGGAGGATGAGGTGGGAGGATCACTTGAGCCCAGGAGTTTGAGACCAGCCTGAGCAACATAGTGAGACCCTGTTTCAATTTTTTAAAAAATATAAGGCTAGCAATTATATATGAGTAGTACTTTCAAATGATGTCATTTTGTAAAGAATCTTAACCATTCATATTTACACTTATACAGAATGAGATGGTTTACAATGAGTGTTCGCCCTCCAATTTGAATGGGGTAAAAACATCAATTTCCTCTTCAGATAGCCTCCCTTTCTGGTTGGGTTTAAGGTTTCAGCATTTGAGCCACAGTTGGTTGGATATGATTCTAGATCACTCCAGTTAGAAAGCACAGATGGCTTTCAATGAGCACATTAGCAGGTGGTTAGATAATCAAATGATCTGGTGCAAATGAGGTAAGTTTCATTAGGGGAAAGCTGGCAGGGTGAAGTCCCAAGTGGTTATGGGGGTGGGCTGGGGGTTGGCATCGTTATAGAAGCCTTGTGAGCCAGGGAAGTTAGCAATAGCACGGTTAGGTTCCTGCTGTAGTGTGTGAGGATGGCGGGCTAAAGAGACAGGAACCTCCGAGAGCTCAGTTTGGTGAGATGTCTTTGCTTTTCATGTCTTTTCATGTCCTTGACTCTACTTGAGGCCATGAAAGCGGAAGATCATGGCCTCTGCTGGGTGGTGTTTCTGGCCTATTTTCACTCACTCAACCTTCCAGCTCTTGCCTGTTTCTTGAAATTGGGTTATTTTTAGAAACAAAACTTTGGAATGTTTTGTCAATATCTCATGAATTCTGTTCCTTCTTTTCCCCCTAGGCTCCACTCTTCTAATAAAAGCTCTTTGTATTCTGGACGAGTCATTTTCTGTCTGGACTACATTATTTTCACTCTAAGATTGATCCACATTTTTACTGTAAGCAGAAACTTAGGACCCAAGATTATAATGCTGCAGAGGATGGTAAGAGTCAAGAATATTTGTAGTCATCATTTTTCTTGCGGGGCCCAGAGTTCTTTTAATGGTCGATAGGAGGATTTTGTCCTTAGAACGACTGTTGCATTTCACCATCAGTAACATTCGCTTTCTTTGATGTATTTCATCAGGGGCCTCTCCCAGGTTAAAATTTAATGAAAGATGGTTGTGAGGGCAAACAGTGTCATTTAGTGCATTGTTAACAAATAACCTCATACTTACTTAGATTTTATACTTCACAAGTTACTTTCATTTGAGTCTTGACAGTTTGCTAAGAGTGTAGGCAGGGGAGGGACTTTTATGCCAATTTGATACCTGGGGACAGTTGAGTCCAAGGAGGAGTGTTTGTCTAGAGACAAGCAGTGAGCTAGACGCATAGTGAGGATTGGAACCTGAATCATGTAACTGTGTAATATAGATACAGGGAAAGGCTATAGCAGTCTCGTTATATACACGCAATAGAAAGAATTACACATGGATGGTGTTGCTTTCCTAAACTTGTTTTCCAGATGACCCAAACCTCCCCTGTTTCTGTCTTTAAATCAGACGAGCATTGAGATGAGCTCATCTGGAAGCTCCATTCCAACACTGAGGTTCTTTGAGTTTGTGGTTTTAATTCAAAGCATTTCTGGGACATCCAGTCATCATGAAGTCATGCTATGTGTGCACAAAATTAAAAAAAAATTAAACGGTCCATTCTTGTCTAATAAGGATAGCTTTTGTTTTCCAAACAAGCAAATAAACCAACAAACTACAAAAATAATTTTGGGGTTAAAAGTGTATCAAAATCATGAGGTACAGGGACAGAGAGGTCCTCCAAAACTTAGATTCCTCCTTTGCTCTAGAGCTGGGCTCCCACTCAGAAAGCTGCTGTTGCTGGGCTGGTTTGGACATCAGCAAGCAAAAATGCATCAAACCGGTTTTAACTCTGGAAGATAGATGTCTTAAGATCCAAAGATGATGATGACCGCTTTTGTCAATTAGTCAGTGAACTCTGGGTGACTTAGATGCTCTGAGCCCTGGAACCGCTGCTCTTCTCCATGGTCCACTGAGGACGGCCGGGCCGGGGGGACTTGCCAACTGTGGGCACGGTCCTGACTCCGCTCTCCTGTCCTCCCCTGACAGCTGATCGATGTGTTCTTCTTCCTGTTCCTCTTTGCGGTGTGGATGGTGGCCTTTGGCGTGGCCAGGCAAGGGATCCTTAGGCAGAATGAGCAGCGCTGGAGGTGGATATTCCGTTCGGTCATCTACGAGCCCTACCTGGCCATGTTCGGCCAGGTGCCCAGTGACGTGGATGGTAAGCCTGACTTGGCTCAGATGGAAACAGCTTGGAGGAGGCATTTGCTCCCTGAACCAACCCCCAGGGCTGCCCCGGAGACCGCACTTCAGAAGCACGCGCGTGAAACGGAGTCCAACATAACAGAGTAAAAACTCACTCCTCAAAACCTCTTCTTTGCTCTTAAGCAAGATTTTACATCAGCCTTGCAGATGGTGCCCAACATTTCAATTTTTAAACCTTTTTAAAAATAGTGATTCTGGTATTTTCAATTAACAATGTGGCAATTGAAGGCAACAAGACTTACTAGTTTAGAAACCAGGGTTGTGAGTTGTACTCATCGATGTAACAGAGTGGCTGGGCTCCCATTTCTTTCAAAAAGAGCAACATTGGAAAATCCACATTGGAACCTGGAATTTAGACTTCTGGCGTGCGTTAGCCCACTGCCAACTGGTTTTTGGAGGCAGGCTGATGGTGGCACAGATGGTTTTAATTTGCCCACACCCGATTTACAGAAGGAAAGTGAGGGGCTATGTAAATTGTGTGTTTTGGATGGACGGGCTGAAGCATCTTTAGGATGCTGACAATAGCCTTGGCTTGTCATTTCCTACCCTACCACGATAAAACCATCCTGATGGTTTCCCTGAGCCAGAGCCTGCTCCTCCTGGTCACAGTTCTTTGTTCCTGTTGTTTTCTCTGTTATCCTCCTGGCCTTGTAAGTCTCTCTGGCCCCATCTGCTAAAGCCTCTTCCAAGACCTTAGAAACAGCTCTTTTCCCCTGCAGTGGTGGAAAGGCACCTTGGTGTTGTCACTCCCAGTCTGCACACTGTGCCTGCCGCTTTACAGAAGCAGACGCATTTCATCCTCATAACAACCCTCCACGTCCGTCATTTTAGCTCCATGAGGATCTAAAGAGGAATTGGCAGGCGGGGTTCAGATCCAGGGTAGCCACTCATGTGCTGTGTGCCCCCGGGAAGTGACTCCATTTTGCTGTCTCTGTTTCATGGGCACAACTGGTAAAGCACCATCTTCTCTACAGGGCCTCTCACTGGCCGGTGTGACCCCACACATGCTCAGATGAGGATCTCTGGCACGGAGCAGCTCTCAGAGGCCAGACGTTTGTACCCACTGCCCCCTCCTCTGAGATTTCTCAGACGCACCTTGGCACATCCTAATAAAAGGGTCTTGATGCCCACTTCCAGACCCAAACTTCCCCCGATGCCCTCCTGTGAAGGTCTGCTGCCACCGTCCACACAGTTGTGTGAACAGAGCTGTCAGAAGCCTCATTGTTGTCCTTAACACCTTCTCAGATTTCATTCCCCTCTATTCAATTCATCCACTAGTTTTGTTGATTTTTATCTCCTAAATGTTTTTTTGAAATCTGTTTTTTCCATCACCACTGCCGCCCCGTGAGCCATCCTCGTCGCTTGCCTGCCTGAGTCTTAGGCACAACCTCCTCACCTTCCTTCCCCTCGAGCCCCTTCTGATCTGTGCTTCTGCCAGAGCGATTCTTTGGAAAAGGGAATCTGATGTGTCATTCCTCTGCTTAAAACAGCCTTGTGGCTTCCCATCACTTCAGTGTAAAGATTTTAAAAATAGGCCGGGGATGGTGGCTTATGCCTGTAATCCCAGCACTTTGGGAGGCCGAGGCAGACGGATCACCTAAGGACAAGAGTTCAAGACCAGCCTGGTCAACATGGTGAAACCCTGTCTCTACTAAAAATACAAAAATTAGCTGGGCATGGTGGCATGCGCCTATAGTCCCAGCTACTCGGGAGGCTGAGGCAGGAGAATCACTTGAACCTGGGAGGTAGAGGTTGCAGTGAGCCGAGATAGTGCCACTGCACTCCAGCCTCGGCATCAGAGTGAGATTCTGTCTGAAAAAAAAAAAAAGATGTAAAAAATTAATATGTCTGCTCCGTGCACATCTTATTCTCCCATTTCCACTGATGTTTACAACCCCCACCACGGGGCCTTTGCCCATGCTGTTGCCTCTGTGGGGTGCTCTAGGCTCCCAACCTCCCCATTAGTTCATGTTCCTGCTGCTCAGCCTCTGCTCTCAGTTCTGAGACCCTTCCTTCTTGGGAAGCTGCTCCTGGATGAGTTGTCTCAGTTTATGCTTCTCAGAGCACTGTGCGTGTCCTTCTTAGCACTTTACATGGACTGAGACTTTAAATGTGTGTGGTTGATTATCTGCCTATCCAAAGAGGCTGGAACGTTCTTGAGGGCAAAGAACATGTTCACTTGGCCCTTCCTTTTATCTTGATCTTAACAAAGCCCCTTGTTCTTAGTAGCTGCTCAGTAAATATGCATTGAGTGGATGAACAGGTGATTCTAAGGACTATGACTTGTTTGGACAAAGTGCCTTAGACGAAGGCCTAAGACATTTCATGACCACTGACATGTTCTTGTGGCCCTGGGAATGCCATCGCTCTCACCCCTCCAGAGGGTCCTCACTTTGCCTGTTGGTTTCTACATCCTCAGGTACCACGTATGACTTTGCCCACTGCACCTTCACTGGGAATGAGTCCAAGCCACTGTGTGTGGAGCTGGATGAGCACAACCTGCCCCGGTTCCCCGAGTGGATCACCATCCCCCTGGTGTGCATCTACATGTTATCCACCAACATCCTGCTGGTCAACCTGCTGGTCGCCATGTTTGGGTATGTGTTCAGTCACATGTTCACTGATGTCCACCCTGGGCCAAGCCCCATGCCAGGCTGGAGGTGCTGGGAGCATCGCAAAGGTCCCACCCTTGAGGAACATACTTTAGAGATCTTTTGGGGGATTGGTGGACTGGAGGGAGTGGGGCCTTTTTAAAGGGACCATATTAAAAATATAAGCTGTGCCTTGAGTTTATTTGACACTGAAGACAAGCACCTGTGACAATCTTCATCAAATCCAGACTGCATATTTGGCATCCATTTAGCAAGCTCTTTGGAGCTCCATGAGGTTGGTACCAATATCACCCATTGGTGACGGAAATGTAGTTTAACTCATCTCCAAAGTGCCTTATATGTTATGGGGCTCAGTGGTATGGATTCTAGGATTACAGGACTCAGACTTTAGTTAATTACTGTTTTAAATTTTTCAGTTTAAATCAGAATACAAAGAGCAGAGACTGGAGAGTGACTCTCCTTTAGGGCTCATGCCTGATGAGGTTGGAGGGAATAATATTGGTAATTCTCCTTTATATATTTAGAAAATGATGTTTTTCATTTCCTCTCCATCTTTCTTAGGAGGGTTTCAAAGAGCCCCAGTGGTAGTTTCAGTGGGAGAGCCTTGGTTTTATATTGTTCCTTCAAGGTATATCAGCATTTTAAGTGCACAAATCCCATCATGGTCAGAAAGAAAATTAACCAACACATATGCACATTTAATACATTATCTGTTAAACCTTTGGGTGGAAGGGAACTCTTTATTCAAAACCAGAAACCTAGAAACTCTGAATGAGAAGATAAACATATTTGATTATATAAAACAGTTTTATATAATTGATAAATTAGGGAAAATGTTTGCAATGCATATAATGAACAAAGGCTTTTATCTCCTAATATAGAAAGAGCTCCTGTGAATTTATAAGAGAAAGACAACTCATAGAAAACTTGTCAGAGAAAATAAATAATTCAGAGAAAGAAAAGTCCAATGGCCAATAAGCACATAAAAAAGGACTTAATCTTGTGGATAGGAAAGTTCAGGTGGAAACAATGAAACGCTGTTTTAAACCCAGCAGATGAACGAAAGTTAAAGGGAGTCTCTGGTGTTGGGATGATGCTGGGAAATGGACATTGCTACTGGGAACCTGACTCACTTCCCATTCTTAGGAAAGTACTTCAAAAATAGTTATTAAAGGAAAAACATGCAAACCTCTGTCGGAACTCTCTCACATCTGGGAATCTATCCTAAAGGTGTATGTACAAAGATGTTTATTAGATCACTATTTGATGTCTATCACTAGGGAGAGGCTAAAGAAAGTGTGCTGTATCCACACTGTGGAATATTATGCCGCTCTTAAAAGACAAAGTTTGATCTATATCTGTTAACTTGAAAGAATGGTATTTTTTAAATATAAAAAACAAATTGCAAATTAATTTTATGGCATAATATTGTTTTCTAAAAATAAAAACATGGACTTTAAAAATCAAATATATACTTCTCTGGTTACAATGATCACACATTACATTCATAATTTAGAAAAGAATATAAGGAAAAGACAATTGTCAAATAGAGCCCTGAGATTCCAAGATGCTCAAGGACTACAGATGAGGGTCACCTGCCTCATTTGTCCAGTGGCCTCCCCCTGAGCAGGGCTGTGTGGAAGCACATACCTCTGGGGACATCACATAGCAAAGGGGCTGAGCAGTGTGTGGCCATCTGGTCTCCCAGTGTCCAGAGATGTCCTTCTCCAGTCCACTCCAGTCTTCTTTACACTGTGACCAAAAGTGATGTTTCTAAAACATCACCGATGTAGTTTGGCTGTGTCCCCACCCAAATCTCATCTTGAATGGTAGCTCCCATAATTCCCTCAAGTTGTGGGAGGGACCCAGTGGGAGATAATCGAATCATGGGAGCGGTTTCCCCCATACTGTTCTCATGGTAGTGAATATGTCTCACGAGATTTGATGGTTTTATAAGGGGAAACCCCTTTTACTTGGCTCTCATTCTGTTTGCCTGCTGCCATCCACGTAAGACGTGACTTGCTCCTCCTTGCCTTCCATCATGATTGTGAGGCCTCCCCAGCCACGTGGAACTGTGAGTCCATTAAACCTCTTTTTTTTTTTTTTTCTGTAAATTGCCCAGTTTTGGGTATGTCTTTATCATCAGTGTGAAAATGGACTAACACAGTCATTGTTCTGCTTAAAATTCTGGAAGGATTTCAATATTTCCCTACAGCATTCAGGATAAATTTCAGTCTTCTCAGCTTCCCCACCATGCTCATCCCCTGCTCTCTGTCCCCCGGCAGGCCTCCCATATGCTCCTCTTTAAACAGGGTGAACTGCTATGCCTGATGCTTTGCACATACTTGTCCTCTGTCTGGATTGCCTGTTCCATCCCGAACTTCTCTTCCTGCCCAGTTTCTGCTTGCCCTTTACAGAGCCAGGAATCATCTTTTGCCAGGGTGGTACCTGATGGCCTCCCCACTTCACACAGAGACTCTTTGAGCCCCTATGGCACTCTTTTACTTGCATGGTAACAACCTTCTCTCCTTGAGAATGGCGAACTCTGGAGGGTGAAGATTGTGCCCGCCATCTCAGCACCTGTCACTTTGTGGGTTTATTCAATGAATGAAAAAAATGGGTTCTTACCCATGTTTAGTTCATTATTTAGTTATTAGGAGCTTAGCTTCCTGGTGTATTATATACTGAGAAGCACCAATGGTGAGTAACAAATCAGCAAGAGAATCATCATGTAAAGGTTTAACATCTGCTCTGTGCCAGGTGCCTGGGCCATGAAGATTATGTGGCTGCTAGTTCCACATGGCCCTAAGAAGGGAAGGGGAAACTCTCCCTCACCACCTAGCTGGTGGCAGGGAGGGACTTGAGGATCCAGAAGCCTGTCTGACTCACAGGCAGCCAGCCAATGTCATGATGTCCAAATAGTGTCCAAAAGTCAGAGGGGCCAACATCTGAGCTGCAGAGAGAAGCAGCAGGTTATGGGTGATTATGTCTCCACAAGAGAGGGAGCAAAACAGACCAATCCCAAAACCTGAAGCAAAGGCGAGGGCGAAGTGGGATGGCTTCAGGCTTTTCTTTACAGTGATAAGATGTCATAGCTACACTGGATAGTCCTGTAAGAACTCACCACTAACTATATTTACAGACATTAAACAAAAAGACCAACAGCTCCTAAAACCATGGCCTTTGAGTTATGCTAACTTGGTAAATCTCAACGAGGCACATGGTAAAATATTTAGAGCTTTTTTGAATCTATGCACATGAGCTGTCTGAAGGAGCCATTCATGAGAACCGGGCACTTTTGTAATCCATTACCTGCATTTTGATAATGAAATGATTGAATTTGGAGCTGAGAAAGATGGGAGCCTCGTCTGTCACTTTCAGGTGAAGGAGATGAAGTCCCAGCAGCTCAGCGTCTGTGGTCCTGGCCGCGCGTTATCTGGCTTAACTCAGGTCTCTTCCCCACGAGGCCAGAGCCACTGCATCACATCCTACTGTTGCCCCAGTCAGTGCTTAAGTGTGACAGCTTGCAACATCCCTGTCCTTGGGGAACCTCCTCGATTAGCTCCGGCTTAAACCAGAGGCCTTTTCCTGGCTAATACCTGTCTGGGGACACCAGAACAGCGAGAGACGCCGTGTTGTTATCCTTAGGTTAAATCCTTGGAACACTGTTTCTGATCATTTTTAAAGTTGTTCAGGGCTTACTCTGTGAGCAGATGGCCCCAGGATGTGACCCTTCCCTGGCACCACATCAAAATACTCATTTAAAAGCTTAACCATACACAATGGCAACCTTATTAACTGCAATGCAAATGTACCTTTGGGAATTCTGAAGGAGTATTGGAGTGCTCTCTAGATGGTATTCAACAGAGAAAGGAAATGGATGTGAACATCTGTGATTATTCTACATTAAAATTATCGATCACAGGGCCTGTGTGGCTTATCAGCGGCAGGAAGTGAATTTAAAGTCAGTAAATGACTCCAGGTCGACTTACCAGGAGCTAGGGCATTTATAAGCATTGTGCCCTGAAGATAAGTTCACCCCAGGCAGTTCTGAAAAGGACTCGTCAAACATGTCCTGCTGTAGAATAATTTCTAAAAATGTTTTTCAGATCTTAGGAGTAATATAAACATGCAGAAAAGTAGAAGGAAGAAAATAATGACCTGATACAAACTAAAGGTTTGAGTGCTGTGTGAACAGTCTAAGGGAGGTTATTGAATTGGGGTGAAAAGAATAGAAAGAAGAGCGCAGATAATTGTAATAGTAACAATAGCTAATATTTATTGAAGCTTTCCCATGCTGGGCACAGGTTCAAGTGCTTTACAGGGGTCGCCTCATTTAATTATTACTCATTTCTGTGTAGGTGTGTAGCCGGTGGGCTAGTTCAGGTTCTTGACTTTGGGACAGAAAATAATTTGAAAGTGAGTCAAAAGCAAAAGCAAGCAAGAGAGTTGACTGCAAAGCCAAAGTACACTCTAGCAGCCGGTCAGAACGGGCCACTCAAAGGCAAGACAGCTCTGTCTAATACTGGGGGATCTCCCTTTATGGGAAATTTGCATGATTATTCATGAAGGGGTGGTAAGGGGTGTTGCTATTAAGCATGTTAGGAGTGGTTTCTTAGGTCCACATGTGCAGTGGCTGTACATGCTAGTACATCCATCGCATGTCTTATAAGCATTTTAAATCTCCACCTGGGGGTGTGTTTTTTACTATTATAATGAGCACAGGTCAGCCCAAGGACACTAATCACGGGTTTCTGTGCTTGTACAAATGTGGGGATTTTTCTCTTCTGCTCCTGCCTTTTTGCTGTAGGGTGTTCTAACCACGAGCTCAGGATGCGGTCTGTGCACTGTTAGGTGGTTTGTTCTCTTCATCAATTTGACAAGTTTCTTGTTTCCTGTCAAGGGAGGCTCTGACCACCTCATCTAACCTGCCTCAGGTGCAGCCTTATTGCCATTTTACACGTAAGGAGTGGGAGGCAGAGAAAGGTTAAGTCCCTGATATTAAGGGAAGAGATGACATGGAAACATATGAATATAATATATATAATATAATGTAATACAAACAGCATGGAGAGGCTATTTGCAGAGGAGGGAGTTATTAATTGTGAGATTGTTGGCTGGGGGAGCCTAGGATCTGCAGCAGCAGCTAGGTGGAGGTGATGTTTGCTTGAAAGATCATGTACCCAGAGCCCCAAGTGTTGGTAGGAGAGGTAGAAGCAGGGGAGATAATGTTAGTCTAGGGAGGAATCAGCAGCCGGGGAGGGTGGAAATGTAGGCAGGGGCTAGGTTATGGAGAGTCTTTTATAGTATATTAAAGAATTTGGACTTTTTCCTGAAGTTGAAGAGAAATGTCATGGGTCTTCGTGCAAGTATATGGCACAGTCTTAGTTGGTTATTCTGTTAGCAATATACTAACCTGAATTATCAATTCCAAAATCAGTGTGATCCAATCGCTTGTCATCTCTTACTGCTGGCTGTTGTTGGCTTTGTACCTGCTTTTTTGATGTTGCAGAATGAGAGGGGAACCAGGATGTGTTACACAGTTTAACATACACACCAGCGCATCAGAGAGAGCGAAAAGTCACTGTCACCACGGGCCATGGGGCAGTACTGGCTAGATACTGCCTGTGTGCTGGGGAAGGAGCGACAAAGGAAAATCCATGAAATCTACGCAAAGTTTGGAGGAGGTGTCCATCTGATAGGGAATTAGCTGACAAGTTTCTTGTATTTCAGTGTATTTGAAAATTCTGCCATTGTTTTAGCATCTACTTTTTCCTTGTGAATTTTTTGCAGACTTTGCATTCTGTTCTGTGGATCTGTCTTTGTATTTTGGTTTTTACTACCAAATGGCTTTGATTACTGAAGTATTTTTTTCTTTTAGGCGTTCTAACATCTGTTGTACAAGTTTCCCTCATTATTCTTATTCAAAACTTTTCTGGCATTTCTTGTATATTTAATTGTACAGAGGAGCCTAAGGCTTATCTTGTGGATTCTTTCTTCTTTCTCCTTCCCCCAAAAATTCTTGTGAATATTATTATGATGATGTTAGGTTTGTAGAATCATTTAAGGGAATTTGGCATCTTACTATTGAGAAGAAATGCTATGATTTTCATTTATTCAAACATATATAATTTCCCAGTAAAGTTTTATGGTCTTTTTCATATGGATCTGGCAGATTCCTTGTTAATTTGTTTCCAGCCACTTATGGTAGGGGGAAAAAAGTAAGGTACTTTTTCTATTATGTTTTTTCAGTGACTACGTTTTGGTACGTAAGAAGGTTATTAAAGTTTTCCTTATTTATTCTGGAATGAGTCTCCTTACTAAATTACTTTTCTTTTTTTTTCTTTTTATCATGTCATGGAAAGTTCCTCCTCTTTTTTGTTTATTAAGCTCCTTTCTCTTTCTCTTCCTAATCAGAAAAGGATGTTATATGTTGCCAGAAGATTTCTAGCAGTTATTGAAATGCTATTTTTCCCTTTGATCTAGTATTATGATGCATTGTACAAAAGATGAATGACATAAATGTTCTTAATATTTAGTCATCCTATTCCATGGTCATGGTGTGTTATTCTTTTAAGGTACTTCTGGACTTCATTTATGTACAAAGTGATCTGAATTCTAAACGTCTGTTCCCTCTTGGTACCATTTCCACTCTCAGTGAGTTTCTGAACTGCTGTCCCTCTGCATGGCCTCTCCTTCCTCCTCCTCTCCTGCTCAGCTGGTTTCAGGAGATGGACCTCAGCTGTCACTGCATGTCTCCAGCCAGCTAGGTGTTTGCCAGGGACAGGACGCCAAGGGCACAAGATATCGCTGGAGATGCACAAAGGGAAAATTGCAGAATTCTCTCAGGGACAACACCAGATGGCCACTGGTTGTCAAGGAGACTTTAAGAACCATCTCAGATGGGGCGGGTGAGACCCTGGGCATGAGAGATGGTCTCTAAGCTGCTACAATGCTTGCTTTGCTGAGGGGGTGTGCACGTGCTGGCCCAGAAAATCCTTTTCTGCAGAGTTCAGTCTCCCCTTTACAGAATTTGAAAACAATGTCTACAGAATATAAACATTGTTTTAGGAAAGCAGGTGGAAGCATCGCTCCATTAGGAGCCCCCCTCTGGAGAACCCTCATGTCTATTTGGCTGAGTCCTGGACTGACTTGAGAGAAAAAGAACATTTTGGAAGCTGCTGCCATATGGGTCAGCTGTACCTCGGTGTATAAATAAATCTCAGCCTAGCCAATCCTGAATATGCATTATTTATGCAAAACGGCTTTTGGGTATTAATGTCCAGTTATCAGCTGGTTCATTCACACCCCCTGGGATGCCCATAAGAGTTCTTGCTATTTGTCTGGGAAAGCATTGCTGCTCACTGGATCCACCTTTGCCCTTGAGGTACAGAGGAAGCTACTCTTCCAGCAGGAGGGGCCGTGCAGTCAACCCAGTTGTCCTGAGGAACAAATGATTGGTGACCTATGAGGCAGAGCTCTTTAAAAGTAGGGAATGATACAAACACAAAGCCTTATTCATGGGCACTGGCCTACGTGCACTGTAGCTCAGGGATCACAGACTTTCTCTGTAAGGGCCAGCTAGGGTCATTGGTCAGATGTGTCAAAAGAAGCAGTATTCAGTGATGCTGTACCCACCTGCACCTCCCTGCTTTGTAAAAGCCATTCTTAGCTCATGGACTGTACAAAAACAGGTGGGGGGCTTGGCTTGGTCCCAAGTTGCAGTTTTCCAATCCCTATTTTAGATGATCTAGAAGACATGTTTTTCCCTGACTCCAAGTGGCCACTTAAGCCATGGTGCAATAAATCTCTTCCTACTTGGACTCTTGTGGGCTGCGTTTCCACTCTGAGCTCTCTGAGGAAGATGGGGGGCCCACTTGCCAGAGAGAATGCTTTCCCCTGCTCTGAGCATCCTGGAAGTTTCTCTTTTCAATAGGACTTATTGCTTCCTTTGGAATAATACCTCAGAAAACAACATCAATGCACAAAAATGGATGCAGTTGTTTTGATTTTTTCTTTGGTGTTAGAGTTTTGGGAAGTCAGTATAATCCATTTTTTGACTAGATATATAGTCAAAGATTTCTATTTCCTTTTTTGAAATAGAGCATCTATTTCTTTTTTGGAAATACAACATTGCTTAAAGTATTTTCACATTCATCTCTTCTTATTTTTAGGTTAAATTCCCCAAACTCGAATATTTCAAGTTACTTCTAGGGACAATAATTTGAATGGTAATAGTTGTTCTGGCCCAAGTAGTAAACTGATTTCTGGCAAGTTCTTAGCCTGAACTTCCCTAATCGGGGGCTGCTGCATGCACACGTGTCTCGTTGCAGCCGCAGAAACATGCAGTGCATTTTGTAGGCAACAGAACCAGCTGTGGACTAGAAAGGGTGGATGATGATGCTTGCTATTAGCCTCAAAGCAGCCTGACCTACATTTGGAAGAAACGCCAGGCTGGCTGCTAGATTTGACTGGCTGCACTATAATACATCCCAGTCCTGGCTGTTTTTCACCTAAGTAATCTACCACTCAGGGTTGATGTGAGGATCAGTCAACCAACCAATTTACAGGCATAGCATAGGAGCTTACATGGAGGAGATGTTTAATAAACAGAAATCCTTTTCTTTTAAGGATCTCACCCTGTTCAAGAGGCACCTGCTACAAGTCTGCCTTACACGGGATCCAGGCCCTAGTGTAGATTGCAGAGGTGTTCCATTCGTCATTAAACACCAAGATAAACAAAGCTAAACTTTAAGCAAAGCCAATAACCATTGTCTGTGTTGGTCAGTGTTTTGCGTAGGTATCCGACATTTTTTTTTGCTTAAGATATTTAAGTCTAATGTAATGTACTAAGGTGCAAGAATGAGGTCTCGTAACATATGTAATCGATTTTTCTGCCTGACTTTATTGAGGATGTTCCCCAGAATTTGGATAATTTAATGCTTCCCCCATCAGGATTTGCCTTCAAACAGTTCATTGCACCTCTTTGGCTCTTGAAGGGATGATTTGATATTAGCAATAAAAATGTCTTGGATGGTTGAACTTTGCAAATTGTAATATGCTTTGTAGTTATCTAAAATGCTAAGCTAGCAAGTGGCCCAGTAAAATCCTTTTGAAATGAAGCATATCTCAAACCCATTTTTTGAAATAGAGCATTGCTTAAAACATTTCCTGCTCCCCTCTGTGAGGTGGTATCATGTAGCAGCGAAACAAATAGACGTGGGGCTGGATTGCGGGGTCCAAATCCCGAATTCAACACTTCCTAACTGGAGGACTCAGACAATTCACTTACCTTTGTTGTGCCTCCATTTCCTGATCTGTTCATTGTAGATGATAATAGACATCATAGATAATAGACATACATCAGAGAGTTGTTTGTAGATTAAGCCAGTTAATTTAAGCAGACTGCTGGAACAGTGTCTGGTTTATAATAAGTGTTAGCTATTTTATAGTTTTGGTTTAATTTGTAACAGAGAAATCCTTGGCATTATCAGTTTTGGAGTAAGACACAAAATGAACATTTTAATCATTATGGAAGTAATTCATACTCATTGCCTCATGCTGGAAAGCAAATGGAAAAGAGACTAAACAGCACTCAAAACA
Source organism: Homo sapiens (assembly GCF_000001405.40). NCBI lineage: Eukaryota > Metazoa > Chordata > Mammalia > Primates > Hominidae > Homo > Homo sapiens. The sequence goes on from NC_000002.12 coordinate 233,995,484, forward strand.
TGATGCCCAAGGTGACTGCCATTTGTGGTTGATCTATTTCTCTTTGTGAATTGAGATCTGCATAACAAAACCGTATTGTAAGTACAAGTTTGAGCCTAATTATTTTCACTTAACATATATGATAAGCATTTCCCCATAATAAAACAATTATTCATAACTTTAATGGCTGCATAATGTAATCATATTGATTAATCGTAATGTGTGACACATTTTCTTAGTGATGAACATTTAGTTTCTTTCTTTCTCTTTGAGTAGGGGGTGGGGGCAGCTGTTACATATGGTGCTGGTGGCCAACAGTCATGCATATATATTCATTTACATATATATTTTTTCTTAGTATTTCCTTATTCTTAGGGTAGATTCCCAGAAGTAAAGTCATTGGGTCAAAGGGATGAACATTTTTAAGGCTCTTGATAAACACTAACAAGCTGTTTTCTTCTCAGGCTGTTTACACTTAGACATGGATGAGGGCCACCATGCTAGTCCCAAGGGTGTTGACATCTTGGACCACTTTGTATCTAACATCATAAGAAATGAATAAAAAAAGAGAATCATTGAAAGATCTTGAAATAAAATAATTTTAAAGTTTGTTGAGCATTTTTTTGTGATTAAAAAAAAAAAAAAACCACCAAAAGCCAGACACACTTTTGACCCAGCATGAATTGAAGGTCACTTTCACTTCCTGCTGAGTTATTTTGGCTCGTGTATCACTCTGGATTCTTCTCTCCTGTCTGTACTTAAGCTATTGCAGTAATAGCTTAATACCACTATTACCATACTAGGCAGTTTAGCGATGAGGCATGCGCAATGCTAAGTCTTGGCCTTCTCTCTTCCCTCACCAGCTACACGGTGGGCACCGTCCAGGAGAACAATGACCAGGTCTGGAAGTTCCAGAGGTACTTCCTGGTGCAGGAGTACTGCAGCCGCCTCAATATCCCCTTCCCCTTCATCGTCTTCGCTTACTTCTACATGGTGGTGAAGAAGTGCTTCAAGTGTTGCTGCAAGGAGAAAAACATGGAGTCTTCTGTCTGCTGTGAGTGGTTTATCCATGTGTACTTGGGATCAGAAGCAGCGATTAATTTCAGGGAAGGATGCCTGGTGTGTATCTCAACAGGAAGGAATTATTCACAGATCTTTCACTGTTCACATCTGTACATCTGTAAAGATCAGGCCTCAGGCCAACCAATGAATTACTCTAGAGAAATGTAGCTGAAGAAAGCACTGTAGATCTGCCGGGATAGCCTGCTCTGTGGGGAATGAATGACTTTTGGACAGATCGTGTAATAATAATGTAAATAGTATGTTGAACGGGCAGAATTCATGGGATAGTGTCCAATCATGACTTTGTTTTTGCTTTTCATTGTTCCCGTGAAATTTATTCTCTAGGAACCTTTAAATCTGACTCCAGCACGGTTTGTGACTCTTCTTAGGAGAATAGAAAATCTTAACAATTGTCATATTTGAGAAAACATCATCTCAGTTTAGAAATAGGAATGTGTGGCCAGGCGTGGTGGCTCACGCCTGTAATCCCAACACTTTGGGAGGCCTAGGCGGGCGGATTGCCTGAGCTCAGGAGTTTGTGACCAGCCTGGGCAACACGGTGAAACCCCATCTCTACTAAAATACAAAAAAATTAGCCGGGTGTGGTGGTGTGTGCCTGTAGTCCTGTAGTCCCAGCTACTCGGGAGGCTGAGGCAGGAGAATTGCTTGAACCCAGGAGGTGGAGGATGCAGTGAGCCGAGATCTCACCACTGCACTCCAGCCTGGGCGACAGAGTGAGACTCCGTCTCAAAAAAAAAGAAAGAAAGAAATAGGAACGTGCAGTTCAATATATTAGCCAGCCTATTAATTGCTATTCAGAGGTGAGACTCCTCCTCCCTGCCCCATTCCCAGCTGATGGAGCCGTCAGGGAGGGTCGGCAGTGGGCTGTTCCCTCTCTTTGCTCCCATTCACCAGCTGTGGGGACTGACCCTCCACAGCTGGAGCACAGAGGGACAGGATGGGAAGGGGAGCTGAAAGCCTTTTCTTAGTGATGCTGTTCTGGGCTGCTTCGTGCCCTCTGGCCTGGCAGATGTTTGAAACTGATCCTTGATTGTGTGGGCACTCAGGGGGTCCTTCAGAGAGTCCCTGGCTGTCACCTCTGACCCCAACTCCTAAGACTTGGCCATGATTTCTCTGGTGGCTCCCCCCTACCCCAGCCTCTGGTTTCCAGGGGTCCACCACACACTCCACACACTAATGTCTTCAGGAAGGCAGCCATCAACCCAACGCATCCACACATCAGACTGTGGATCATTCTCTCTCTCATGTGGTCACCTAGCCCTTACAAACTGGGGTGCAGGCTGCTCCCCACCCAGCCACCACTCCCTACCCCTGAAGTGGTAGCAGCTGTCAGCCACATGTCCTTTGAATGCAGGGAGCCAGCATCCAGCTCTCTTCCTGGCCCTGTAGGAAACCACATCAGGCTTGAGTTTCTCCCAGAGCCACTAAGCCAGACAATCTTCCTAGCCCCCAGTTATGCCTCAACCAGATTAAGCATGCAGGGAGGAAGGGGCCTGTTTTTATTTGTTTGGAGGTTTGGACACAAAAGAAAAGATAGAAAGGGCACCCCTGGCCTTTTTCCTCATCCCTTAACCTCAGACCTAAGCCAAAGATCCATCTCTGGGATGGGGATGTAGCTGTGGGGCCAACTCCTCCATCAGGCACAGTGCCAGGGCCCACAGGACCTCAGGGGCTCCTGAACATCTTTACATTTTCTTTCAAAACCAGAAGAAAAAAATGAGCTTTTAGATTAAAGAAAGTGTTCTCATATATATTAATGTATTTGTTTTACACCAACTAAGTCATACAATATTTTTAATATATTTTTTCTGAAGGAAGGGACTCAGAATGGCAAATGTGCCTAGGGCCTAGGGTGACCATCTCGTTGTAGTTTGCCCAGGACTTCCCCATCTTAGTACTGAGAGTCCTGCATCCTGGGAATCCAGTTAGGGTGAGCAGCCTGCGCCCAACCAGTTAGGGTGCCAGCAGCCTGCGCCCAACCAGTTAGGGTGAGCAGATTGTACCCAGCTAGTTAGGGTGAGCTGCTTGTGCCCATCCAGTTAGGGTGCCAGCTTGTGCCCATCCAGTTAGAGTGAGCCGCTTGTGCCCATCCAGTTAGGGTGAGCCGCCTGTGCCCATCCAGTTAGGGTGAGCAGCCTGTGCCCATCCAGTTAGGGTGAGCCGCCTGTGCCCATCCAGTTAGAGTGCCAGCTTGTGCCCATCCAGTTAGGGTGCCAGCTTGTGCCCATCCTGTTAAGGTGAGCAGATTCTACCCATTCAGTTAGAGTGAGCAGCTTGTGCCCATTTGCCCAGGACTATCCCAATTGTAACATGGGCATTTTTGCCTTCTGGGAACCTCCTTGGTTTCAGGGACTGCTGATCACCCTTCTAGTCTTAACAGCCCTGTGTGCTGACAAGGGATGTAGAGTTAATGACTCGGGTTGGACCACGCTTTGGTACCTTCAGGATTTTCATTTTCAGTTTCCTTCTTGTGAAAAAAATAAAGGAGGGTCATTTTACGTCTCTAAGTGGATCAGTTATATATAATTATGTAACAAGTCACCCCGAAACTTGGTTTCCTGAAAGCATTTATTTGCCCATGATTCTGTGGGTCCCTCCTGGGGCAGGGCAGGGCAGGGCAGGGCAGAGCTGGGCTGGGCTGGCTGCCTCTGTTCCTTGAAGCATCCAGTGATTGGAAGCTGGACCCCAGGCTGGCTGGTCTGGACATCCACACGCATTCTCACATGCAGTGCCGGCTGGCCAGCAGCAGGGAGTCTCAGTGTCACCACACATAGCAGCTGGGTTCCTGCAAAAAGCAGGTACTGCAAGGCCCCTGAGGCTGTGGCTCAGAAAGTCAGATGACGTCACTTCTGCTGCGTTCTATTGGTCCAAGCAAGTCACAGGCCCACCCAGACAGAACGGGTAGAGAATGTGACTCTGCTTCTGGGTGGGAAGGACAGCCTGCCCGGTGGGTGGAAGAATCCGTGGCCCTGTTTGGCCATCGTGGCCCTGTTTGGCCACCTACCACTCTAGGCATCACTGAGCTGAATGCGCCGGTCCTCTGAGAATGCCTCCCCCACCCAATGCTGGTTTATCAAAAGAAGGGGAGCTTCTCACTGCCCGTCCTACTCCCAAATTCACAGCAGAAATGCGTGGCGCCCTTGGAGCAAGGTGCATGGGGGCTTACCTCTCATTAACTCACCTACCATACTAGACTTGGATAGTTCGAGCAGTCCCACGTTATCTTTGATGCCTCGAACAATTTAGAACACAATTTTCTATGCCCTGACATCTGCAGCTGCATTCACCCCTGGAAAATGCTGAGTATACGGGCTGAACCCGGGGAGACTTTCCTGATCCTCACCATGCCCAGGCAGTTGCAGCAGATCTTTAAGAAAGAGCCTCTTTAGCATACTCTGCACTTAGCTGATTTTCTGTTACTACTGTTCCAAAATTGATATATTTTCACAAGTAATTTGAAGATCGTGTATGTTTTCCATCCTTGGAAAAAACCTTTCCTGAGCACATTCTTTCTGAGCAGCATCTGTGATCAATGTGGATGATTTATTTATTTATTTATTTATTTATTTATTTATTTATTTTTGAGACAGAGTCTCTCTGTGTTGCCCAGGCTGGAGTGCAGTGGCATGATCTCGGCTCACTGCAACCTCCGCCTCCTGGGTTCAAGTGATTCTCCTGCCTCAGCCTCCCAAGTAGCTGGGACTACAGGCACCCGCCACCACACCTGGCTAATTTTTGTATTTTTAGTAGAGATGGGGTTTCACTATGTTGGCCAGGCTCGTCTTGAACTCCTGACTTTGTGATCTGCCTGCCTTGGCCTCCCAAAGTGCTGGGATTACAGGCATGAGCCACTGCGCCCTGGCCCTGTGTGGATGTTTTAAAAATGCATGAACTTGGCTCTAGAAAATGACCTTTGGCAATTTGGCATTGAAAAGGCTTCCTTGATATTTATAAATTATTCAGTTATCTTGTTACAGTCAGGGAGGAAAAATATCTTTTCCTCTACCTGTCTTAGGCTCATGGCTGAGATCCCTACAACAAAAGACAGAGTAACAAGAGGAAAGCATAGAAATTTAATATAAGTTTTATGTGACATAGGAGCCTTCATAAGGAAAGGAAGATCCAAAGAAACAACCTTTTTTTTTTTTTCGGAAATGGTGTCTCGCTCTGTCCCCCAGGCTGGAGTGCAGTGGCGCAGTCTCGGCTCTCTGAAACCTCCACCTCCCGAGTTCAAGCAATTCCCCTGCCTCAGGATCCCGAGTAGCTGGGATTACAGGCGTGCACCACCACGCCAGGCTGGTTTTTGTATTTTTAGTAGGGACAGGTTTCGCCATGTTGGCCAGAATGGTCTCGAACTCCTGGCTTCAAGTGATCCGCCCACCTCAGCCTCCTAAAGTTCCCGGATTATAGGCGTTAGCTACTGTTCTCAGCCAAACTTGAACATTTTTAATAGTAGGTTTAATGAAGAGTGGAAGGTTGTGGAGAAATAGGATAGGGCAAACAGAGTATGATCCCATGGTAATAAACTGGGAAACCTAGCAAGGCCTATGCATTCACATTTCTCTCTGCATCCCTGTGTCTTTGGAGATGAGGACACTGTTTTCCCCTAGGTATAAGGAGTGTGCCTCTCACATGAGGGTCCTATGACCTGCTGTAGGGGAAGGTCAGAAAATCCTTCCTAGGTGATATGACCTGCTTCTGGGGAGAGGGGCAGGAAAAGTCAGATCAGAGAGACCTTCCTGATTGTGTGGTTTTTCTTCAATTCTTTCAGTTTAAAATATTCAATATGCCGTGGTGCCATATTTTGAGGTACTGTGTCCTAAACCCTATCATCACTTATATTCCGGACGGCCCCCAGAAACCAATGAAAAAAGTGCTCATAAAATGTCTAAGTAGGGGAACAAAAGTTAGAAAGGAACATCATTGAGTTCTGATAAATTTCAGAAGCAAGAGTCTACCAACCTCATTTCCTGCCACAGTCCACTTTGGCAGAGTTCTGTAAAACGCACACCACACTACCCACAGATCTAAATTGGAAAATTGAGTGAGCACAAGGATGGGTGGAAATTGTGCATAGGCAAGAAAAGCACAGCATGAAAAGGAGCACCCCCCCTTAGCACCTATAAAAATAAATAGTGTAAAAGCAGTCCTCTTGCAGGAGGGGGTCAGTCCTGCACAAACATGAAGTCTCAGTTCTGGGGCTGCAGCCATGAACAAAGGCACATGGGCTGGGCCTGGAGGCCATCACTTGGTGGGAGCTGGACCAGAGGTGACGTAGATAATTTCGCGGAGAGCCTGCGATGCAGTGAGTGAGGGGGACTGGGAGAGCTGATTCAACAAATATGTGCCAAGAGCCTACCACATGATAGTGGGCCCTGGGGATTTGGTGCTAAATAAGCTAGAAGCTATCTGTGCCCTCGAGCAGGGCTCATCATCTGGGGGAGTGGGGAGCAGAGAATGAAAATGGAAAAGCCTTAATTAAAAAGTGTGGGAAACACTAATTTTAGGGAATGTGCAGGGGGTTGTGATGGCCACAGAGAGGACATTTAAACCCTTGACTAGAGTGCATCAGGGAAGATTTATGGAGGAAGGGAATATTCAAGCTGAGACCCAGAAGATGAATTGGAATTAGCCAAGCAAAGAGGCAGAGGCTGAAATGGCGCCACAGAGCGAGGAGTGGGCAGAGGGAGGAGGGAGTTAAGAGAGGTAGGAGGACAGGGGAGAGAAGACCTCAGGACTGAGGGTTGCAGGAGACGAGAGTAAGGCTTGGACTGTATCCTACAGTCACATTTTAGCTCCATACGGTCCCCTTTCCCCTGCCCTCAGCCCACCAAGTCACAGTGAATCCCAGAGGAAGGAAAAACTGTAGACAGGAGACACTACAGTGCAAGAAATGGTGACATGAACCATGAAACATACATCATGACACCTCTTTGATGACTGGACTTGTTTCCCTCAAGGCAGAAATGAGCAAAGATACTCCCAGGGCTGGTGTGGGGAGACCCACAGATCACCACATGGAATTAGGCTTCTCAGATCCTGATGCTCACTCCTGTGATTTGGGGAATATGTTGGCGGAGGGGAGGGTCGTGAGATGCCTCCCCACCTCCACCTGGAACACTACTGAAAAAAGAAAAGTCGCTGTTAGATAGGAAATTTGGAGTTAAGGGCAATTTGGAAGTGGGAAATATAGGGGAGAATCCAGTACATGTGACTAAAGGAATAGGGTTAGGTGGTCCTTCTCTCTGCTTTTTTTTAAAATCCTCATTCTACTGTTCACAGGTGTTGTGTCTTTCAGTGGCTGCTGGACAGCTGTTCCCTTCTGTTTTTTTCCTAAGGGTATTTGATAAAATGGTCACTGACTGCCACCACTGGATTCATGTTCCATAGAGGGCTGATTATGCCTGTGCCTTTAGTGTAATCTCAAATATTTTGAAGATTCAGAAAGTAAAAATATAAATTTTGCTAACCTAGACATGGTAATTGGTGGCAATTAAGAAAAATTTAACTTGCCAAGAAGCATCGTTTTTTGTGGGGTTCTTGAACTACTTAGAAAAGGAGACAAAGTACTCATAAATATTACTTTAAATATTGATCATAACATATTTCTGTGCTCTCCCTATAGCTGTGAGCCCCTGAAGTCTGGCTTTCAGAATATAAATGTATTCACGACCCCGAACTCGTGTCATGCCTTAAAGAATCATCATAGTCAACTCTTTTAACAGCATTATTTTAAAATGTTAAATGTCACTTTGGGGATGTCATTAACGATCACACATATGTAATTGCTGTTCTTAATGAAGAAAGTGTTTTGACAATTTGGATAAGTTGCGTCTTTCTTTCCATCGTTTTGCCTTGAAAGACAAAGTGAGTCAATTCTGACTAAAAGCACAAAAAGTCTTTATATCAGGGAGAGGATTTGGAAGTTCAGATCTGGAATTTGACTCAAACATGGCACCCAGATACTAGAAGCACTTAATGACATGCCTCAGGACTCTCATTGGTTCTGTCTTGAAGCCATGTCACGGCTGGTGGCTATAGGACCTGGGAGAAGTCTTAGGGGGCCATTCTGTGCCTTCAGGTAACAGAAAACCTACAAGCATCATACTTCTTTCTGAATGATTCAGGGGAGAAAACAAACAATGGATAAAAGTGAGGAAGATTTTGATTCAGTACAAAGAACAATGTCTAACAGTGTGGGCTATCTGGAAATGAGATTAATTGTTCTGTGGAGGTAGTGAACTGCTCATCGCTAGTGGGATTCAGGTTGAGGATGTGTGGGAGGAGGGGCTGCATGGGATAAAGGTCCATTCTCCAAAGATACATTGTACTCAGTCCCAGGATCAGGGGAATTAGGAAATTCAGTGCCTAAATAAGGACAAATCAGTACTCCAGATTAGGGGTGAGGTTGAGAAGGCAGGACGAAATTCATTACATTCCCCTAAAACTTAATTAATGATTAAGCACAATATGACTATAAAATGGAAACAAATCCCCCAATTTGGCCAGCAAATGAAAAGGGGCTTCAGCACAAGGAAGCCACCAGATAAGTCAGACATGAAAGAGTGAATTTGGACCTGTCTCCCAAGTGGGCCCCTGGGAGAGTGGCGATCTCATAATAACCAGAGAAATGGTGTGTTTAACTGTTGACATGATCCCTCTTCAGATAGTTTATATTCTCGGAAGAAACAAAGAAACACTGAGAATAGGAGACAACAGAAGGACAGGATCTTTCTCCACCCTCGGGTGGTGTGGCAGTAATGGGACAGAGAGAGCCAAGAGCCCCACTTTCTGACTGCAGACTCCCCAGGGTGCCTGGTCACTGCCTGCTCATTTGCTTCTCCTCCTTGGAGATGACTAATGCCTGAAACCGCAGCACTTGGCGGCTGCCAGGGCCTCTAGCTGGCAATTCGTTTCCTACATGTATTTTGCTTTGCCTCCAAATGGTGGTGACGTCATGGGTTTAATTCTGAAATTGTTCTTCTTTGGAGAAAAATGCGAGATTTTTCAAATGACTTTCAGAGCAGTGGAATCCAAAGTTTCACTTTTGGTACTTTTTTTGGTGACATCTTCAAGTAATAAAAATGTATGCTACACAGTAATTGCTTTTTCATAAAATGTATTATTTTGCATGATTCGGAAAGCAATCCATATTCATTATAGGACATTTGAAAAATATAGAAAAGCACAAATAAAGATGAAGAGCACATGTAACCCACCATCCAGAGGTAAATATTGTCAACACACTGGTGTTTATTCTGTTATTTTTGTGTGGGTGTATAGTAATTGGATTGCTCTACACACACACATTCATAATCTAACTTGCTCATTTAACTAATAATACATCGCAAAATTTTTCCATATCCACAAATAACCATCTAATCTACATGACAATCTTCAATCGTGGAGTAGTATTCCAGCCTATGGATGCACCATAATTAATCAGTTCCTTGTTAAACATGTAGATTGTTTTGATGCTTTTGCTAGCATATAATGCTATGTTAAAGAGTTCTATGCATTCGTTTCTGAGCACATGAATACTTTTTTCCTTTGAGTTATTTCTAAAGAGAAATTTCTAAATAAAGGGTATGCACCTCTTAAGTCTTTGTATATTGGCTGTCCCCCCTCCTCCACCTTCTGGTCCCCCATTACCCTAAGGCAGTAACAATTGACAGATTTGCCCCCTCGTATGGGAGACCTATTTCTCCACATTCTTGCCAACATGGGATATAGTCATTATTTTACTGCTAATTTTCCAGCATGGTTAGTGAAAATGCGATGTCATCATTTCAATCAGCATTTCTTTGACTGTTACAGAGGTTGGTCATTTTTTATTTTTATTTTTTGGTCATTTGTCATCCTTGCTCTCTGGCTGTCTGTGTCCAGGAGTGTCTACCCTTTCCATGCTGATTTTTAAGCACTCCTGTTGGACTCTCTCATTGATTTTGTTTGAAGAAAAGACATTGAAACTTCTTTGTTGGGAAAAATACAATTCAAAAAATTAGTTAAGAATTATTTTGTAAAGTGAATAACCACACTTAAAAATAAATACATATTTGCTATGTGGAATTTGCTTAAATCGAGGCTGGGCACAGTGTCTCAAGCCTGTAATCCCAGAACTTTGGGAGGCCGAGGCAGGTAAACCACTTGAGGTCAGGAGTTTGAGACCAGCCTGGCCAACGTGATGAAACCCCATCTCTACTAAAAATATAAAAATTAGCTGGGTTTGGTGGTATGCGCTTGTAGTCCCAGCTGCTTGGGAGGCTGAGGCAGGAGAATCGCTTGAACCTAGGAGGCTGAGGTTGCAGGGAGGCAGAGGTTGCAGTGAGCCGAGATTGCACCACTGCACTCCAGCCTGGGTGACAAGAGCGAAACGTCATCTACACACACACACACACACACACACACACACACACACACACAGAATTTGCTTAAATCCAGCCATGTGCATATTGGTTCTGTCTTTGACCCCCAATTAATTCTTTTTAAATCCAGAGAAATCTTATAATTATTCCTAAACTCTAACATGTTGATGAATACATTTAAATGGTAACTCAAAAGTTAAAAACAACATAATTTTATTCCAAATGGACACCTGTGTGAGCATATGTGCTCTCTTGTCCCCGTGAATTTGTGTGGAGGTTTGACGTCCATTGCATTCGTACCTGAAATATAGGTGACATGTGGATCTGTCCTTTTGTTTTCCTGTCTTCTGAAAGGCTCAGGCACCATAAGGAATTGAACTAAAAATCTTACTGGAATATGTCCCAGAACAATCTTACGGCATGCCCTATCTTAGGTGAATTTTCTTTGAGGTCCACAGCTCATGTTTCAGAAGGACAGAAACAATGCCTCGGGCTTATTTTCCTCTCCTCCAGAGCTCCTACCCCAGTTTTAGGTTGAGAGTAAGTACACAATTCATCAGCAATTATCCAGCTGAATTGTTTAGCATTTTTATGTCATCAAAATGGAAGAAGAGCACATATCAAATGTGAGAACTAAATTCATTAGTGGAATGATTTTGCGAAGTCACAAAACACACAGATAGGATTTAGATCGATTATTTAGAATAAAGATTGCATTCCTATTTCACACAGGCAGCTCCAATTCTTCATTGTTAGGAGAAAGCCATTACTATTCCATCACTCTGATGCTGTCACTAGGAAGTAACATCAGTCAAACCAGCCTGTGCAGGACGAATCTCATTCTTAGTTCTAGAGTCTCACAAAATGCCTTAGAAGATCTTAATTTAGGAAGCAAGGGGCAAATGAAACAATTTGAATGTTTTCTTTTTCTCATTATTCAAGGTTTCAAAAATGAAGACAATGAGACTCTGGCATGGGAGGGTGTCATGAAGGAAAACTACCTTGTCAAGATCAACACAAAAGCCAACGACACCTCAGAGGAGTATGTCAGACATCCCTTTCTGCTTTGCAAGGCTCCCTCTGTAGACATAAGCCCATAGAACGTAGGCAGCTTATTTGAGCAAACTCAGTAAAGAGCATTTTCAACAGAGAATAATACCACCACAAAGATATTACCCGGGCAATTGAAGATGACAAACGCGTAAGTGTGTGCCAGCCTTTGGAGAAGGAGAAAAAACACCCACCTACTATCCCAATTGCCCTTCAAGGCCCTGGGAGAGAGAGAGGTATTTGGAGCCTGCAGTGCAGGGCCATGGAACTAGGTAACAAGAGGGTGGGTCCCCTGCTGCGGCCGCAGAGGTGGGTTCTGGCAAGACTCACAGGTCATGGGCCATTGGCATTATCTTGCAAGTGCCACACACCTATTTATCTTTGTGGTGAAGAAGTACAGATATTAGAAGATAGAAAAACCATTTTGTTGATCTGTTACAGGCTGTCCATGAAAAATCCTGAATTCATTTATGAATCGCATGAAGCTGTTATAAAATCCATGTGATTAAGAAATACGTTGATTAAACATCTTATAGAAATAGATAAGTCATAGCTAAGTCTGTAGGTGGCCCAGAAGTAATGTGTTGTGAAGTCTATAGAGCGTGCTCTTATTGTAAATGTTAACGTTCTTCACTGACAGCTGTCACTCTTCCTGAGGGTTCAAAACACACCTCAAGTTTCACTCTAACAAAATATGAGTATATATAAGCACAACTAATACCTTTGCTGGGTTCAATACAGCTGTTGAAAGAAGCATGGGATGCTCGTTCTAACAACAGAGATGATGTCATAAGCTCTCCTCCATCCCTAGACTCTGAGATCTAGGTTTTGCAAGGGACACACAGACTTACAAGTCCTTTTCCACCGCCCTGTCAACAGCAATAGCATTTATGTGCTGCACTTCTAATTGTGATGAGATAAAATTCTGCTTTGTTAGGGTACTAGGAAGAAAATCAGAAAGGTAAATGCAGCTGATTCTTGATTTAGCTAAGAGTGAAAATGACTTGTATTCTGTACTTTAATTTAAAAGACTGCAAAATGGAGCCTAATAGCCCTCTCTCAATCTGTTTTTCTCTTGTTCACTTTCTTTTTCATTAACTTCTTTGCAGAATGAGGCATCGATTTAGACAACTGGATACAAAGGTATGGTTCTGTTAATAGTTTGGATTTTTTTTTTTTTTTGGTCACTAATACTTTGAGCTTTCAGCTAGAGGCCAGTAGTTGTGATAATAAAAGAAGTTATATTCAGCTTTCTTAATTCACTGTCTAAGAGCAGGGTGCTGGAATGGTATTGCTTCTCATGCTCTAAGCATCTCCCAGGGAAGAGTCTTGAAGTCCCACTTCCATGATGTCCAAAATCTTTTCTGTCTTATCCAACTCAGGGCCCCCTCTTCTCTTTCTTTCAGCTGTGGAGGCAGGTGAAGATGCTTACAATTATAGGGAACATAAGGAAGGCTCAAAAGAGCTTTTTGGGAGCCAGTGTGCCTTGATGCTAGTCTTTGCTGCCACTCTGATTCGTTGCCTGTTTTATTTGGAGGGCATTGGAAATGCGTGAGTACGCATATGAACACCAGGCATAGACAGAGTGTGTCTGCCCTCACTCTGAGCTGGGTAGCTGAAATTATAATCAGGTTCAAATCACAATCGATTCGTATATGCTAGATCCCTGCTAGGCTCTGAAGAGGAGATGATATTTGGTATTCTATCACGTTAGTTTGAGAATGGCATCCCGGATGATGACATTCATAGACCTCCCAGTGTTGTGGCTGTTCGGTGGGTAGACAGGACCCCATCTGGTTTGGCAAAATCTCCACCACCCAGTACCTTGACCATAGTAGAGCCTTAATAAATGTTTATTGAATGAATAAATGAACAAAAGGGGTCCCTTGCAGAGCTCTCATATAAGAATTTATCTGTTTACAGTTTCTTGTTTATTTATTTGTGTTATTTACCCTCAACATTTAAAAAATCTAGGCAGTAGTTGGCAGCTGTGAAGGCCCTAAGTCTAGAGAACGATGGGTTGTTGTAAGCAGCTGAAATGAGGGGCAGCATGAACCAGAAGAGAGCCCAGTGGGAAGAAGTGGGGGAGTCTGGGTTATTCTGCCTGGGAACTTGCTTGCCTCTTTACAGAGCTGGATTTTATTCCCATGCAAGGGAAGGCTCGGGGAGTTTTAAAACCCAAGAGGGACCTATCTGGAATCCTCCTTTCACAGTGCTCTCTGAGTGATCAGAATGGTTGTGGAGGAGAGGCTCCAGCAATCTGGTTGGGGAGTTAGATGCGCTGGGAACTCTTCTACGTGGTGTGTTTGTAGAGAAAACAGTCTATTTTAGTTTGTTTTGTTTTTTACTCGAGTTTATTTGGAGTGACTTCGGAGGGAGCTAATGGAAAGCCATCTTAGGGTTTGGGCAAAAGCTTCCCCAAGCCACACCTTGGTCCTGATCCTGCTGTGGGACATGCAGAGAGTGGACAGAGGAGGGCAGCAACAGTGGATGCAGGAAGAGAGGGACAGGGTGCGAGCCTTGGCCCCAGCCTGGGCCCTGGGTCAGAGGAGAGGCGGTAGAATTGTGGATACAGGACCAGCTGACCTGACTCCTAGGGTCCAGGAAGTTCGTCAGCCTGGATCCCCACTGCACAGCGCAGAGCCTCGGCCATCACTCAGGAGGTCCCACCGCCTCCCTCCCCTTCTCCCTTTCCCCTTGCTCTGTCTCTTTTTTTAAAATTTCCCCCTCTGTCCTCTTACTTCCCCTTCTGAACAACCAAAAATCCCTCCTTCTTTTTACTCACAGAGAATTTTAGGGATAATCTTTTGTTTCTCAAGAAAGCTTCTGGAGTCTTTTAAATTTATTTTTAAACAGCTTTATTGAGATATCATTGACATATAAAATTATATATATTTAAAATGTACAATTTGATGCTTTGATGCATGTATACATTGCAAAATGATCACTACAACCGAGCCCAGCTAATTAACATCGTATTACTTCTACATATTTACCATCTGTGAGTGTTGTATGTATGTGTGAGGGAATTAGATTAATTTAAAATCTCTCCTCCTGGCAAATTTCGTGGGTACAATGTTGTTAACTATTGTCACCATGCTGTACAGTTGATCTCTAGAATTTATTTATCTTGCATAACAGAAACTTTCTGCCCTTTGACCAATATCACCTGATTTGCCCCTCCTTCTTAGCCCCAGCGACCACCGTGCTACTCTCTGACTTGATGAGTTTGACTCTTTTAGATTTCACATATAAGTGAGATAGTGCATTATTTCTCTTTCTGTGTCTGGCTAATTTTGTTTAGCATAATGTCCTCCAGCTCCACTTACGCTGTGGAAAATGGCAGCATTTCTTTCCCCATTTTAAGGGTGAAAAATATTCCATTATAGGTATGTACCACATTTTCTTTATCCATTGATCTCTTGATGGACATTAGGTAGTTTCCATATTTTGGCTATTGTGAATCATGCTGCAGTGAATGTGAGAATGCAGATATCTCTTTGTGATCCTGATTTCAATTCTTTTGGACCTAAACCCAGAGGTGGGATTGCTGGATCATATGATAATTGTATTTTTGTTTTTTTTGAGGAACTTCTATACTGTTTTCCATAATAGCTATATCAACTTACCTTCCCACCAATAGTGTACAAGAGTTCGCCTTTTCCCACCTCCTTGCCAACACTTATCATCTGCCTTTTTGATAATAAGCGTCGTAACAGGTGTGAGGTATGGTCTCATTGTGGTTTTGATTTGTATTTCCCTGATGATTAAGTGTTGAGCACCTTTTCATATACCTGTTTGACATTTGAATTTTTTCTTTTGAGAAGTGTCTAAGTTTTTACCCACTTTTTAATCAGTTTATTTGTATTTTTGGTATTGAGTTGTATGAGTTCCCTATGTATTGTGGATATTAGGTGCTTACTGATAAATGGTTTGTAAATCTCTTTTTCCCACTTCATAGGTTGCCCTTTTATTTAATTTATTGCTTCCTTTGTTGTGAAGAAGGTTTTGTTTTACATAATCCCACTTGTTTGTTTTTGCTTTTCTTGTCCTTGCTTTTGGAGTCATATCCAAAAAAATCATTGCCACGACCAGAGTCAAGAAGGTTTTCCCCTATGCTTTCTTCTGGGAGTTTTACAGTTTCAAGTCTTATGTTTAAGCCTTTGATCCATTTTGAGTTGATTTTTGTGTATAGTCTGAGATAGGGGTCCAATGTTATTCTTTTACATGTGGATATCCAGTTTTTTCAACACCATTTATTGAAGACTTTCCTTTCCCCACTGATGCCTTTGGAGAAATCAGTTGGCTATAAATATGTGAATTTATTTCTGGGCCCTTTATTCTATTCCATTGGTCTATAGTCTGTTTTTATGTCAGTACCGTACTGTTTTGATTACTTTAGCTTTGTAATATAATTTGAAGTCAGGAAGTGTGATGCTTCCAGCTTAGTTCTTTTTGCTCAAGATTGCTTTGGCTATTCAGAATCTTCTGTGGTTTTATATAATTTTAGGATTGTTTTCTCTATTTCTTTAAAAAAAAAGCTCATGGAATTTTGATAGGGATTGCATTGAATCTGTAGACTTCTTTGAGTAGAATGGATATTTTGGCAATATTCATTTTTTCAATCCATGAACATGGGATGTTTTTCCATTTATTTGTGTCTTTTAAAATTTCCTGGCCGGGCGCAGTGGTTCATGCCTGTAATCCCAGCACTTTGGGAGGCCGAGGCAGGTGGATCACAAGGTCAGGAGATCGAGACCATCCTGGCTAACACAGGGAAACCCCGTCTCTACTAAAAACAGAAAAATTAGCCGGGTGTGGTGGCAGGCACCTGTAGTCCCAGCTACTCTGGAGGCTAAGGCAGGAGAATGGCGTGAACCTGGGAGGCAGAGCTTGCAGTGAACCGAGATCGCGCCACTGCACTCCAGCCTGGGAGACAGAGCGAGACTGTCTCAAAAAAAAAAAAAAAAAAAAAGATTTCCTTTATCAATGTTTTATAATTTCCAGTGTACCAGTCTTTTACTTCTTTGTTAAATTTGTAAGAATTTTATTCTTTTTGTTACTTATATTAATGGATTGTTTTCATAATTTCCCTTCTAGATAGCTCTTTGTTGGTGTATAGAAATGCCATTAATTTTTATGTGTTGACTTTGTATCCTGCAAATATACTGAATTTATTTATGAGTTCTAACAGTTTTTTTTTTTTTTTGAGACAGAGTCTCTGTCACCCAGGCTGGAGTGCAGTGGTGCAATCTCAGCCCACTGCAACCTCTGCCTCCTGGGTTCAAGCGATTCTCCTGCTTCAGCCTCCTGAGTAGCTGGGATTACAGGCGTGCACCACCATGCCCGGCTAATTTTTGTATTTTTAGTAGAGATGGGGTTTCACCATGTTGAGCAGGATGGTCTCCATCTCCTGACCTTGTGATCTGCCTGCCTTGGACTCCCAAAGTGCTAGGATTACAGGCATGAGCCACCACGCCCAGCAGTCCTAACAGTTTTTTTTTGTGTGTGTGAGAGTGTGTGTGTGTGTGTGTGTGAGTGTGTGTAGTCTTTAGGATTTTCTTCATATAAGATTATGTTATATGCAAATAGAGATAATTTTACTTTCTTCTTTGTTATTTAGATGCCTTTTCTTTTCTTTTTTTCTTGTCTGATTTCTCTGGCTAGAACTTGTCATGCTATGTTAAATAGCAGTGGTGAGAATGGGCATCCTTGCCTTATTCTTGATCTTAGAGAAAAAGCTTTCAATTTTACCCCATTAAATATGATTTTAGTTGTGGGTTTTTTCATATATGGCCTTTATTGTGTTGTAGTAAGTTCCTTCTATATCGATTTTGTTGAGAGTCTTTTTTTTTCTTTTATCATGAAAAGGCCTTGAATTTTGTCAACTACTTTTTCTGTATCTATTGAGATGATCATGTGGTTTTTGTCTTTCATTCTGTTAATGTAGTGTATCACACTGATGAATCTTCATATTTTGAACCACCCTTGCATCCCAGGGCTAAATACCCCTGGGTGGTGGTGTCTTCACGGATCCTTTTAATATGCTCTGAAATTCAGTTTGCTAGTATTTTATTGAGATTTCTGTATCTATGTTCCTCAGGAACATTGGCCTATAGTTTTCTTTTCTTGTGTTATCTTTTTCCGGCTTTGGTAAAAGAACAATGCTGGCCTCACACAATGAATTTGTACTTGTTCCCTTTTCTATTTTTTGGAAGAGTCTAAGGTTTGGCATTTGTTCTTCTTTGACTGTCTGCTAGAATTTACCAGTAAGCCATCTGATTTCCCAGTAAGCCATCCTGGGCTTTTCTTTGTTGAAAGCTTTTTGATTGCTGATTTTCATTTTCTTCATTTGTTGTTTGTCTGTTCAGGCTTTGTATTTCTTCTTGATTCAGGTCTTTGTAAGTTGTACATTTCTGGGATATTTCCATTTCTTCTAGGTTGTCCACCTTGTTTGCATATAATTGTTCATACTAGCCCCTTCTGATCCCTTTCATTTCTATGCCCTCTGTTGTAAGGTTGTCTTTCTCATTTCTGACTGTATTTATTTGTATCTTCTTCCTTTTCTTAAAAGGTTTGTTGATTTTGTTTATCTTTTCAAAAAACCAACTCTTACTTTCAATGATTTTTTTTCCCATTGTTTTTCAACTCTCTTTTTTAAAAATGTATTTTGCTCTTGGAGTTTTTGCTCTACTTTAAACAGCTTACTAAAGTCATTTTACTATTAACAAATACAAGGCTCTTTCAAAAGCTCCTATAGGGAATACAAAATTTCCCCATCTCCTTATACCAGAAAACAAAGTTATTTACAATTCATCTTAAGTCTGTAAGTATGGATCTTACTATGCCTTATTTATTTTAGGAAGCCGTTAGCACTTATAGTTTCATTTTTTTCTTTTATTTTTAAACAGTTAAAGTAAAAGGTTACTACTGGAATTAAGCTCAACTTAAATACAGATTTTTTTCTTGAGTGAGTGATAAAGCAAATTAGAAACCAAACTGTACAGAAATTGCTTTTAGCAAATGTAGTAATATGACATGTAATTTAAAATGACTTCATGTATCTTTTGTAATAAATTTGTGAAACATGCATGGATCAAGATTAATTTCATTATGCCTCTTACTTAAATTGTCTGCTGTTTTTGTGTGTGTGGGGAAATCTTTTATTTGCAAAAATTTGATTTCTTAGTATCACATTATTTTTATTAGTATTATACTTTTACCAAAGCAAAACTTAATTAGTATCTTATACTTTTATTAATGTTAGTTACATAGAACATTATTCTTTTTACATATTACTTGTTTGTATTATTGCAATCTATTATTTCTGTTTGGGAGCACTAATGATTTGGATCTGAGTAAAGTTAATATTAATTGGTTTACTAATTGGTTACTAATTGCTAGTGATATGATTTCAGAAAGTAAGCAATGATCAGGATCTGAAATATCACATGCCACTCTCATTCTGCCTTATTTTAGATGTGCCATGCTTGCTATTTAGTAGACATGTCTGTTTCTTAGAAAAGGCACAGAGCGATAATTTAAAAATGAAAGTTGGAAAATTTATCTTAAGATGAGTTCTATTTTTTTCTCTTTCCAAGCTTAATGATCTCAAGGGTCTTCTGAAAGAGAT
Source organism: Homo sapiens (assembly GCF_000001405.40). Classification (NCBI taxonomy): domain Eukaryota; kingdom Metazoa; phylum Chordata; class Mammalia; order Primates; family Hominidae; genus Homo; species Homo sapiens. The sequence goes on from NC_000002.12 coordinate 234,014,594, forward strand.
TGCTAATAAAATCAAATAAAACTGTATGAACTCTAATGGAGAAAAATCTAATTATAGCAAGGTGAGTCATTCTAATAGCTTTTTACTTTGCTCTGAAGATTTGCATCTTTTAAGACTAATTTAAGATCATGATTTTTTCCTCAGTTATTTTATTTCCATAAATTACCAAATTTGAAAATAATGCATTGTGCAAAAAAAAAAAATACAGAGATAGAGAAAGAACAAGTTGAAGTTCCTCCTCACATTACCTTCCCTACCAATTTTGCTGCCCACACCAGGGATTAGCATTGCTACGAGCAGGGTGTAAGTATCTTGTCCTGTAGGACCTTTTAAAACACTTGCAACCTATGCAGCTATTTTGGCATGAATTGAAACAAGGTCACACTGTTCCAAGTTCTGTTATTTTTTGATCTTCCTTAATTCTGTATCATGAATGTATTTACAGATCAGCACCCAAAGATGTCTTATTCTCATGATATTATATTTATTACTATGAATATACAAATATGTTAATCATCTTTTTACTAACAAAAAATGTTTTGGTGAGGCATTCAAGGTTTTTAACAATAGCTCTTTTGCACAATAAAAATGCAATTCAATTAACTGACAAAATTTAACCCAAGGCTTTGCTCCATGGTCTTACTGTTTGCTTTTATTATGTTTTCTCATTACCTGTCCAAATCTTGAAACCAAATGTTAGGAATGTTTTATGGACACGTCGAGTTAGGAAAAAAACAGCAATGGGCATTCCACTGGATTAGAATTTTTTTTTTTTTTGAGAAAGCAAATTGCAAGGAATGGAAACATAATTAAGAATTCTCTTCTTTCTCCTTCCTCTCTTCCCTTCCTTCCATGAGTATTTATTGAGTACCTGCTCAGTGCTCAGAACTGTGCTGGCCCTGGCACTGACCTCATACACTGACCACTGTCTATGCATTAAGTACTTAAGCTGCAGAAATTCCTATTCATGGGGTGATTGTGCTATAGGGGAAATCATGTTGCATTAGGTTCCTTTCAATCTTTCTGGTCTCAGAGTTCTTTTCCTTGGGTTCTGACAGTTATAGCTCATATTAAAAAGCACTGTATTATGGAGGGCTTTGTTAGAGCAAGACTGATGCACATTTGATGTAATCTGAAAGGGAGGTACAGCCTTCTGACGTGCTCAAGAAAATAAGCCTTGCATATTAAGGGAGAACTTATTTCAACTTTTTCATAATCGTATTTAATGAAAACACTATTAAACCTTATAATAAATTACAATTTGGGTTTTGAAACACATGCCATCTTGTTTAGTTTATCTGCTGAAATATAGAAACAAAATCAGCAACAGATAGAACAACTAAAATGATACAAATCTAAAGGTGATTAAAGAGTTGTAATAATCAGAAGAGAGTCAGATTCAGACACGCACATCCCCCTCCTAAATATCCAGTCTTCTCATCTCTCATTCTTTCTCAAATGTGCTGACTGTGAGTAAAACGGGCAGACAGACTGATTTCCTATCAACTCGCCCTTTCTTTAACCTTAAACTTTTATTAACATATTGAGAATTAAGTAACTGATGAATGAAAAGGAACTAAGAGAAGGACATCACTTATTTTGTGTGTGTGTGTGGGTGTAGACATTTGCATCTACACAGAAAAAAAAAGAGGAGCAAAAGAGCCCATGAGAAAACAGGTGTCCCCAAAATTCAGAACCACTGGTGGCCTCAGAGACAACAAATTTGGCATGTCCAACTTTTTGTATGCTTTTTACTTCTAGATATAAGATCATTTTTTTGAATGTTGTGTTTGTCATATCCTTAAGAACATCACTGAAAATATAACTTTATAGGCAATCAGCTAGGTATGCTCTGCCAGTGTCTCCTTAGGCTTCTTTCTCTAGAGGGGTGAGGGTAATCCTTCCCTGGGGTAGTGGCCAGGGAAGACAGTGTCAGTCTCTTGTGGGAGTGAACTGGAAACCGTTTGACCTAGGCGAGGAGCTGACCCTGGGGGCAAGCCTGTACCAATTCCCCCATCTCCATCCTTGAATCAACCTTTGATCCCGGAACTTGGGATGAAATAAACAGATAATTGTCTATTTTTTTTCCTTCTCTTACACCAAAGTTGAAAGGAAGTAAGAATCCAGGGTGAGAGCAAGCCATTTGTTTTCTCCTATTTTTATACTTCAGCAGTGGGCACCCTCCCTGAAGACTATGGGAATAGACCTTACTTTAAGGAAGGTCCCTGGAAGTTGTTCATTTCCTGCATAATAGTCCGTTGATTCTTGCATTTGCTGCACTTACGTTCTAGTTCATTAAAAGAATCTAGGCTGTTCCTTGGGGGACTCATCAAAAACCCACATTTTTATGTTATTTCAGTTTTAATTCAGTTTTTAAAAATTTATGCAGAAACCACTGAGCAAATAAAATGCTCAGAAACATTCTGGGTTTTAACCTAGATTGAATGAGTTTGAATGAGTTGAGCCTTGATCATTCAACCTTAGTCACGCAGCTCACACCGATAAACTGGTCAGAATACACATCTTTAAGAGAAAAAAACATTCTCAGAGCTGCTTCTATAAAAAAAAAAATCTCTCAACTTTGGTGGTATATTTGGATCTATTCCCAGTATATTCCCAGTATATTTTGAAGCAAACCATATCCTGCCTGAGAATGGAAGTGGGAAATCTATTCTTAACACAGTGTTCTTTCTTTGTTTTTACAGATCATATTAAGGAATGCTGATGAACAATTTTGCTATCGACTACTAAATGAGAGATTTTCAGACCCCTGGGTACATGGTGGATGATTTTAAATCACCCTAGTGTGCTGAGACCTTGAGAATAAAGTGTGTGATTGGTTTCATACTTGAAGACGGATATAAAGGAAGAATATTTCCTTTATGTGTTTCTCCAGAATGGTGCCTGTTTCTCTCTGTGTCTCAATGCCTGGGACTGGAGGTTGATAGTTTAAGTGTGTTCTTACCGCCTCCTTTTTCCTTTAATCTTATTTTTGATGAACACATATATAGGAGAACATCTATCCTATGAATAAGAACCTGGTCATGCTTTACTCCTGTATTGTTATTTTGTTCATTTCCAATTGATTCTCTACTTTTCCCTTTTTTGTATTATGTGACTAATTAGTTGGCATATTGTTAAAAGTCTCTCAAATTAGGCCAGATTCTAAAACATGCTGCAGCAAGAGGACCCCGCTCTCTTCAGGAAAAGTGTTTTCATTTCTCAGGATGCTTCTTACCTGTCAGAGGAGGTGACAAGGCAGTCTCTTGCTCTCTTGGACTCACCAGGCTCCTATTGAAGGAACCACCCCCATTCCTAAATATGTGAAAAGTCGCCCAAAATGCAACCTTGAAAGGCACTACTGACTTTGTTCTTATTGGATACTCCTCTTATTATTTTTCCATTAAAAATAATAGCTGGCTATTATAGAAAATTTAGACCATACAGAGATGTAGAAAGAACATAAATTGTCCCCATTACCTTAAGGTAATCACTGCTAACAATTTCTGGATGGTTTTTCAAGTCTATTTTTTTTCTATGTATGTCTCAATTCTCTTTCAAAATTTTACAGAATGTTATCATACTACATATATACTTTTTATGTAAGCTTTTTCACTTAGTATTTTATCAAATATGTTTTTATTATATTCATAGCCTTCTTAAACATTATATCAATAATTGCATAATAGGCAACCTCTAGCGATTACCATAATTTTGCTCATTGAAGGCTATCTCCAGTTGATCATTGGGATGAGCATCTTTGTGCATGAATCCTATTGCTGTATTTGGGAAAATTTTCCAAGGTTAGATTCCAATAAATATCTATTTATTATTAAATATTAAAATATCTATTTATTATTAAAACCATTTATAAGGCTTTTTCATAAATGTATAGCAAATAGGAATTATTAACTTGAGCATAAGATATGAGATACATGAACCTGAACTATTAAAATAAAATATTATATTTAACCCTTAGTTTAAGAAGAAGTCAATATGCTTATTTAAATATTATGGATGGTGGGCAGATCACTTGAGGTCAGGAGTTCGAGACCAGCCTGGCCAACATGGCAAAACCACATCTCTACTAAAAATAAAAAAATTAGCTGGGTGTGGTGGTGCACTCCTGTAATCCCAGCTACTCAGAAGGCTGAGGTACAAGAATTGCTGGAACCTGGGAGGCGGAGGTTGCAGTGAACCAAGATTGCACCACTGCACTCCAGCCGGGGTGACAGAGTGAGACTCCGACTGAAAATAAATAAATAAATAAATAAATAAATAAATAAATATTATGGATGGTGAAGGGAATGGTATAGAATTGGAGAGATTATCTTACTGAACACCTGTAGTCCCAGCTTTCTCTGGAAGTGGTCGTATTTGAGCAGGATGTGCACAAGGCAATTGAAATGCCCATAATTAGTTTCTCAGCTTTGAATACACTATAAACTCACTGGCTGAAGGAGGAAATTTTAGAAGGAAGCTACTAAAAGATCTAATTTGAAAAACTACAAAAGCATTAACTAAAAAAGTTTATTTTCCTTTTGTCTGGGCAGTAGTGAAAATAACTACTCACAACATTCACTATGTTTGCAAGGAATTAACACAAATAAAAGATGCCTTTTTACTTAAACACCAAGACAGAAAACTTGCCCAATACTGAGAAGCAACTTGCATTAGAGAGGGAACTGTTAAATGTTTTCAACCCAGTTCATCTGGTGGATGTTTTTGCAGGTTACTCTGAGAATTTTGCTTATGAAAAATCATTATTTTTAGTGTAGTTCACAATAATGTATTGAACATACTTCTAATCAAAGGTGCTATGTCCTTGTGTATGGTACTAAATGTGTCCTGTGTACTTTTGCACAACTGAGAATCCTGCAGCTTGGTTTAATGAGTGTGTTCATGAAATAAATAATGGAGGAATTGTCATGTGTTGCTTTTGTCATTTTATTGAGAGTGACAAAATAAAATTCCTTAATTCGGTCAGATTCACTTCTATAGGGATTTGGTTCCCAGAGTTACATGAACTGACTTCTCTAAGCAGATGACTAGAGCATTCTGATTAAATGCAAGCAAATGAATTCCCCCCTCTGGTTCTGGTTCTTGTCAACATGGCCAGATCTGAATTCTGTGGCCCACTTTTTGGTTTCCCCCAAGTCAGGCATCCATCTGTAGCCCCGGGGACTCCAGATTCATTGACTCAGAGCCACCCCAATGTGTCATGGGGCTTTTTTGAGGCCTCATGTGGGCTCACAAACAGGTGCTCCTGCTCTATGTTGGGGTCAACACGAATGTTGATTGTCCACAAACCACTTGACAATGGAGCTTCGGGCCCAGCAAAGGACATGATTCCCTTGTTGTAGGCATTGTCTCCAGAGTGTTCCTGGGCCCTCCTGCTCCAAACACACATTCATTCCAGGAAGAATCTGGGAAATGTCTCTTTTCCCATGCTGCTGCTGCTTGGTCCACCTGGGGACTGAAGTGTGTTGTTGTCATGGATACAGTTGCTGGCGCAGCCTCAGTCTCAAAATAAAAGGCTTGAAAGTCAGGGTTGAGCTGGTGCTGGATACGGGGAGCACACATCCCACTGACCTTCCCAACCCGAACTCAGGTATGAGCAGGTGAGCCTTTATTCCCCTGAAGATAGAAATCTTTATGGGAAAAGTGACAGTAGCTGGCCTACCTCATTTGTTTATCAGACCCAAACAGGCATCTCTGAACCACAATTAATTTAGTGGAATCAGTTGGGGCTTAGGGTACTACACATACACATTTATAGCATCAAATTTTTAAAATCAGTTTGTTCCCTACAAAAATCTTATCTGACAAGAAGAAATTTCCCTTCTTCTTTTATATGTGTAACATGTAACATGTTGTTACTAAATGTTGACTTTGGGCACTTCTTTGGCTATAAGAATGGTTCAAAATAAGTGAAAGGGATTGGTAGCCTGCGCCTTCCATCATTTTACAATCTGTTTGAATAGTTGAGGTTAATTTAAGCAATGAAATTAACACTACAAGGCAGAATTCCAAGTGCGTGTGTATCTTTATTCTGCAGATCCACATACAGAATAAGGAGATTCTCCTGTGTGGGGTAGAGGATGAGGGAAGTGCCTGGGGACACTCATCTTTGCTTGTGAAATAAGACAGAGAACATTGGCTTCTCCTGAATTCCTCCCAAGGAGACCAGTCTTGTATTTGTAGAGCAGAACTGCCCCAAGAAACTCCTCAAGGTAGAGGGCAAGACACAGGTGGCTGCACGTGGTCACTAACGGCGGTGCATTAGTCAAGTGGGATGCATTTGAAGTTGCTGGGAAAATATTGAGGAGGATTCAGGGAGACTAAGAACAGCAAAAAGGGGCAGGCTAGAGGAATGTGTTAGGGGGAGTGTGTTTTGAGGACCCTTTCCCTGGGATGGTACAAATCTTCAGAAAATAAATACACAAATTAAAGCACTTGTATCATCAGAACACCCGTGACCTTCTAGAACATGGAGCATGGCATGCCTGCGAGCCCCCCACAGCCCCCCATCATGCTAGATTGCAGCAAGATCCTTCCATCCAAGTTCTCACCTCTCCCATTGATTCTCAACACTGCTCTGGGGGTATCTTTCTGAAATGCAAGATGGAGCCAACCATTCCCTGCTCACAAGTCTTCAGAGATTCCCTATGTACTAACTCCTGCCTAACTTCTAATATGGGGCTCATGGACAGCAGCGGCCTGGCCCTTACCTCTGCAGATGCATCCTAGAGTCCTCCCTGCCTAGATCCCAAACTTCGAAGACAGCCGTCTGGGCACAGACTTCATGCCAACTGCCAGTGTGGCCCTCCTGTCCTGAGCTGAGTGGCATGTTCCCCTTTGACACTTCCCACCACCTACTGCCCAGCACTCTTTGCCAGGGGAAAACCAAACCACTTGTGTTGGCCACTCTTCCCCATGGCTTTCCCCTATCCTTTGTTTTATTCCTCTAGGGGTTTCCTAAAAGGAGGCAGCATAGTGCTATAACTCAGAACTGCATCATTGTTCGAAAGCTCTGCGACTTTGAAAAGGTTATATGAGTTTTCTGTGCCTTGGTTTATGCATCTGTAAAATGACCCTTCTTCCTCAGAGGACTGAGAGGATTCCATGAGATAAGTTGAGAAGTCCCTAGATCCAGGGCTGGCCCTTTATAACTGCTCAGTGAATGTTAGCTGTCCCCATCACCACCATTTTCAGCTGTTCTCTCTGGCTAATGTCTCTTCCACCTGTCTCTTTGGCAAACTCTTATTTTACCGTCAGGGCCCAACTTGAGAATCACCTCTTCCTGCAAGCCTGCCTTGATCCTCTGCTCCCAGAGCAACCTCTGGTAGCTTTGTCCTATGAGGGCTTCCTGGCTCTTCCACTCATGGCACGTGTAGAAAATAGAACCTGTAGGTCACCTGGTGCTGGACAAGGACTTCTCTTAGTCACAGGCCCTGGCTGGACCCTACTTAGTGGCTAAGTGCCTTGACACCCCTGTAGTCAATTCATGGTCAGGCAGCTGTGATGATCAACTCCCATCATGATCTGTTTATGTGTCTCCTCCCTTCACTGGACTGGGAAGTTCTTGAGGGAAGAGACTTTTACTGGTTTGTTTAACTCGTTACACCCAGACAGTGCCTGGTCTGTTGCAGGAGTTGGATGGGATATTTATGTGGTTGAACTGAGCTCTTCTTCACCATTCTCCAAAGTGCTGTATAATTTCTTTATTCATGTTCCTTCTTCTCTCTTGCCTAGTTGAAATATTATTTGTAATTAAGCACCTTTGCACCCTTTCCTTGCAATCCCAGGCAGAGGTCACAAGTCCTGCCCCATGTGAGGACAGACCCCTATTTACAAACTTGACTTCAGCCCTTGCTGGTCATTGTATAGGGGACTCCAGATAAACAGAAACAATACATTTATTATGAGGAACTGGCTCACATGATGATGGAGGCTGTGAAATCCCACAGTCTGTCATCTGCAAGCTGGAGACCCAGGAAAGCTGGTAGTGTGTAATTCCAGTCTGAGTCCAAAGGCCTGAGAACCACAAGCATTGATGGCGCAAGTCCCAGTCCAAAGGCAGAAGAACAATGTCTCAGCTCAAAGTCAGGCAGAAATAGAGAATTCAGCCTTCCTCAACCCTTTTGTTCCATTCAGGTCCTCCATGGATTGAGTGATACCCATCCACACTGGGGAGGGAAATCTGCTTTATTGAGTCCACCAATCCAAATGCTAATCTCATTCTGAAACACCTCCACAGACACACCCAGAAATAAAGCTTAACGACATATCTGGGCACCCCATGACCCAGTCAAGTTGACACATGAAGTTAACCATCACAGCTCTGTCTCCCCAACTCCCCTGATTAGGAGCTCTTGTGGGACAAAGCCCTGGACATTTGTACCAGTTCACACACGTATGCATTTAGACACATAAACTGTGTGCCATAATGTGCTTAGCTATAACCTAAACCTATTCTCATGGAATTACAATCCACATGGAAAGCCAGGTCCAAGCTAGTTGCAGGCATGAGCCATGAACTGTGATGGGGGCTTGAGTGCAAGGACTTTAGGGGAGCAGGTAGGAGGGGGTCACAACCTCGCTATGGGAGAAAAGGCAGGAAGGCATCCCAGTGTGTCCAGAATTGGTGGGTTCTTGGTCTCACTGACTTCAAGAATGAAGCCACAAACCCTCGCAGTGAGTGTTACTGTTCTTAAAGGCAGCATGCCCAGAGTTTGTTGCTTCTGATGTTTAGATGTGCTTGGAGTTTCTTCCCTCTGGTGGGTTCATGGTCTCGCTGGCTCAGCGGTGAAGTTACAGACTTTTGCGGTGAGTGTTATAGCTCTTAAGGTGGCGAGTCTGGAGTTGTTCGTCTCTCCCGGTGGGTTCGTGGTCTCGCTAGCTTCAGGAGTGAAGCTGCAAACCTTCGCAGTGAGTGTTAACAGCACATAAAGGCAGTGTGGACCCAAAAAGTGAGCAGCAGCAAGATTTACTGCAAAGAGTGAAAAAACAAAGCCTCTACAGCATGGAAGGCAACTAAGCGGATCGTCCCTGCTGACCGGGGCAGCCTGCTTTTATTTCCTTATCTGGCCCCACCCACATCCTGCTGATTGGTCCACTTTACAGAGAGCCGATTGGTCTGTTTCACAGAGAGCTGATTGGTCCGTTTTGACAGGGTGCTGATTGGTGCATTTACAATCCCTGAGCTAGACACAAAAGTTCTCCACCTCCCCACTAGATTAGCTAGATACAGAGTGTCCATTGGTGTATTTACAAACCCTGGCTAGACACAGAGTGCTGATTGGTGCATTTACAAACCTTGAGCTAGATACAGAGTGCCAATTGGTGCATTCACAATCCTTTAGCTAGACATAAAGATTCTCCAAGTCCCCACCAGATTAACTAGATAGAGTGCTGATTGGTGCATCCACAAACCCTGAGCTAGACACAGGGTGCTGATTGGTGTGTTGTTTACAAACCTTCAGCTAGATAAAGAGTGCTGATTGGTGTGTTTACAAACCTTGAGCTAGATATAGAGTGCTGATTGGTGTATTTACAATCCCTTAGCTAAACATAAAGATTCTCCAAGTCCCACTAGACTCAGGATCCCAGCTGGCTCCACCCAGTGGATCTCACACCAGGGCCACAGGTGGAGCTGCCTGCCAGTCCTGCGCCGTTCGCCTGCACTCCTCAGCCCTTGGGCGGTGGATGGGATTTGGCGCCGTGGAGTGAAGGGGGCGGCACTCATCGGGGAGACTCAGGCCGGGCAGGAGCCCACGGCGGGCGAGGGGGCAGACTCAGGCAAGGCGGGCTGCAGGTCTCGAGCCCTGCCTGGTGCGGAGGCAGCTAAGGCCCAGCGACAAATCAAGCGCGCGGGCTGGTGGACCAGCACTGCTGGGGGACCCAGTGCACCCTCTGCAGCTGCTGGCCTGGGTGCTAAGCTCCTCACTGCCTGGGCCGCAGGGCCGGCTGGCCGCTCCGAGTGCAGGGCCCACCAAGCCCACGCCCACCCGGAACTCTAGTTGGCCCGCAAGCGCTGTGCGCAGCCCCGGTTCCTGCCCGTGCCTCTCCCTCCACACCTCCCCGCAAGCCAAGGGAGCCGGCTCCGGCCTCGGCCAGCCCAGAGAAGGGCTCCCACAGTGCAGCGGCAGGCTGAAGGGCTCCTCAAGCACGGCCAGAATGGGCGCCGAGGCCGAGGAGACACCGAGAGCGAGCGAGTGAGGGCTGTGAGGGCTACCAGCACGCTGTTACCTCTCCCCAGGACCCAGCTAAGGGATAAATAGCACTTATCACGGAGGAGTGTTTGAAGCAAATGGAACACATATGGGCTAGTGGTGGAGAGCACAGGTTTGAACTGGCTCGCCTGGGCTCAAATCCCGCCTCTGAAATATGTTGGGACCCTTGCCTGGCATGCAGTCCGTACTCATAAAATGTTAGCTCTTGTAGCTACATGTCACTTACCAACTTTTAAAATCTGTGTTTTGGGCAAAATGTTTCACAGTTATCCTGTGAAATTTGCCTTCACATGTCAGGAATGATTTTGCCTGAGAAAAATGAAAACAAGCCAATTGCCTTCAGGGAGCTGCACCTGTGGGGTAAAGACCCCAGGGAGGCTTCCTACAGGGACACAGGAGACCCCTGCATAGGGTGTGGGTATTAAAGTGCATCTGCCACCCTCAACCCCAAAGTGGATTTTCCACCCAGTATAGTGCTTTTTTTCCACACACACACACACACACATGCCCCCCCCCCCAAAAAAAACAAAACCCAACAACAAAGCTGCAGGTCTCCAAATGAAGAGCTTTAGCAGCACTTTTTTTTTCCTTTTAAGTTATGAGATGGGAAAATAGCATTTGCAGTAATTTTGTGTGGCTATAACTGAAATTCCATGTGCGTGTTTTGCCTTATCGCTTTTAAGTAAGTACAAAGGGACAGATAATGCTTCCAAATGCATGCTGTCTCTATTATGACTATGGTAACTCCCAATCACTTGACTGTAAATAGTGCGGGGTTTCTGTCCCTGTTTCACATGCCTTTCACCCTACCTTTGAGCTTCCTCCTTCGCACCACCCGCCCCCCACCCCCCCCTCCACCGCGTCTCTTGCTTTCATTTCTGCACTGGCAAATGGCTATGATGTTTGGTTCCTTTTTTTCAGAGATGAGTGAAGAATTCAAGAGAAACTGCCCTCTGGGTTGATGGCGAGAGTTTTTGCCTTCAGCTTCACCTCTCACGTCCTCTGGATAGACCTCCCAATGGGGGCAAAACCACCGCAAAATGAAAATCCCCTCCTCCCCATTGAATCTGCTCTGCTGAAGCTGCAACACTCTCGGATTATTCCAGAAATGGATGTCCTTTCAAGCCCCGCTGTCAGTTTCTTTCCGATGCATAAGGCGATTTATGGATGCTTTATTCTAAGCCATGTGCCTTCAGTGACCCAGAACTGACAAGACTTGAGTTCCTGGCCCCCTGCAGGTTTCTCCACAGTCCATTCCCTAGCAGCCCCCTCCCCAGGGACAGCCTGAGGACACCAACACCAAGCAATAGCTCTGTCCCCTGCAGAACCTCCCATCCTTCTCCCTCCACAGCCCCCTCCTACTCCCCAGCTCCCCCACCCTCCAGCCCCTTCAAAACCCATCAAAGCCCCAGGACTTTGAGCACTGCTATCCTTCGGAGTGTCAGGCAACCACAATACTCTCATTCCAAGGGAGGGTCATTTCCAGGTCAGGAGAATCATTTTCCTTCCACTGCTGAGAGCTCCAGAATCCTGGATTTAGGTTCCTTTGTTATGAGGTTTCCTCTTCTGATCCTTCCACAATTAAGTGACACAATTTCTCTCCCCATTAAAAGGCAGGAGGCTTTCATTTTCAGACTTGAAGAGCATTTGACTTGAATGGAAGCACTTTTGAGTTCAGAGAGGGAAGATAAGTTCATTTTCATTGAGCACCACGGCTCACCTCTTCATATGATTTGCTCAGATTAATTCTCCAGTATTTCACATTCTCAAAGAATGTGAAAACCCCACTGATGAGACGGATCATGAAGCTTCCCTGGGCTTCAGTTCCCTCATTAGAAAAAGGAATGATTTGAACCAAATAATTATGCAGGCTCTCCCTGCTTTGAAATACTGACATTTTGTCACTGCTAGAATAAATGGAAGGAGAGCACATGGCTTTGGTCAAAACAAACAACAACAAACCTTCTTGACCATTTTGGTTGCTTTTACGTGATTTCTGTAAATGTGGCAGGGCAGAAAGGACAGGTGTTAAATGATGAGTGTTCACACCTTCCCTCTCCTCTCACAGCCTTCGGAAGGGTGGAGTTTCCTGCTTGGTTCACCAGGCAGTCTTTGGTTGTGGGAATGAACCTGGTGGTAGAAAAATGAGGAAACAGGAAGGTTCCAGGGAGGCAAGTGGAAAGGAAGAAGGGGGCCCGCCCGGCTGCATTCGAGAGAATTTACCGAGTGTGGAGAGGAGGAGTAGCAGGATTTTGGGCCCTGCCTCGCTTGTGTGCGTGTGTGTGCGTGTAAGCGTGTGCTCTGTCTGAAGCTCTCCTTCTACCCACTCCCTACTCTCTGTCATGGCCATTTCAGACCTCCATTATCCTCAAAGGCTTTGGTTCCTCTTGTTCCCCAATCTCCTTCTGTAGTCTTGGCAAATAGTCTGACTTTCTACTTTTCCATTCCAATAGCAATTCTCTCAATCTCTCTCTTCCAAGTTACAGACCTTCATCCACCTGGACCAGAACGTTAGGGTTCTTTTCTACTGCAGTGGAGGAGTGTTCTTTTGTTTTCTCTAAGGTCAGCTGTCTCCTCCTGTGCTTTGGATGCCATCCCCTCCATTCTTGTCAGGAACCTTGTAGCAGTGATTACCCCTCCTCTCGCCTTCCCTTAACCTCTTCCTCTCTCAACTGGAAACTTCCATCAGAAGTATTTCAATTTGCTCAAGCCTTTCCCATTTTCACTATATAAAGCCTATGCCCTCCCTCTTCCCATTGCCCTTTCTGTCTCCTTTCTTTCGTAGTCTGAGTTTTCAGAAATGTCCCTATACTCATTGTCTCCATTGCTTTCCCTCTCTTTCTCTGCTTAGCCTTCTCCAGTCCACTACAGCCTTCATTCCCCCATGAAGCTCCTCCTTCTAAGCTGGCCAGTGATCTCAATGTCTTTATACCCAATGACATTTTTCAGTTTTCCCATTACCTCATTGCCCAGCAGATTTGACATTGTTGACAACTTCCTTCTTCCTGAACTCTTTCTTCTGTTGATTTTCTGGAAACCACAGTCTGCAGGTTTTCTTCATACCATTGACTGCTACTTCTTAGTCCCCTCTGACTGCAATTCATCCTACTCTGACCACTGAATCTTGGCCTTCCTTCCTTCTCTGTCTTAGGCTCTCTCCTGGACCACCCGGGGTCAGCTCATTCACACCCATTGCTTCAGTTATGGTCTAGATTCTGTTGATTCCTAGATTTATAATTCCAGCCCAGGTTTCCTATCTGAGCCCCTCTCTGCTTATCCAACTGACATCTTGATATACACTCTTTAATGGTTTTTAATTTTTTAATTTTTTTTTTTTGAGATAGGGTCTCACTCTGTCACCCAGACCAGAATGCAGTGGTGCGATCTAGGCTCACTGCAACCTCCTCCTCCCAGGCTCAAGCGATTCTCTTGCCTTAGCCTCCAAAGTAGCTGAGATTACAGGTGTGCACCACTGCGGCCAAGCTAACTTTTGTATTTTTGGTAGATTCAGGGTTTCGCCATGTTGGCCAGGCTGGTTTTGAACTCCTGGGATTACAGGCGTGAGCCACCATGCCCTGCCACTCTTTAATGTTTCCACCAGGCAGAAATCTTGGAGTCATTTTTGGCACCCTCTTACTTTTCTTTTCATATCCTGTTGATTGTATCCTCTAAACATCTCTGCAATCTAAACACTTCTTTCCTTCCCTACCGCTGCATCTTTGTCCAGCTTAGACTTGGACTGTTATCTTTGCCTGAAGCACAGTAATAGACTTCGACACTTCCTTGTGCACCTACTTATTCCTGCCCTCCTCTAACTCTTCTCCAACTCTAGACCAAAGTGATCTCTTCAAAATGAAACTCTGATCATGCAGTATTTAAAACCCTTACATAGCTTCCGCTTGCTCTTGGATTAACGAACAAGATTGTTACTGGGGGCTATAAGGCTCAAAATGCTCTGGTCTGGCTGGGCGCGGTGGCTCACGCCTGTAATCCCAGCATTTTGGGAGGCTGAGGCAGGCGGATCACGAGGTCAGGAAATCGAGACCATCCTAGCCAACACAGTAAAACCCCGTCTCTACTAAAAATACAAAAAAAAAAAAAAATTAGCCAGGCATGGTGGCGGGTGCCTGTAGTCCCAGCTACTTAGGAGGCTGAGGTAGGAGAATCTCTCGAACTCGGGAGGCAGAGCTTGCAGTGAGCCGAGATCATGCCATTGCACTCCAGCCTGGGTGACAGAGTGAGACTCTGTCTCAAAAAAAAAAAAAAATCTCTAGTCCTACTTACCTTTCTAGCCTTATCTGATACATATTCTCCCTCTCTGATCTCTATCTCAATTTCTCAAGGACACTATGGAGAGGGAAAGAGATGCTGTTAATAGTTAGTCTTGGACAACAGGCATAAAATATGACCACACTGAGCAAACTGTATGATGCCCTCACTCAGGAATGACATTCTCCTTCCTACTGCAGGCCCTTTTCTTGCTCTATTCCATCTGCCTTGGAACCTCTGGCCTCTCTTCTTCGCCTCATTAATTCTGATTTGCCTTTCAGGTCTCAAGATCCACTTTTTCAGGAAAGCCTTTCTTGACTCCCTACCTCAAATACTCCTGTGATGTACTTTTGCAACACTTCCTACGGAGCCCCTCCTGAGTGCCATTGACCTCTTTTGAGATTCCTCATCACTGTTGCCACTTTGTGTGCATTTATGAGATTATTTGATTAATATTTAATCTTCTCCACTGAAGTGTAAACTCTCTGAAGCCAGGAATCATATCGAGGTTCGCTCACTATTGTATCCCCCACATTCAGCTCAGTGCATGACACATAATGACTAAGTATTATTTAATAGGTGAATCAGCAAAGAAATCAGCTCATTATTGGGGGGTAACTATCCATTGGTTTCTTATGTTTGTGCACATGTTATGAATAGAGATACTGACTACTTTTGTTTCTGACTATCTGTCTATTCAAGCATTTTGAGTAATGAACAGCCTTGGAAGATACAGATGAAGTCCCCCTTCAGAACAGAGGACAGACATGCTAGCTTCCCAATATAATAAAGATAATGTCTTCCTCTAAAGAAAAGGGCAGGTGTGCTTCCTGCCCATAATAAGTGATTCCATTTCTCTCAGATCAGTGTTCTGCTGGAAATATAATTGACTGCATATGCAGGTATAATATGGCTATTTTCGTGTTGCTTTGTGGGAATTGTAGCTCAAGTAACCAATGCAAAAAATATTGAAACCCTGGCACCTGCTGTAAGTAATAAACTGTCTTTCATCTCTAACAAATAATCTTGTGTCTTCTTTTAGCACTCATGCTAGTTGCGTGTTTGGTGAAATCTCAGACCCTTCACAGTTTTTGACATTAATTAATTATATTTTATTCATTCTGTATATTTCTTAGACTTTAGTATCGAGATGTGCAGAAATAAAACATGTGAATGTCTTGAGTATAAGTCCCTGTTTTTCCTTATGCATTGACAAACTACATTCCTGAGATCACCCCTACATGATAATCCGAAATAAGCAAAGGTTTTATTGACCATCTCTCTTACTTATTCACTTTTTAATGTTCCCTTTTTCTCCTAATTTTGTCATTTTTTTCCTCCTATGTTCTTTTTTTTATTAGTACTGGTTTATTGCAGAAAATTTAGAAATATTAATATGTCCTCCTATGTTCTTAATCTATGGTCTATTTCCTTTCAAATGGTTACATTAATTTCTCCCAGGGTGTTAGCTGATCTTTATAGGGGACTCTTAAAGAGGAAAAACATCCAGAGTTTAGCGAAGTATAGTAGAAAAAGCCCTGAATCAGAAATTAGGAGACATAACTTTTACATATGTACAGGCATAACTAGTTATGTGAAATTGGGCAGGTCACAAAGCTCCAGTTTCCTCTTCTGAACGCAGTCATTCCTTTATGCATTTATTTATTCATTCAACAATCATTTATTGAATTATTTGCAATAAATGACTTAACTGCTGCCTTCAAAAAACCCACAGTCTAGTGAGAGAGAAAGACAAACTCAAGATATTAACACAGTGTGAAAGGCATGATAATAGAGGAAATCCCAGGGAGCTGCTGTAGGACCCATGGGATTAGAGCGGAGACAGAGAGCATGGGATTAAACTGTGCAAGGGAGGTGGAGTCTGAGCTGAGTCTGGTTGGGCAAAATAACTTGGCCATGGAGAAGGTGAGGTAGGGAGTTGTAGTCAAAAGCAAGAGAAAGTCCCTTGCAATGCTTGTTGAAGCTTTTCCCTCTTCTCCCTACTTAGGCTTTGCCTTGGCTCCCAATCCCTCCAAACCTATAGTGGTGTCCCTAAGGGAGAGTCTTATCACCCCTGTGGCCATGGCAAGTGGCCTAGTAGAAGGTAGTGTAACAACCCAGCAGAGAGCTCAGGCACCTGCCTCCACCACTAACCCTGCAATCTGGGCACCATATTCCTGTCTGCAAAAAGGGAGTCACATTTGGTTTCTCCTGCTGGGTTACCGTGGGGATGTGAGTGCTCAGCATAGTCCTTAGCCCATGAAAACTATCCAAGTGGTTGCATCAAAATTGGGGAATACTTTGGAAATTATTCATCTCATTTCTTTTTTGTCTCTTTGAGAACATGACATCACCTCTAGTTGGCCCAGGACCTCCATCTGCCTGAGGGTGGGAGAATGGAGCAGAGATTAGAAGTGTCTCAAAGTCACACAGGGAGGCCAACATAATTTTCAGTTTCTAACGTGCAAAATAGGATTAGGCAGCAGGAGGTTAGCTTTGAAATACAGAATATTCTCTTGAGGTGAAATTACAAGTTTTTTTATTTCCCTGTCTTGAGTATTCTCCCACCAACACCTTCGTGACAGTCTTCAGAAGAAAGATAAAGGCAATTGAGTGCATCTGATGAGAAGAAGCAAGGCAGTCATCATTATTTACATCTACGTGAGACAAATAAAAAGAGTTTAATGATTTCAGTCACTAAGGGCTAGGGGCCTCATTCAGAAGACAGTGGTTTTTGACCCCAAGACCTGCCCTTGTCACTATATTTTTCAATAGCACATGTTTGGAAAATGACTGCTTTAAAAATGTATATATCCTCCCAGGTTGAAAATAACTTCATGCTTCTTAGTAATTTTGGAGAGGTACAAAGCAATCCCAATAATTTGAAAGCATCACAGACTCTTTTAGAGAAGTTTTTGGAGTGCTTTCAATGGTTGAGCCCATAAACATGTCCACTGATTTACATTTTAAAAATGAAAGAGTGTTGTATTAAAATATTTGGATTCTGGTCACATAGTAAGGCTATTGTGCTTCCAGGGGTTAGCACAGGATCAGACTTGGTTACTGGAAGTATCAAAATTTGCAAATTATCCTTCAAATGAAAATTATTCAGTTCTTCAGGTTTTTTGCTTATGACTGGTGCATGTTTGCTGGTTGTGAAAGTGGAAACAGATACAGGATTTGCTCCCAGTCTGAGCATCTGGAGTTGAGTGGCAGGGAAGCTAATAAGGCATCTCACTGCATTCTTCCCTTTTCTTCCTGGATGGATGACATGTGTTAATGTTCATGTAAATCCTTGCCCCACTTCACTCTAAGAGCTGAAGCAACCACTTAAAAGTCTTTTGTCTGTTTGTTTTTCTTTTTTCTTTTCCTATTTCTAAGTAATAGACTCATACTGCTAGTTTTGATTGTTTAGCATTTGTGACTTCCTATGGTGAAAGAATAAAGACTTAGTCATTTCATGCCCTGTTCCCAACCCCACCTTCATCCTCCCAAGAGAGTCATATTATAGTTTTTGTTATTGTTCAGTGTTTGTATTATCATGACCAGAAGTATTTTTCACAGCAATACCGCATTTCCTTTTGTGGTTGTCATTAGTGCTCACTGACAGATATTTTGTTCTTAACTTTTAAGGTACATAGCAGGACTTGCTTTCCTGCTCCCTTTGAATTAGGTAAAGTCATGTGACTAGGTCTAGCCAATGAGCTCCAGGCCAGAGCATGTAATTACTGGTGTGAAACTTACCAGAGCTCTCTTTCTGTCTGGTATTGCTAACTACCAATATTCAAGAAATTTATGAGTGATGCTAGCATAATGGTGGATTGGAAGATCCAGACCCTCCTTTTACCCATGCACACACTGATTTAATAATAATACATGGGGCAACTTCCTTTCTGAGAAGCCCAGAAACAAATAACAAGAAGTTCCTGCATCTGAGATGGGCATGAGACCAGCTGCATAAAAGTCAGTAGGAACATTCAGGGCACTTTTCTTGGCCTTGTTCTTCCCTTCAGTACAGCACAAAACAAATGGGTAAAAAAACCCAAAACTCCTGGCTTCTTCCTTAGGAGGTAAGGAATTGAAGCGTGTGTCTAAAGGTCCAGCTTTCTGAGTGGCTGCCTGAGGGACTGGTTTCTGTTTGCCTGAATGTAAGCACTGGCAGGAAGAAGCACGAGGCTGGTAGGGACACTGAAAATAAAGGCAACAGTTTGGACTAGTATATACTCATTTACAATAGCCCCTCCTCCTGGCTCAGCAGAGAATGAGTGGGTGAAAACTCTCAAATGGTAATTTCTCCCTGGGGAAAGAAATTGTTGGAGCACGGCATTTTGCAGAGCTGCCTGAAGTACTGATTTCTGTCTCATCCAATTCAGGGTGCTGATGGGACCTAACATACTCTAGATTCCTGGTGACTACTGAAAAAAAAAAAAGCTGGAGCACATGCTGCTGCTACAGAAGACCCAGAGTACAGCAGGTAGACACCAGAGGAAGTAAGAGATTATGAGCATATGAAGATAGAAACAAGCAAATTCTTCTAATTAGAAATTTACACACACTCGCCAAGAGAAAATACATCCATAGAAAATTTGAGAGACCTCCAGATTTTCTACCTGTGCTAATTGGCGAAGGTCTTTCCCTGCATGAAGCCAGTCTGTGAATAATGGGAAAGGTGCCTGTTCCTTTGGATTTGCAGATATCAACTCCAAGCTACAGAAACATAAAGAAACTGGAAAATATAGCCTAATCAAAGAAACAGAATAAATCTACAGAAATTGGCCCTAAATAAGTGTAGGTATACAAAACACCAAACAAAGAATTCAAAATAACCATCATAATAATATTCAGTGAGCTCAAGAAAACAGTGTTTGAACAAAATTTGGATCTCAACAAATAAATAAAAAATATGAGAAACAAACAGAAATTTTGGAGCTAAAGAATGTAAGTGAACTAAAAAATTCATTAGAGAAGTTCAACAGTAGACGTCATCAAGCCGAAGAATAAGCTAACTCAAAGACAGATCATTTGAAATTACCCAGTCAGAGGAGCAAGAAGAAAAAAAGAATACAAAAGAGTAAAGAAAGTCTAAGGGACTTATGGAACACCATCAAGTAAACAAGGCTATGCATTATGTGAGTCTCAGAAGAGAAGGAAAAATGAGCACAAGGCTTATTTAAAAAAATAGTGGCCAGAACTTTTTAAAAATTGAGAAGGAAAAGGCACATCCAGATTTAAGAAGCCCAGTGGTCTCCAAATAGGATAAATTAAAAGAAGTCCATACAGAGTAATATAATAATCAAATGATCAAAAGTCAGAGACAAAGAGGGAGTTCTGAAGGCCTCAAGAGAATGCATAAAAGAAAACTCCATAAGATATCAGGGGATTGGGATGTACATTCAAAGTGCTGAAAGTAAAAATTTGCCAACTAAAAATACTATATCTGGCTTAATGGTTCTTCAAAAATGAAGGAAAGATAAAACTTTTCCAGATAAACAAAGCCAAGGGAGGCCATCACAACTAGACCAGCCTTACAAGAAATGATAAAGGAGGTCCTTCAAATTAAAATGAAAGATTGAATGGCAGCACAAAAGCATATGAAAGTATAAAGTTTGCTGATAAAATTGAATATATAGATAAATACAGAATACTATGATACTGCAATGATGGTGCATAAATCATTTTAAATGCAGGTATAGGAGTTAAAACAAAGTATTCAAAATAACTATATAAAATATGTTAATGGATACAAAGTATAAAGAAATGTGACATCATCAACATAGAGTTTGAGGAGGACCTTCAAGATAGCCAACTGGCAGCATCTGACACTTGCCTCCTCCATGAAAAATCAAAATAACAAGTAGACAGTCACACTTTGAATAGAGCATCTGAGAGAGAACACTGGAATTTAGCAGAGAAGTGACAGAAAACACCACAGGCATGGAAGGAGAGAGAAGCAAGGCAGTCAGTTCACTGGGATTGGCTGGGAGCCTGGAGAGGCTCCCCAGTCTAAAGAAAGGGTAAAAGATCCCCAGCTGTGCACATTCCCACCATGAACTTCTGCAACCCTAGCCATGGGAGAACCCTTCAATCCTTGTGGGGCCTACGATAGCATAGGGAGCTGCCTGAAGACCATTCCAGAAAGGAGCCTCACACTGGGTTCCTCATCCAGCCCCCTTTCCCCATTCCTAAGTAGCTGTAGCTTGGCACCATTTTGAGAGCTCAGTCCTTACCAGACTGCATCCCGCCCTGGGACCCAACAGCCCCTACATTTACACATTTCTAGGGACACACTAACATTCCCACTGCATTCACGAAGAGGACTGCATCAGCACAATGCCAGCTGGACTCAGTGGAGCAGCAGCGTCCCCAGCATTCTAGCACACACAGTGTCTTGCACCTGAGGGAATGGACAGTGGAGGACACTATGGAGGCTGCCCATGGGACAAAGAGAGCCAAAGCCTGTGCTTCCTAAAGCCTGAGAACTGCCTACATAGGGTGGCTACCACAGACAGCAACTCCAGCCTCCTCTAGCATTAGGGCTGCTGTACACACACCCTGAGAACAGACTCAGCCACCATCCATTACAGCCACTTCTGCTGCCCGTGGAGGCTGAAGTGCATGCCACTGACATTAACCCTGCTTCCTCAGCAGCAGAGCTACAGTTCTCAGGAGGCCTGAGACCTGCTTACCTGCAGCTGCAGCCACTGTCAGCAGCCATGCTTCCTCCAGCAACAGGGCCGTAGTGCACTTGCACATGCCCCAAGGACAGGCTCCCTGCAACCACTACTCTCACTGCTGTAGGCAGCCAAGCACTCTGCTGAGGAGGGCCTGGGGATCAGCCCACCCTGCCTGCCATAGCCAGCACCCAAGCACACCACCAGGAGCCCTTAGGCCAGACCTACCTGGCCTGGCAATGCACATGTACCCCCAACATCCCAGTACCCAAGCACATCCCTGAGGGCCCTGGAATTACCCTGCCCTGTCCATCACATCTAGTTTCTGTGCACTTCTCCTGGGGGCCTGAGGAAAGACCCATCCAGCTAACCACTGCCACCAGTGGGGCCCAAAGACTGGTCCACTTGGTGTCCTTGTTACCAGCAAAACCTCACAATAGCCTCCACTAATAACTGCAGCTCAAGCCACTGAAGAAATCAGACACCACTATTGCTGGTTATAGCCAAAGAAATCATATAAGACTATACTTCTGCACACACCCAGAATAAAAGCTAAAATGTCCTATCCAACAAACACCATAGATTCATCTTCAGGAGAAGGTCTTTCCCTATAAAAGCCAATTTTAAAAGTTCGAAGAAGTGACCATTGTAACAGATGCACAGCTATCAATTTAAAAATGTAAGAAACAGGAACAAACATGGAAATATGAAACCTCTGAAGGAACACAATAATTCTTTAGCAACATATTTCAATGAAAAGAAATTTATAAAATGCCAGGAAAAGTATTCAAAATAATGACATTTAAAAAGCTTAGTGAGATAAAAGAGAACACAGATGAACAATGCAAAGAGATCAGGAAAACCATTCAGGATATAAACAAGAAATTCACCAATATCATAAACAAAATAAAACAAAAAAACAGAAATTTTGGAACTAAAGAATTAAATGAGAGAAAATATTTGTTCAAGAGCATCAATAATAGACTAGAGCAAGTAGAAGAGTCTCAGAACTTGAAGACAGGTCTTTAAAGATAACCCAGTCAGGCCAAAAAGAAAAAAAAAGAGGAAGAAGAAGAAAAGAAAAAAGAATGAATAAAGCAGATGTGACATATGGACACCACATAGAGACCCAATATGTGAATTTTGGGTGTTCTAGAAGGTGAAGAGATGGCCAAAGGCATAGAAAACTTTCTTAACAAAACAATAGCTAAAAACTTCCCAAGTCTAGCAAGAGGTTTAGATATCCAGATCCAGGAAACTCAGGGATCCTCAAATGGATACAATCCAAAAAGTCTCCACAGCATGTTATATCAAACTGTGAAAAGTCAAAGACAGAGAATTGTAGAAACAGCAAAGGAGTCTGGCCACATATAAGGGAATCCCCATTGGACTAAAAGAGGATTTCTCAGTAGAAACCTTTCAGCCCGGGACAGAATGGGATGATATATTCAAAGTGCTAAAAGAAAAAAATCGCCATCCAAGAATAGTATACCTAAAAAAATAATCCTTCACAAATGAGGGAGAAATAAAGTCTTTCCCAATAAAGCAAAAACTGAAGGAGCTCATCACCAATAGACTGGTCCTACAAGAAATGCTTAAGGGAGTCCCAAACCTGGAATACAAAGGATAATATCGACCTTCATGAAAACACATGAAAGTATAAAACTCACTGGCAGAGCAAATACACATATGAGGAAGAGAAAAGACTCAAATGTTACCACTGTAGAAGCTGCAAAACTGCAATGATAAACAATAAGAGAGAAAGAAAGGATCAAAAGATATACAAAGCATCCAGAAAACAATAAACACAATGACAGGAATAAATCCTCACATATCAATAATAAACTTGAATATAAATGAGTTGCATTTTCCACTTAAAAGATATAGACTGGCTGAATGAATTTTAAAAAATGGCCTAACTGTATGCTGCCTGTAAGAAATTTGTTTCATCAGTAAAGACACTTACGGACTGAAAATAAAGAGATAGCAAAATATATTCCACAAAAACAGAAATGAAAAGCAAGAAGGATTAGTTATAGTTAAGTCATATAAAATGGACTTTAAGTCCAAAACAGTAATAAGAGACACAGAAAGTCATATAATGATAAAGGGATCAATCAATTCAGCAAGAAGATATAACAATTCTAAATGTATAAGCATCCAACACCTGAGTACCCAGATTATATATCTGGGTATATAGTAATTATAACAAGTATATAGTAATAATATATATATATATAAAACATATATATATATAACAAGTATATAGTAATAATAACAAGTAATTATTATTAGATCTAGAGGAAAAGATAGACTCCAGTATAATAATGTTAAATAGTTAAGGACTTCAACACCCCACTCTTAGCATTATACAGATCATGTAGACAGCAAATCAACAAAGAAACATTGAATTTAAACTGCACTTTAGACCAAATTCTTCTAACAGACATCTACAGAACATTTATCCAACAGCTGCAGGATACACATTCTTCTCGTCAGCACATGGAACATTGTCCAGGATAGATCATATGTTAGACCACAAAATGTCTCCACAAATTTTTTTAAAAATGAAATCATACCAAGTATCTTCTCAGACCACAGTGGAATAAAACTGAAAATTAATAACAAAAGGAACTTTGGAAACTGTTCAAATACATGGAAATTATACAATGTGCTCTTGAAAGACCACTGGATCAATGAAGAAATGTAGGAGAAAATTAAAAAAAAAAATCCTTGAAACAAATGAAGATAGAAACACAGCATGCCAAAAACCCATGGGATACAGCAAAAGGAGTTCTACAAGGGAAGTTTATAGCAATAAGTGCTTACATCGAAAAAGAGAAAGATTTCAAATAAACAATCTGATGATGCAACTTAAGGAATTACAAAAGCAAGAACAAACCAAACCAAAAAGTAGTAGAAGGAAACAAATTATAAAGATCAGAGCAGAACTATATAAAATAGAGACTATAAAAACACAAAGGACAAACAAAATGAAAATTTGGTTATCTGAAAAGATAGAATTGATAAATCACTAACTAGACTAAGCAAGAAAAAAAGAGAGAAGATCCAAATAAACCTAATCAGAAATAAAAAAATGAGACATAACAACTGATACCACAGAAATTCAAAAGATCATCAGAAACTGTTATGAACAACTATATATTAACAAACTGGAAAACCTATGGGAAATGGGTAAGTTCCTGGACACATAATCTCTGCCAATATTGAACCATAAATAAATATAAAACCTGAACAGACTAATAACAAGTAAAACAATTGAATCAGCCTCTTAAGAAGGATCACTTGAGTAGCGATTCCTCAAGGATCTAGAACTAGAAATACTATTTGACCCAGCCATCCCATTACTGGGTATATACACAAAGGATTATAAATCATGCTGCTATAAAGACACATGCACACGCATGTTTATTGCAGCACTATTCACAATAGCAAAGACTTGGAACCAACCCAAATGTCCAACAATGATAGACTGGATTAAGAAAATGTGGCACATATACACCATGGAGTACTATGCAGCCATAAAAAGGATGAGTTCATGTTCTTTGTAGGGACATGGATGAAGCTGGAAACCATCATTCTCAGTAAACTATCGCAGGGACAAAAAACCAAACACCGCGTGTTCTCACTCATAGGTGGGAATTGAACAATGAGAACATTTGGACATAGGAAGGGGAACATCACACACCGGGGCCTGTTGTGGGGTGGGGGGAGGGGAGAGGGATAGCATTAGGAGATATACCTAATGTAAATGACGAGTTAATGGGCGCAGCACACCAACATGGCACATGTAGACATATGTAACAAACTTGCACGTTGTGCACATGTACCCTAGAACTTAAAGTATAATGAAAAGAAAAAAAAAGAAGGATCACTTGAGCCCAGGAGTTTGAGGCTGTAGTGAGCTATCCTTTTATTTCAGTTAGAATAGCTATTATATAAAAGACAAAAAAAATAGCCAATGCTGGCAAGGATGTGGAGAAAAGAGAACTGTTATCCATTGTTGGTGAGAATGTAAATTAGTATAGCCATTATGGAAAACAGCATGAAAATTTATCAAAAAACTAATAATAGTACTACCATAAAATCCAGCAATCCCACTACTGGGTATTTATTGAAAGGAAAGAAAATCAGTACATCCAAGGGAAACCTGGACCCCCGTGTTTATTATGGCACTATTCACAATAGCAAAGATATGAAATCAACCTAAGTGTACACCGAGATTTGAATGAATAAAGAAAATGTGGTGCGTATAACCAAAGGAATACTACTTGGCCATTGAAACAGAATGAAATTCTCCATCTGCAGCAACATATGTGGAACTGGAGGTCATTATGTTAGGTAAAATAAGCCAAGAATAGAAGGACAAACATTATATGTTCTCACTCATATGTGGGAGCTAAAAGAATTGATCTCATGGAGGTAGATAATAGAATGACAGTTACCAGAGAATGGGAAGGGTTTGTGTGTGTGAGGGGTGAAATGAAATGAGGTTGTTTAATGGGTACAAACATACAGTTAGATAGAAGAAATAAGTTCCGTCATTAGATAGCAGAGTAAGGTGACTACAGTTAACAACAATATATTGTGTATTTCAAAATAGCTAGAAGAGAGGGCTTAAAAAGTCTCTAACACTTATAAATGATAAGTCCATTCAGGTGGATCCCCTGAACACCCTGACTTGAGCATTAGACATTCTATGCACGTATCAAAATACCACATGTACCCTCGCAAAAATGTACAAATATTGTATATCAATAAAAATTAAAATAAATCTAAGCATGCTTCTTTAATAAATAATAATATAAAGTATTTCATGGAGAAATCAAAGTGTAGAGCTTTTGTGTGCAATTGAAATTAAGTTGCTATGAGCTTAAAATAGATTGTTAAAAGATGTCTTATGAAAGCCTTGTGGTGACTACAAAGAAAATACCTACAGAAGATATACCAAAAAATTTAGAAATTTAAAACATGTCACTACAAAAAAATCAATAAAACAAAGAAAGACAACAAGAAAAGAGGGATGAAATCACTACAAAAAATACAAAAATCAATTAAATATTGGCTATAGTAACTCCTTTATCAATAATTACTTTAAATGTAAATGGATTAAACATCTCAATCAAAAGCTATCGAGTGGGGAATATACTTAGAAAAAACAAGATCCAACTGTACACTGTATACAAAATGCTGCCTTTAGAATTAAGGACACATGTAGGCTGAAAGTTAAAGGATGGAAACATATTCCATGAAAATGGTAACCAAAAGAGAGCATGGGTGGCAATTCTTATATCAATGAAAATAGATATGAAGTCAAAACTGTCACAAGAGACAAAGAAGGACATTATATCATGATAAAAAAGTCAATTCACTAGGAAGATAAATATAAATATAAATATGAATATAAATATATATGCACCCAACATCAGAGCACCAAAATATGTAAAGCAAATATTGACAGAATAGAAAGGGGGAAATAGCCAGCAACATAATAATAGTAAGATATTTCAATACTCTACTTTCAATAATGGATAGAAAATCCAGATAAAATATCAATAAGGAAGCAGAGGACTTGTACAACACTATAGAATGAATGGTCCTAATGGACATATACAGAACATCCCACCCAAGAGCAGAAGAATACATGTTTTTCTCAAACACACAGAATATTCTTTAAGACAGAACTCATGTTAGGTCACAAAACAAGTCTTAATAGATTTAAAACGATTGAAATCACAGCAAGTATCTTGTTCAACCACAGTGGAATAAAACTAGAAATCAATAGCAGATGGAAAACCAGTATTTGCAAATATGTAGAAATTAAATGACATCTTCCTAAACACCTAATGGGACAAAGAGGAAGCAAAAGGGAAATTAGAAAATACTGATACAAGTGAGAACAAATAATATGCCAAAACTTACTTGATACAAAAAACACAGTACTAAGAGGGAAGTGATAAATGCTTGCACTAAAAAAAAGAAAGATCCCAAATAAACAGCCTAAACGTACACCTCAAGGAGCTAGAATAAAGAACAATAAACTAAGCCTACAGTTAGCAGAATGAATAAAACTATATAGATTCTAACAGAAATAAAATGGATAGAAAAACAATAGCCAAAGTAACAGTTTATTTTTGAAAAAGATCAATAAAATTGACAAATTTTTAACTAGACTGAAAAGATTCAAATAAATAAAATAAGAAATAAAAGAGGAGGCATTACAACTAATGCCAAAGAAATAGGAAGAATTCTAAGAGACGGCTATGAACAATTACACGCCAATGCATTGGAAAACCCAGGTTTTTCTGGTAAATAACACATAATGAGAGATCTTCTCTCTTAAATTTTAAGTATACACACAACCTGTAAATACCTATAATGAAGAAATAGAAAATCTGAACAGATGTATAAGTAAGGAGATTAAATAGTAATCAAAAACTTCCCAACAGAGAAAAGCCCAGGACCAGATGACGTCGCTGCTGAATTCTACCAAACATTTAAAGAATTGATGCCAATCTGTAAACTCTTCAAAAAAAATTGAAAAGAAGGAACATTTTCAAACTCATTATATACGACCAGAGTTACACAGAAATAGAAACTATAAGAAAATAAAATTATGGGCTAATGTCCCTGATGAATATAGGTGCAAACATCCTTAACAAAACAGTAGCCAAATAAATTCAACAGCACATTAGCAGAATCATACACCATGACTAAGTGGATTCATTTCTGGGATTCAAGAATGGTTGAACATACAGAAATCCATCAATGTGATATAGCACATTAACAGAACAAAGTATAAGAATCACACAATTATCTCAATATACGCAGGAAAAGCATTTAAGAAAATTAACACCTTTTCATGATAAAAACACTCAGCAAAGTAGGAAGAGAAGGAAATTACCTCAACATAATAAAGGCTGTATATATAAAGCCCATAGCTAACATCATACTGTTAGTTGTACCTCATACATCAATGGTGAAAAACTGAAAACTTTTCCTCTAAGATCAAGAAGAAAGCAAGGATGTCCACATTCCCACTTCTATTCAGCATTGTACTGGAAGTTCTAGTCAGAGTAATAGGCAAGAAAAAGAAATAACAGGCATCCAAATTGAAAAAGAAGCAGTAAAATTATCTCTGTTCACAGATGATATGATGTTATATGTAGAAAATCTGAAAGATTTCACAAAATCCTGTTAGAACTAATAAATGAATTCAGCAAAGTTGCAGGATACAAAATCAACACACAAAAATCAGTTGCATTTCTATACACTAACAACAAACAATCCAAAAAAGAAATTAAGAAAACAATTTATTTATAATAGCATCAAGATGAATTAAATACCTAGAAATAAATTTAACCAAAGATGCAAAAGACTTGTATATTGAAAACTACAAAACATTGTGGAAAGAAGTCAAAGAAGACACAGATAAATAAAAAGGCAACTTATGTTTTATGAATTGCAAGAAATACTATTGTTAAAATGTTCATGCTACCCAAAGAAATCTAAAGATTCAATGCAATTTCTACCAAAATTCTAATGGCATTTTAATTGAAATAGAAAAGAAAGAAATTCTATAATTTATATGGAACCACAGAAGACCACAAATCAATCTTCAGAAAGAACAAAACTGGAGGTGTTACACTATTTGATTTCAAAATATAGCTATAGTAATGAAAACACTGTGGTTCTTGCCTAACGATAGACATATAGACAAATAGAACAGAATAGAGAGCCCAGAAATTAATCTATACAAAAAGTGATCAATTGCTCTTTGCCAAGGGAGCCCAGAGTAAACAGTGGGGAAACATTAGTGTCTTCAATGAATGGTATTGGAAAAACTGGATATCCATGTGTAAAAGAGATTGGATCCTAATCTTGCGCCATACACAAAAATCAACTCAAAATGGATTAAAAAGTTAAACATAAGACTTAAAACTGTAAAACTCCTAGAAGAAAACATATGGGAAAATCTTCATGACATTGGTCTTGGCAGTGATTTCTTGGACATGACACCAAAAGCACAGGCAACTAAAACAAGAATAGACAAGTAGGATTAATTAAACTGAAAGACTTCTGCACAGTGGAGTAAACAACCAATAGTGTGAAAAGGAAACCTACAAAATGGCAGAAAATATTTGCAAATTGTGCATCTGATAAGGGATTAATGTCTGAAATATATAAGGAACTTCTATAACATAATGGCCAAAAGCCACAAATAACCCAATGAAAAAATTGGCAAAAGATTTGAATAGACATTTCCCCAAAGAAGACATATAAATGGCTAACCAGTATATGAAAAGATGCTCAACATCACTAGTCATCAGAGAAATGCAAATCAAAATCACAATGATATGTCACCTCACACTTGTTAGAATGGTCATTATCCAAAAGCCAGAAAATAACAAGTGTTGGTGAACATGTGTAGCAGTTGGAAGTCTTGAACACTGTTTATGTGAATGTAAAATGGTGCAGCTGCTGTAGAAAACAGTAAGGTGATTCTTCAAAAACTTAAAAATAACTACCGTATGATTCACAATCCCACTTCTGGGAATTTATCCAAAAGAACTGAAGTCATGTTTTTGAAGAGATATTTGCACTCTTATGTTTATTGTAGCATTGTTCACAAAGGCCAAGAGGTGGAAATAGCCTAAATGTTCATTGATGGATGAATGGATAAGGAAAATGTGGTATGTACATAGAATGGAATATTATTTAGCTAGAAAAATAAGCCTATCATATGCTATGACATGGATGAACATTGTGCTAGGACATTACACTAAGTTAAATAAGCCAGTCACAAAAGGACAAATACTGCATGATTCCATTTATATGAGGTTTTTAAAGTAACCAAACTCATAGAAACAGAAAATATAACAGTGATTGCTAGAGAATAGGGGTTTGGGGAAGGAGGAAAGGGAGTTGTTCAATGGGTGTAGTGTTTCAGTCATGCAAGATGTAAAGGTTCAAGGGATCTGCTTTGTGACATTGTACTCATAGTTGTCAATACTGCATTGTATACCTAACGTTTGTTAAGAGAGCAGATCTCCTGCTATGTGTTATTTACCATAATAATAATAATAAATGGTTGCTTCATTGCCTTGCATCCATTTGTGACTATTATGAAGATAACCCCCCTTTCAACCTGTGGTGGATATGTAGTATAAGCAAAAAATGAAACCTTATTGTTACCAGCTACTGCAACTTTGGAAATGTTTGTTACCACACTATAACTAAGACATTCCCAACTGATAAACATTTCTTGAATAAATGTTTATTTTTTCCTGAAAATAACAACACCTCATTGAAAAAATTTGCTTTATCTTCTCTGTACTTATCAGAAATGAAACTCTAAAACTCTCCATCAGAAATATAAATCTCTTCTGAATATTGTTTATCAAGGACTCTATTAATTTCATCTTTTCTTTGGGACTTTCCAACCAAGGATTGCTCTCTAGCCTCCTGCACAACTGTCTTCCTGGAGATACCCTTCATCTCTATACTATGCAGCATAAATTCCCTGGTTTCTACAACTCAAGTTTGCAAAGTCTTGCTTACTACTCCACCATCTATCCTCTCAGTTAGCAGATTACATTTCCTACTGTTCCTCACAGTAGTTTAGCTCTGTAACGTATTTCTGGCCAATGAGATGCAAATATTAATGTTGTGTGTGACCTTTGGGAAGTGTCCTTAAAGGGGTGGGGCTCACTCTTCTTTGTCCTTTCCTATACCAGGGTTTTTCAACTTTGGCACTATTCATATTTTGAACCAGATAATTCTTTCTTGTGGGCATCTGTCCTGTGCATTATATTAATCATGTTCAGTAGTATCTCTAGCTACTACCTACTAGATGTCAGTAGAACCCTCTCCTGCAGTTGTGGCAATTGGTAGTGACTTCAAACATTGCCAAGTGCCCCCAAATGGGCAAAAATCATCCCTTTTGAGAACCATTGCTCTGTACCAGTGAATCTCAGACTTGACTGTAAGTCACAATAATGCGGAAACTGGTACACGTATAGATGGCTGGATCTTCTTCCTAGAGTTCCTGATTTAGCAGGTCTGGGATAGGGCTTGGGAATTTGCAAGTTCCTAGGAGGTGCTGAAGCTGCTGGTCTGGGACTGCACTGTGAGAACTGCTGATCTGTACTACTTTGCTTAGCAGATAAACCTGTGGTTCCTACCGAATAAATATAACAATAGCATTGAACATGGAAGGGTTGTGAACCATAGGCCGTCAAGGTAAATCTTGATAGTGGAGTTCAGGAATTTAGAAATCATGCTATTACATGAAATTGGAAGGCAGCACCAAAAACTATGGTTTATGCATTAGATAAAGATTTTGTTTACATTTGCTCTAAATGCAGTGATTTTTCTCAAATAACAGAGATGATCAAGATGAAAAGAAACAATCTCAAAAGAAATAATAAAGATGATAGCAATGAATCTTATTAGTCTATAATGTGCATGCCCACCCATCTTAATTCTATAGGTTTCCAATTGCTGTTGTCAAGCTTTCTGTGGTAAATTTTATATAACTTTCCAGAGGCTATGTTAAAAAAAGCTATTATACACAACTCTTTTCACTTAGTGCCACATAATTTTTAATACCTTATCTAAATAATTTGTGTTGGAGCAGCACAAAACTGGGGGGCATTAATGCTGTACACATTTATGCAGATGGGAGAAAGACTAATAAAAGAAATCATTATGGCCTGAAATTTAATAGATGTCTTGTGTTTAATCTCCTAGGTTTACTAGACATGACAGAAGTCTGCAGAGGCATTTTTAGATCATCATTTTTTAGCACTAATCTGTGCCTGCCCTGCATGTCTGGTGCCAACGTTTAATTGTAGCCTAGAGAATCTGAGAAATGAAAGAATCTCTCCCCACACCAATGTGCTGGCAACATTATTTTACTGTTGTCTCCTTAATCTCCTCTACTCTTTTGCAATTAGTTTTATTACTACTGCTCATTTAATGAGACCATGGAGTTTGGTGCCAGATGGTGCCATTAGTTAAATCTGGAAGACTCTAATGGAATTGAGCTCAAAGCAGGTTAAAAGTAATAGAATTACAAATTTTAATGGTCATCACCTCATAGCGCACCGCTCTGTGTACCTGTTACATACCAGAAATTAGTGCCGGTTTCAAACAGAAAGGCTTGGAGTAAAGTTCAGAGAGACCAAGTGTGCTCATTCACTCACTCATTCATTCAGCTAATATTTAATCATATTCCTATCTGGGTGCTTCGGGATACCATAAATAAGACAGTCATGGTTTCTGCCTCATGGAGCTTAGAGTCTACTAGAGGAGAAAGACAACATCAAGCAAACCAGCAAGATCATTATGCATTTGTGGTAAGTGCTAGGAATGGGGGAAGCAGGGAACTGGCATGGAGGGTTAGAGGATAGAGTGGTTTAGGTCAGGGCTTGATCAAGGGAAGCTCTCTGAGGAGGTGCTCTTTTAGCTGAGACTTGAGTGGTAGAGAGAAGCTGATTGGGGGCATGCAAGAAGAATGTCATTATTGTCTGATGCAGTGAATAGCATATGGAAAGGCCTTGGGATGGAAGTCATTTGGTGTCCCCAAGGAACTCAAGGACACCTAGTGGGGAAGGGAGGATGGCTCAAGATGAGGCTGGAGAGTGGCCAGAAACTGCTGGACCCAGTGTTGTGCATGAGTGAGATGAATGAGCATTTAGAACCTGAGATTATCCAGGGATTTTAAATATGCCTGTGCCAAAGTGCTGATGAGTAAGACTTGCAGCAAGAACATCTTTTGGTCAAGGCAGTAAATACTCATGAGAGCATCATGACCTGGTCAGTATGTAAAGTCATCAGAAGCATACTTTTGTCCCTTGGTGAAGAGGGCAGGCAAAACTGAGGCAGTACTTTGATTCATAAAGTTGCTTTATATAACAGTAGCAGTAATTGAAACTTGGCATCCCTGCCTTCCTACAGGGTACATCTATTGTGTTTAGGTCTCCTCATCTTCCTGGTTGGTAACAGTGCCTGGCCTGCCTTTAAAGAATATCCCTGCTCCCCACCACATCCCTTGGCAAATGACTGCTGTCTCATTCCCAGTGTTGCCTTTTCTGGTCTTTTGTCCTGGGCTGAGGCTCCTTCTCTCCTGTTGAATGAGTTTGCATCCATCAAGGCCAAGGTCAAAGAGACACATGATCTCCTGGGCACTGAGCTTGAGAGAAGAACACAAACTGCTAATGTTTCCATCATCTCCAAGAAGTCTTTCTTCAGCTTCTCTCTGAATTCCTCCAGGGATTTGTATTACCTGTGTTGGCACCCACATTTGCATTGTTTATGAAGGATAGGCTGGATTATTAGTTCATTTCAGATATTCTCTGGACCTGTTGCCTTACACGTAGCAGATACTAAAAGTATCTATTGAATTGAATTCTTACTAGTGGTTACCAATTGTTGAGCAATTAATTGCCAAGTACTCTTCTGAGAGCTTGTTATTTAATCTGTATATGATGACTAATATAATGTGTCAACTTGGCTAGGCCACGGTACTCAGACATTTTGTCAAACACTATTTTAGACGTTTCTGGGAAGGTATGTTTAAAAATGAGATTAACATTTAAATTAATAGACTTCGTGCAAAGTAGGTTACCCTCCATTATGTGGGTGGGCCTCATCCAATCAGTCAAAGGCCTGAATAGAAAAAGACTGATGTCCCCCGAGCAGGAAGATATTCTGCCAGTCAATTGCCTTTGGCTGAAACGCAACTCTTCACTGGGGCTCAAGCCTCCCAGCCTACACCACACACTTTGGACTTGCCAGCTTCCACAATTGTGTGAGCAAACACCTTAAAATCTCTTTCTTGTAAACTTGTTTAAGCTCTTTGTAGATTCTAGGTATTGGCCCTTTGTCAGATGGATAGATCGCAAAAATTTTCTCCCATTCTGTAGGTTGCTTGTTCACTCTGATGATAGTTTCTTTTGCTCTGCAGAAGTTCTTTAGTTTAATTAGAGCCCATTTGTCTATTTTGGCTTTTGTTGCCATTGCTTTTGGTATTTTAGTCATGAAGTCTTTGCCCATGCCTATGTCCTGAATGGTATTGCTTAGGTTTTCTTCTAGGGTTTTTATGGTTTTAGGTTTTACGTTTAAGTCTGTAATCCATCTTGAGTTAATTTTTGTATAAGGTGTAAGGAAGGGATCTAGTTTCATCTTTCTGCATATGGCTAGCCACAAGGAAAAAACAACCAACCCCATTAAAAAGTGAGCAAAGGATATGAACCGACACTTCTCAAAAGAAAACATTTATGCAGCCAACACTCACATGAAAAAATGCTCATCATCATTGGTGATTAGAGAAATGCAAATCAAAACCACAATGAGATATCATCTCACGCCAGTTAGAATGGCGATCCTTAAAAAGTCAGGAAACAACAGATGCTGGAGAGGATGTGGAGAAATAGTAACACTTTTACACTGTTGGTGGGAGTGTGAATTAGTTCAACCATTGTGGAAGACAGTGTGGCAATTCCTCAAGGATCTAGAACTAGAAATACCATTTGACCCAGCAATCCCATTACTGGGTATGTACACAAAGGATTATAAATCATTCTACTATAAAGACACATGCACAGGTATGTTTATTGTGGCACTGTTCACAATAGCAAAGACTTGGAACCAACCCAAATACCTGTCAATGATAGACTGGATAAAGAAAATGTGGCACATATACACCATGGAATACTAAGCAGCCATAAAAAGGGATGAGTTCATGTCCTTTGTAGGGACGTGGATGAAGCTGGAAACCATCAATCTCAGCAAACTAACACAAGAACAGAAAACCAAACACCACATGTTCTCACTCATAAGTGGGAGTTGAACAATGAGAACAAATGGACACAGGGAGAGGAACATCACACACCGGGGCCTGTTGGGGGGTGGGGGGCTGGGGGAGGGATAGTATTAGGAGAAATACCTAATGTAGATGATGGGTTGATGGGTGCAGCAAACAACCATGGCACATGTATACCTATGTAACAAACCTGAAGGTTCTGCACATGTGCCCCAGAACTTAAAGTATATATTTAAAAAATCTCTCTTTTTCTTTCCCTCTATATTTTGGTTCTCCTTTCTGGAGAACCCTGACTAAGAACACACCTGACCTCTAACCATTTATGCCTATTTTATAGATGAGAAAATTGAGGTTCAGAGGTGTTGAGTGCCATGCCCAAGGGGATACTCCTGGTACATGGTAGAGCCAAGATCTCAGTCCAGGTCTTTCTGAGACAAAACACAGCTTCTTATGCGTGAAATCCACAAATAAGAACACAATGACCTACATACAACACAAACTGTACTTCCAATTAAGTAGTTCTCCTTTTTAATCATTCAAAAACTACCTTGGGATCTTACAGTGCATGGGAATCATCAATATGTAAATACCTTATTATCCAGGTGATGTGCAAAAGTGTCCAGTAGCACAGAAGATTGGTTAATAGGATGGTGTGTCCCAGCTTTTTACTGCACTTGTACTTGCTTCGAATATTTAGGACCCCTATATAAAATTATCTTCTCCAAAGTCATAATTTCCAAGAAGATCTTATACCCACACTATTTTCATAAGTAGTCAACTGCAAGATCTTTAGAACCATGAGGGGATCTCAATACACAACAATTTAAGATTAACCATTTTGTTGAATGTAAGATTATATCCCCTCCAAAGAATGAAATTAAAATAGAGAAAAATAAACAGCACACGTGGAATCCTGAGCCTCTTGATGCCTTTTGCCTTGGGCTAAAGTTCTCTTGTGAGTTGTAAACTTCAAAAGTGTCCTCAAACTGGAACCTTTCCATAGGAAAAGTCAGCAGAAAATATTGACCCCAGGATCAATTGTTTCTGTTTAAGTTACAGATTGCTGCAGTCAAAATAAGCAGCCAGTGTTTGATAAAGACAGCTCCTCTTAGGAAGAACTGTCATCCCCAAACACATAGAGAGACACTCTCTGTCTCTCGATTACAATCATGATTTCCAGAATGGAGAAGATGACGATGATGATGAAGATATTGATTATGTTTGCTCTTGGAATGAACTACTGGTCTTGCTCAGGTAAGGTATTCACCAACCTGGCCACCTGCTCTGGATCATGCAGAGCCATGCTGGCGCCTGTGTCTTGTCTCACTGTGCCCCATGTGCTTGCGTGTCCAGGTTTCCCAGTGTACGACTACGATCCATCCTCCTTAAGGGATGCCCTCAGTGCCTCTGTGGTAAAAGTGAATTCCCAGTCACTGAGTCCGTATCTGTTTCGGGCATTCAGAAGCTCATTAAAAAGAGTAAGTGCAAAATGAAATCTTCTCTACTCCTCCTTCCAATGCTGTCTGCCTTTTGTCAGTTCATTGGATATACTTTTAAGAAATTTTCTCCAGTTTAAAAATGATAGTAGCTAGTCATCTCTTTCATACTGTCTCTTTTCTTTGACAGAGAAAGATTTAATTACAATTTTTTGTCATGAGGCTATCCAAACCACTTTTGATGACTGATTCTTCTGCTGTATTCTCCTCTCTAACCTTGTCTTCTGGTTCCCTGCAGCCTGCTTTTGTACTTGAAGTCCTCGCGATTCTTTCTGAGGTGTTTTATTACGAACTTCTCATTTATTGGAAATGAGCCTCCTTTCAAATTCAGCAGTTCTGCTCCTAATACTTACTGGAAATAATCTGGCTTTTGAGTCAAAGAAATTCACCTTTCCTTGTCAATTTGGTAATAGTCTGTTTCCTCTTAGCTTTGGGAGCTAAAGAAAGAGTAATCACTTGGGCTTCCAATGACTAAGTCTGTGATATGCAAGGAAAGAAATGTAAAAATATCCTTCAAAGGAAATGAGAAACATAAGCAGCAAGTCATCTCCCTTCTTCCTGTTCCCCAGGTAATTTCACTGCCTTATTATCATCTGCATGGGGCTCATTTGGAGGTAGGGATGAACATATTTTCAAGCAAATTTAGGTTAAGGTGGGAGGTAGAGAGGTTCTATAAAGTTGCACATCTTAGGAATGAAGGCTCTGTATAGCCAGGCAGCATGGGAATGAGAATGAAGACACGGCTGAAGGTCCAGGCAGCAGAGGCCAGATGGACATTGCTTTCTCTCTGTCTGCCTGCTGCCTTCTCCCATCCCTCCTGGACTGACTCTTAGCTTGTTCCCTCTGCTACTCTGTAGAGCACATGGCTCATGATTTCCTAGTTCTAGTCTCCAAATACAACATATTCAGCTTGATCTTCCTCAGAACCTGGCTCCTAGTTTCTCTTTTCCAAATTTCAAGGGAAATGAATCAAAAGGACCCAGTTTTATTTTCTAGTTTGATTATAGTTCATGAAGACTATGGGCTATGCTTTTTTTTAGGTGCCATTCCAGAATCATGGCCAGAGTGGAGTCACTTGCTCTGGATGTTGTGGTGTGGAGGCACTGGTCAGCTGCCACACCAAAGGTTGAGCTGCTCCTGGATCAGAATACAGAACCCCCTTTCCTTGCTTGTATTGTATTTCAAATGCCAGTTTCCATTGGCATTTAATGAAATCCACTTGTGGTGGTGTGGAATCGGGGTCTTTTTGCCAACCTTGCAGATGAACAGTTTAAATTTACTTTTGATTTAGCTATTGCTCACCACAGAAGAAAGTTAGCAGTTTATTAGATGAATAAGAGCATGAGGATAGATCCCAAGAGAACCAATTACTGACACCGTGGAAATCTGCCCTGTGGAGATGAGCTATTGTGAGGCACAGCCACCAGAGCGTGTTCTGGCTCATGTGCCATCTTGGTATAGTCACCCAGACTTGAGCCCAGACGCACATGCACCTAAAAATAGATACAATTATATGCGATGTGTGTGACTCTTGATGAGCACATGAAAAATGTTGCCTCTCCACCTCAAGTACACTGCTCCTTTACCTGGAGGTCTGCCTATTCTTGCCTCTCCCTGCCTTTTCTGATTATTCAAATTCATTGGTCAAGCTACAGTCACCGTGCCCTCTTGTTGAGAACTCTATTTCTTCTCCCACTGGAAGGGAGATTCTCTTCCTTTGATCTCTCCTGGTGATATTTTTTTCTATTGGGAGTGTTTCATATTTTGATTTATGTTGTGTGTATTAACCATGTCTTCTATAAACACCCTATAGATGGCTCCAAATATACCAATTCTCTCTACCCTAGCAGACATGAGGGATACACTAAAAGGCAAAGCCCTCAGGAGAGAGTTGAGTGAATAGATCACTAGCACTGGGGTTACAAACAATTCACGAAAGAGGAAATACAAAAGACTAAGAAAGATTTGGAAAGCTATTCAACCTCCCTAATAGAAGAAAAGTGCAGAATTAAAATAGCAATGTGAAAAAGAAGAATAACAAGGTAAAAGAATAACGGTGAAAAAAACATCACAACTGCCGCTCGAGAGTTTGGAATTTTGTAAAATTGTATTTGAAAAGCAAGTTGGAAATATGTGTTAAACATATTTACTAGCATGTTAAACGTTAAATTAGTAAATATTTAAAACTTTCAATTGCATAGTTTCACTTCTAAGAATATGTTCAAAGCAAATAAGTGGTTTAGTCATGAGTATTTGGGGGTACAGTTCAATGGTTGTAGGGAGAAGGGTCGGGCCCTTCTGTTTTGCCCTCAGGTTTGCTTACCAAGTGCAGTGATTCTCTACTCAGACTACACATCATCATTGCACGGGAGCTTTAAATATTTCTGATGTCCAGGAGGGATGATCGACTCCTTAAATCCCAGTCTCTGAGGGCGGGACTCATATTCTTAAATGTTCTCCTGCTCATTCTAATGTGCGGTCTCGGTGAAGAACCACTGGGTATTACCAACAGACCTAGATCAAATATTCTTTTAATTGATTTCAAGTTACTCACCTCCTGGGCTCCAAATTTGAGAAAGGAGGAGAAAGGAAAAATCCACACGACTTTAGCACTGATGGTTTTCTTGCTCCAACCTTGACATTAGGCTCACTTGGACTATTCCCTCAGTGGACACAAGCAGAGAAAGGAAAGGTGGGCATTGGCCCTATGCTGGGCCCTATGCTGGGGAGGGGGAAGCAAAGAGGACAAGTAGGGCTGTGGTTTCATAGGGAGCAGTTTCTACCAGGGAAAGAGAGGGAAAGGAGATGGGGAGGGAGGGGAAGGGGAAGAAAGGGGAAGAGGAAGAGGACACAGTTAAATAAACCAAATTCATTTCCAATAGTGGAGAGTACCGTAGAGGAGGGTAAGCAGGTTGACATGATAGGCCTTGCCTGGGGCAGCAGTCAGATGGGGCAACAGTGTCCTCTGATGCTGCATCTTTGAGCTAAGACTCACTCCAGTGACAAGAAGTTCCCACTGTGGAAAGACGTTCTGAGGAATATTGGGTGAGCTGGCAGAGTCAGTGGGAGGGTCCTGAAGGACGAAAGACCTTGAGAGGGAGGCTGGCTAGAGCCAAGTGAGCCTGGGAGAGAAAGGTGGGAGTGGAGAGCGGTCAGAGAGGTGGGCATGAGTGGGACATGCCTAGGTCATGATTTTGAGGAGTTTGAGGTCTGTTTTAAGGGCAATGGGTATCCCCTAGGGACATGTGCATTTGCAAAACATCTCTGCTTAGCTTGGGCCACCGTAACAAAGTACCACGAACACATAACAAACCATGGTCTAGGTGGTGCATAAAAAACACCAATTTATTTCTCAGAATTCAGGAGGCTGAGATCTGGGATGAGGGTGCCAGCATGGTCTGGTTCTGGTGAGGGCCCTCTTCTGGGCTGCAGACTGCTGATTTCCTGCTGTATCCTCACATGGCAGAAAGAGAGCTAGCTGACTCTCCAGCCTCTTCTTATAAGGATGCTAATCCCACTTATAAGTGCTCTACCTTGAAGACCTAATAACCTCCCAAAGGCCCAACCTCCAAATATCACATCAGGGATTAGAGTTTCACTATACGGATTGGGGCAGGGGGACAAACAGTCCATTGCAATCTTTCCAGCTGCTGTGTGGAGTGGGGTGTGAGGGGAGAAACTGATCATGGTGAGATGCTGGTGTGGGGTCTCAAGTCAGGGCAGGGAGGATGCGGGGAGCAGATAGATTTGAGGTACATTTGGAGGCAAAGCCATGGAGTTTTGGGATCCTTGAGGTCTCCATGCCTTTTTTGTGTGTCCATTTTACCTTTCAACCTCTTTGCATTTTTTGGTTTTTGGCTTTCTAAATTATTCTCAGCTAGCCATTTCTGATCTTTACTTTTTGTCCATTAATAAGGGATTCATTTGAAAAACCTAAGTGACCATTGATGCCCTATTAGTGAGGGTTCTCCAGAGAAACAGAACCAATATGACATGCATACATATATAAATGGATGCATATGAATATATGAGAGAGAGACATTGAGAGAGACAGAGAT
Source organism: Homo sapiens (assembly GCF_000001405.40). Classification (NCBI taxonomy): domain Eukaryota; kingdom Metazoa; phylum Chordata; class Mammalia; order Primates; family Hominidae; genus Homo; species Homo sapiens. Next base: position 234,055,172 of record NC_000002.12, read on the forward strand.
TTATTATAAGGAATTGCCTCATGCAATTTCAAAGGCTGGCAAGTCCAAAAGGAAAAAAGAAAATCTGATGAGGTAGGCCAGCAGGCTGGAGATTCAGGGATAACTTACAGTTTAAATCCAAAGGCAGTCTGCTGGCAGAATTCCTTTCTGATGGGAAGATTTCTGTCTTTATTCTATTAAGGCCTTTAACTGATTCGATGAAGCCCACCCACATAATGGAGGGTCATCTGCTTTACTTAAAGTCCACTGATTTAAATATTAATCCCATTCAAAGAATAGCTTCACAGAAACATTCAGAAAAATGTTGACCAAATATCTGGGCACCATGGTTCAGTCAAGTTGACACTATAAAATTAACCATTACAATTGTCAAATGGAATTGCTATGGGTCTTTTATTTTTATATATTTGTATTTCTTTTAAAAATAAAAACCAAAATGTAATCATTACAAAAAGTCAAAAAATACAAGAAAGGGAAAATGAAAAATAACATTCATTATCCATTTATCTGAGAAACACTCACTATAAACCCATGAGAGGATATCCTTTTGGAGTGTTTTTATTCATATGAAGGTATACAATGTATTTTTAAAGAAAAATAGGACAATACTGTAATACTGATTGTAAATTCTCATAATTTGTTTCAGCAATAATGCTGGGTTTTTAATTTTCTCCAGTTGACTTCTTTTTTTTTTTTGGAAATGAATTATTTTATTTTATGAGTATCTTGGTAAGTTTTTTTATTATACTTTAAGTTTTAGGGTACATGTGCACAACGTGCAGGTTTGTTACATATATATACATGTGCTATGTTGGTGTGCTGCACCCATTAACTCATCATTTAACATTAAGTATATCTCCTAATGCTATCCCTCCCCGCTTCCCAGTTGACAAATGGGATCTAATTAAACTAAAGAGCTTCTGCACGGCAAAATAAACTACCATCAGAGTGAACAGGCAACCTACAGAATGGGAGAAAATTTTTGCAATCTACTCATCTGACAAAGGGCTAATATCCAGAATCTACAATGAACTCAAACAAATTTACAAGAAAAAAAACAAACAACCCCATCAACAAGTGGGCGAAGGATATGAACAGACACTTCTCAAAAGAAGACATTTATGAAGCCAAAAGACACATGAAAAAATGCTCATCATCACTGGCCATCAGAGAAATGCAAATCAAAACCACAATGAGTTGACTTCTTATTGTTCAGCATTTAGGCTGTCCCACATTTCTTGAATTACACAGAATAGAAATTTACTGGCAGAAAGTGAGTTCAAATGAAACAGCAAAAATGTTAGATGTTTCTCCCTATTCTTGAAAGTCCCCTTCAAGATGCAAAAGAGGTTGCAAAGTTATCTCATAGCTCAATAAAATGATCTGTACCCCCAAAAAACTCACATTTTCATCTTTTCAGCTAAGCTTTTGTGTTGCCAGTTGCTTCCATCAAATTGCTTTTAGGTGAATTGCTGAAGCTCACCCTGCAGTGGAGGGCCCCAAACAATGGACTTCAGTTGATGGGAGAGATTTTTATTTTTTAATTTTTTAATGAGACACAGATTTAACGTTCAATATATTAAAATTATAAGTATATGAGGTAGTAATTAATGGTGAGGTTGAGTTTTTATTTCTACTTGTTTTCAGAAAATTCTACTTTTATCAGCACTCATTATGTGTCCTATGTTAGGAGACATAAAGATCCCCGTCCTCAGCTTGGAGTTTTGCCACTTTTTTTCCAAAACAAAATGTTCTGCATGTGCCTATTATTCCCTACTTGTAAGTAGTTCTCGCTCTCACAGAAAGAGCGCTGCCTCCATCTCTCTCCTCCCTGGGCAGTACGTTCAATGTGTTGCTGACTTCAATTTGCTGCAAGGTGGGTTCAGAAACTAAGAGGCAAGAAGTGACTTGGATCCTGGGGGTGTTGTCAGGTACTGGACCGTGGCAGGCTCCCCACTGGCTTCCTGCTGCCCCCTTGTTCCTGCCCCAATCTGTTTACCTTGCAGCAGCCACGGTGATTCACGTGCTGCTCTTAAAACTCTGTGATAGCATCTCGCTGCAGTGAGAATTAAATGTAAACACCTTTCCGTGGGCTCCAAGACCATACCTGACACGCTCCATCTCTCCAAAGTCACAGTGTATGGTTCCTGCCCTGGTCAGGTTTGCTCCAGCCACAAGAGTCGGAGTTGTCCCTGCCCCAGGGCATTGGCTCTGCTTTCTATTCACAGGATGAGCTTCTTCCCATCCTTCAAGGCTCAGTTTAAATTTGCCTTCCTTGGGAGGATTTTTCTGGCATTTTCTCTAAAACAGCTGCTTCCTTCCCTCACCCCCATTGCCATGTTGTTGTTTTTCTTGATAGCCCCATAACTATCTGGGATGATCTTGGATAGTTTTCTTTGATGTGTCCACTGTGTGGCACCTCCTCTGGAATTTAAGCCACTGGGCATCTTCCCTGCTCTGCCTCTGGTGCTGAACACACAGTGAGTACTCAAGAAGTCACAGGAATTTGTGACATCAGAACTCCCCAGATTTGTCATGGAGTTTAGATTATTTTCCTTTGTGGAAAGGAGAAGAAAATCATTTAAACTCATTCACATATCAGAACTGCTCAAGCAGGAAGCTAGGGCTGGAGAATAGTCTGTACTGCAGAGAGCACTCGTTGCTCAATTACTTATTTCTGGAATTATTAAAAAATTATGGAGCAGTCTTTTAGGAAAATGACACTTAGAAATATGGACAGTTGATTCTTCTTACTTGTAGTAGTTATGTTGTATAAAATCACCACGAACACTGAATTAGCAAACACAGAATCATTGCTCCTAGGGGAAATAGAAGGTTTGGTTCCTGTGAGCCTTGGGTCACAACATTTTCATCAACCCATCAATACTAACCTTGTTTTTGTGAGTTCCTGCTTAAAGATGCTTAAATTAATATATATTGTTGATTCATTAACATTGAACTCACGACCAACAGCACTGTGACTCCTGCCTGAACAAAGCTTACCTTACTCACATATTTTCCATGTCAGCTGCATCACAGCCTTGTGCTTTGGAACACTAGTGGGTTCTTCCACACCAGGCTTGGGGGCCATCATAAACATAAAGCTACTAACAAAAAGCACAAAAATGCAAAAAAAGCCACGAAATAGACCATAAAAAGCACACTTGTTTTCAATATGAGAGTTGAAACAAGAAGGAAGAATGTCTCCTTGTTCGGCTCCTGTTGGTAACATGCATGTTGGGTGACTCAAGATTTTTGTCGTTCTGCATTTGTCCCTAGATGATTGCCAAAGTAAGTGTTACTAGTATTGATTTTGGGGTTACAAATAAATTTTAGTGAGTAGGTGAGTTTGCCAATATGGAATCCACAAACAGTGAGGATCAATTGTCACTGTAAAGTGTTAGAAGCAATACTGGCCTTGGAGTTAGAACACCTACATTCTGGTTCCATTTTCGTCACTAAACTATTGTACGACTTTGTTAAGTCACTTTTCCTCTCTGGTCTGCAGAAGAAAGGCACGGAACTAGGTGATTGCTAAGATAATTTATTGCTTTCATGGTGGACAATTCTGTAATTTTTTTCTTATGGGGTAGAGACAATGATTTATAGCATCATAAACTTCAGAAATGCATTGATCACACTCTGAAACTTTATTTTTGTGAAGGTTGAGGTCCTAGATGAGAACAACTTGGTCATGAATTTAGAGTTCAGCATCCGGGAGACTACATGCAGGAAGGATTCTGGAGAAGATCCCGCTACATGTGCCTTCCAGAGGGACTACTATGTGGTAAGTGGGAGGAGACCCATCCCAGAAATGAACAAAAGGAAGAGCCTCACTTCTTCCATGACCTGGAGTCACACAAAGAACTTGGTCGCTGCCTGGCTAGCATCTGGCCACACTGCTAACATGTGGACATTGTGTCCCCTGGTGGGGGAAGTGTTACTCCGTGGCTGAACATTGAGCTGTGGAGTCTGAGATCCTGAGTGATCCTGACAAATTACTTTATCCCTGGTGCCTCAGTTTCCTGCTTTTTAACATGAGGATGAATTTGTATCAGGTAAAGTGAATACAACACCAGAGACAAATCCCAGACACACTTAAAATTCTCTTACAAAGGATTATGAAACACTGACTCTTCCTGGCACATGTCACGTTCTTTTGCCATTGACCGTTGAATGACATCTGTCTTCCCCACTAGTTCAGGCTCAGTGAGATCAGGAACATGGCATGTTCGCTTTCGTGTCTCTCATGACCAGAACATGTACAGCACTGTTCCGTGGTAAGCAGGACCATGAAAACCTAACCCCAAAGGCCAAGGGAGCTGAGAGGCTGAAGAAAGAGGCTCCCAAATCCAGTTTCTCGGAAAAACAAACAAACAAACAAACAAACAAAAAACACTTCATAGGGACTTACAAACAGAATGCATGTCTTGGGTGGAGGTGAGACAGTGGATCCCTGTGCCATTACCTCCCAGATCCAGGGCTTACATACTGTAGGGAATTTGACCCAAGGCCAGGATTTATGGTATGCACATGAAAGTGGAAATCTTAGAGGGATTCCCAGAAACGGGTTAATCAGAAGTCATCATGGCAGATTGGCATCCAAGGTGGAATAGCTTTAGTCTCCACAGACACTTAGTCAACACCCATGGGCAATAATCCCATCTGAAAAGGGCAACACCAGCAGTCCAAAATTTGTTTTCCAAAGTGTTTGCATTCTGAGGTTCAAGCTCGTGGGTTTTGTTACTTAAAAGAGGATGTTTGATTTGTTATTTGTTTCATGAAACTACTCACTGTGACTCTGTTTTACAAAGGACTCATACCAAAGTGTCACAAGCTTCTATTTCTAATGAAATCTGAGGGCAAAGAAGAAGAGAGTGAAGTCCTGTGGGGTTCTTCGTCATTTCTTTTTGTCCGAATGAAAATTGACTCAGGGCAGCCCAGTTAGCACTCATGGGGGAAATGTTTGCGTTTCCTAGAGACTTGTAATGGGTCAAACAGCAAAGAGATGTTTAAATATTCCATTTGTTTCTGCTTCGGTCTTGAGGAATTTTCATTTTGAAAAAATAAAATGCCTCTGTGAAGTTTTTCTTTGTCATTTCGTCAAACCTGACATTTATTTTCCTGATTTACTCAATGGAGGCTATCCCTTTCCACAAACAGCTGAAGAGAGAACTCACCCCTTTGTCTTTTCCAGTCCACAGCTGTTTGCAGAAGCACCGTGAAGGTATCTGCCCAGCAGGTGCAGGGCGTGCATGCTCGCTGCAGCTGGTCCTCCTCCACGTCTGAGTCTTACAGCAGCGAAGAGGTATGACTGGGGCCTTGTCTCCTCCCAGACCGCACCTCTTAGGGTCTGTGTGGGTTTGTGAAAAACAGAGTGGTTTGCTGGGTAGCTGGATCATCACCTGGGCTTGGGGATGCCGAACTCTGCTGACACAGTGGGATTCTCTCTTGGACACCTACAGCCTCATTGTCCACATCCCCTACTTCTCCCAGCTTATTCTTTCACTCGTGTATGTCCTCTCTCTTTCTCTCTCTCTCTCTCACACACACACACATATGCACACACACACACGCACACACACACACATGCACACACGCACACATACACACGCACACACACTTGATTTCCCTGGGATTGGGAAATGGCCTTCAAGTAAAATTAACAAACCTTTAAAGTTTCAGATCTAAGTATGTGGCTCGCTGGCACTGTGGTTTAGTGCAATCAAGAAGGACATTTTTGTTGGACCAGTGTTCAAAACTATTTCTCAGCTCTGTAGTCCAGGTCAGGATACTTGACTTTCATTTAACCCTCATGATCCATGGCTTCTTCATCTGTTAAATGCTAGCAGTCATAAAGACCACCTTATAGGTTGTTGAGAAAATCCAGTAAGCTGATGGACATGAAGGATCTGGCTTGGCACTGGGATACTCAATGGATGGCAGGACCCTTATTTTTCCTCAATTGCATTGAAAGTTTGATTTGCAATAATACTGTAATATTAATAATATATACATTTTTTCCTTGAAATTATATTATATAAGTGTCCAATTATTGGCTGCTTTCCATACTAGACTGTATGTCTCATGAGGGCAGGGAATGTTTGTTTTTGTCAGTCTAGGACAATGTGTGATGCATCACAATGTTTGACATAGCTCACTAAATACTTGTTGTATAAATGCAAGAAAACTGGGGAAGAAATGGACAAGAATATGATAAGAAGAGGCCATCTCTTCACTTTAAACTAGGGATAAAAACATGACATATTATTTGTTCATGTGTAATAGGATAATATTATTGACAGATATTTTTAAATATTTCCAACATTATATGGATGATTCTAACATAATCTTTCTTTCCTTTTTATATTTTTGTTCAGTTTTTCAAGATTTAACTCTGTAGTGAAAATTACATTAAAATATTATAAAATTTCTACTTCAAGAATTACACATAAAAGTTAATTTTCCCATATAATTAATATACTCCTGCCTTAACTATTTCTTCTGGAGGTACATTTTAGAATTAGAAAGTAATGAAACTAATGACTGAGACACTCCTATTGCAGAGGATGGCCTTATTGGTACAAAGAGAACTTAACACAGTTTATTAGGACTTTCTCCACAAAAAGTTCAGTTGAGCACGGCCTTATTGATTGATCCCGTCACACTGGCAACTTTCGAAGGTCAACCCCCAGGTGACCTCTGAACTTGTCCTGGAGCCATAGTTGAAGAATCTTCTTTTCTCAGGGCTGGGGCGAGTACCATGGGCCTCCTTTCTTAGACCCTATTGAAATATTTAGGAAGTCAAATACATTCTGCTGTAACACACTCATACACTGTGGCCCCGCTAACCAGAAATGACAAGGACCAAGCTTATCACTTCACAAGTCTTTTGTTAATCTTGATTTGTGGTTCATATGAGAAAAAAGACAGTGGGGAGGAAGACAAGCACAGTGCTAGCCTTTGTGGAGTTTATAGACACGTCTTGGGGAAAGGTGCCCACTAAGCAGGAATTACCCTATCAGGCAGGCACTGGGGGCCACATAGTGAGAGGAATGCATGTCACCTGGGGAGCAGACAGCTTCCCCCAGGAACTGACCTTCCAGCCAAGAACTGGAAGGCGGGTAGAAGTCAGAACAAACAGGGCAGAGTGTGGAGGGGGAAGGGTATTTCAAGCATAGGGGAAATCAGGTGGGGTACCCTGAATTGCCAGGAAAGCTGGTGGGTTGAAATGGACAGAACTCCATTACAACAGGAATGAGAAAAACATGGGGAGAGAGGCACAAGGTGGAGCTGGAGGAACATTAGCAGTCAAGATGGACTTTGAGGGTCTTGTCGAGGTTGCCTGGCTCTATCCTAAAGACAAAGGGGCTATGAAAGAGTTTTAAGTGTGTGTGTGTTGGGAGCAGAGGAGGGTAACAGAATCAGATGACGAATAGATTGGAACTAGGTAAGAATAAATATGGAGTAAATATGAAATAAATAAGAGGTGAGAGAGAATGCTAACTGGGTCTAGGGCTTAGTAGTGAATGTTGAAAGAAATGGATTCTGGTTCATTTTATGACCTTTAACACAAAATGAATTTAGTAAATGGCCAGCTAAGTTAACGCCTCTTCCACCCTGATTTGGAAAGTGGGTTCTGATTGTTTGCAAAGCCTACAAATCTGTTGCAGCTTTCTAATTGCATAGTGAAGACCACTCTCTTTTCTTCCAATTCCAAGTTTTCTAAGAAGACTCAGATATTAAGTTAGCCCTTGTAAAAAACTAGATCTTAAAATAAACTCTCTGATTGCTTCTTCTTAAAGGTTAGGTGATCATAAACATTTTTGAGCAAATTTATTTTTAAAAATTCTCAAATTAAAAAATTCTACAATTTGAAAGACAAGAAGAAAGCAGATAGAGACTTAAGTAATTCCTGGAAACTCTGAAATGAATTTCTTGCATGAAACAGAGAAGAAATGAGAGAACAGCTGGTAATCATTCTCAGTGAAAAAAAATGGCAATATTATAAATATGAAAGACATTAGATTAGGATACATTTAGTCATAGAACAAATAAATTATTGTTGGAAGGAAGAAATAGAAGAAATAAAACTGAAAAAAACTCCCAGAGTAATAAAAATAAAGATCACTTGAAAAACATATAGAGAATGTAGAAGAATTTCCAGAGTAAGGAATATAAGGTAAAGAAAAATGGAAGCCATGGCAAATAAGCCCCAAAATCCAAATTATGACTAATAAGGACTTAGAGTAAGTCTGGTAAGGACATAATGAAAGCCCTGAATATAAAATATTTGGACTTTCCATGACATAATTTTTTAAAGTATAGTAACAATAAAAAATTGAGAAAATAAATTTCTAAATTTGCAAATATTCTCCTATAGTTAACTAAATAGATAGGTGAATTATCGGTAGTTTTTATTATTTCTTTTTCAATCCCGAAATTGAAATGTGTAGAGGATAAAAGCTTTCCTTATGGTGCATAAGCACTCACTCAACCTCGTACTGGTGCAGGCCCCATCAGGAGTACGATGCTGAAATGGTACAATGTATTACAGTTGTAGGTTGGAGCTCTCTTTCTCTTTCTTCAGTTTCTAATGAGTGAGCTTGACTTTAGACAAATCCTTCTGATTTGGAGCGGATAGGATGAAGTCAGCTAGGGTTTCCGACACGAGACCCAAAATAAGAGAGAGAAACTGAAGAAGAATGATGACAGGAATTCTGAGCTTACGGGAGGGGTGACGGGCATTTAATTTATTTACTGCCTTTCATTTCAAAAGATAGATATTCAACTAGAAGTAGTCTAAGCCAAAAAGAGGTAATTCCCTGGATCACATTCCCAGAAAGGAAGGAGAGAAGTTGGCTTCAGGGACAACTCGACTTAGAGTCCTTCAGTCCTGTATGTGCCACATTCTTCTCCTTCCCCTTCTCTCCTGGCCTCCCCTCCCCTCTGCCCCTCCCTCTTCCTTCTCCCCCTCATTCCCTTTTCTCTCTCTCTCTTCCTCCCTTTCCTCCTCCCTCTCCCTCTCCTTCTCCTTCCTTCTCTGAGCCTCCTCCATCTTCTCCTCCTTCCTCTGTCTCTCTCTCTCTCTCTGTCACTGTGCCTTCTGCACTCCACGTCCACCCTTGCTGCAGAGAGGCTTTCCCCTTGCAGCAGGAAGTAAAGCCTCAAGCTACTCCAGACTTATGTCCTCTGTACTTAGGAGGGAAAAGAGGCATTTCTCTCTGCTGCCAGTTAGAGAAACCTCTTGGTATTCCCTCTATTGGCCTGGCTTAGGTGTCCCCTCTTTTTGTTCTTTTATACATATAACTTTATTATTAATTTATTTTAAATTTTATATATTTACTTGTGTACAATGTGATGTTTTGATACCCCCCTTTAAAAATACATTTTGGTGGAGATATAATTTACATACCATAGAATTCACCCTTTTAATATGTACAGTTCAGTGGTTTCTAGCATATTCACAACTGCCACCACCATTTAAATCCAGAACACTTTTATCACGCGGGAGAGAGACCCCAGTAACAGTTGTTCTCTATTCCTCATTCCTCCTAACACTTGGCAACCACTAATCTACTTTGTGTGTCTATGGATTTGTCCATTCTGATCATTTCATACAAATGGAATCGTACAGCCTGTATTCTTTTGTGACTGACTTGTTTCACTTAGCATAATGTTCTGGAGGTTTATCCATGTTGTAGCATGCATCAATGCTTCATTCCTTTGTATTGTTCCGTTTTACAGAGCCACATTTGATTGATCCATTCATTCATTGATCGACATTTTGCTTATTTCTCCCTTTTTGGCTATCATAGATAATGAGGCTAGAAGCATTCATGTGCAAGTTTTTGTGTACACATGTATTTAATTCTCTTGGAAACAGAATTCCTGGATCATATAGTAACTCTATGTTTAATGACCGTATAGTGACTTTATGTTTAACTTTTTGAGGAACTGCCACATTATTTCCATAGCAGCTGTACCATTTTACATTCCCACCAGTAATGTATGAGGATTTCAGTTTCTATACATTTTTGTCAGTTCTTGTTGGTGCCTGTCTTTTTTATTTTAGCCATTCTAGTGAGTGTGACGTGGTATCTCATTGTAGTTTTTTTTGTTGTTGTTGACAGAGTCTCACTCTGTCACTCAGTCTGGAGTGCGGTGGCACAATCTCGGCTCACTATAACCTCTGTCTCCTGGGTTCAAGCAATTGTAGTGCCTCAGCCTCCCAAGAAGCTGGGACTACACGTGCGTGCCACCATGCATGGCTAATTTTTGTATTTTTAGTAGAGACGGGGTTTTGCCATGTTGGCCTGCCTGGTCTCCAACTCCTGGCCTCAGCTAGTCTGCCTGCCTTGCCTCCCAAAGTGCTGGGATTACAGGCATGAACCACTGTGCCTAGCTCTCATTGTGGTTTTAATTTACATTTTTCTAACGACTAATGATTGGCCATTATACATCTTCTTTGAAGAAATGTCTATTCAAATCCTTGCCTATGATTTAATTGCACTATTTGTCTTTTTATTTAGTTGTTTTGAAATATTTTCTCCCCCTCTATGGGTTGTCTTTTACTTTCTTGATGGTGCCCTTTGAAGAGCAAAATTAAATTTTGATGAACTCCAGTTTATCTATTTTTTGTTTTGTTGTTTCTGTAGTCTTACATTAGGTCTATGATCCATGTTGACTTGATTTTTGCATATGTTGTGAGGAAGGGGTTTGACTTCATTCTTTTGCATGTGCATATCTGGTAGTATCAGCACTATCTGTTGAAAAGAATGTTCTTTCTCTCTTAAATTGTCTTGGTATGTGTCCCTTCCCAGTCCAACTACTGTGATGGAGGCCAAGAAATTACCTGACTGTTCAGGACAGGGAGGACAGCCTACCAAGACTCTTGGTAGAAAGACTGCGAGCCAAGCAACCACTTTACTTTGTGATGATTGCATGGACTTTTAGTGGTTTCATGAAAACTTCTTGTGGACACCTTTTCCTACTGAACATATTACAGTGACTTTATAGAGAGAAACCTCTAAAATTCGATCTAAACTTAGTCTGTGTGCAAGTCTGTGTAACAGGGTTTTGCTTTTCTGGAAGCCGGCAATGTTTGGGAGTACATTCTCAGTCTAGGGGAAAGATCTGTGGGTAATTTAAACTTCACGTAGTTTGCTCTTCCCCATGTGCTTTTTTAGACTTATATGTTTGATATATATAAAGTTATTTAATATAACGTATTGCCTATTTCATTAAAAATGGATTATATAACATATATCAGAGTCTTCCAGATGACATTTACATTTTTCAGTGTCTTTCCTTTTTCTTTCTTTCATGTGCTGACACATCCTGATGCCTGAATTTCTTTAGATGATTTTTGGGGACATGTTGGGATCTCATAAATGGAGAAACAATTATCTATTTGGTAAGTTAAGATCTGTTCTTTTTAACTTTTTTTCTTAAAATAACTCCATATTGCAACTCTTTGTTAGTGAGTCATTTAAAACTAGAAATACATATGTATGTAATCTTGCAACAATTACAGCCATAGAAAATTAACATTTTGTTTTGCTTTTGCTTATTTTTTATCACTAGGTAATAATGATACAACTATTCACTTAGATATTCCTTTGTATTCACAACAGAGCTTTTCCATACATAATTCCATTTGATGGCCCCAACATCTCTGCCAAGTAAGCGGAGCCAGTGTTGGTTTTCCCCTTAAGAATGTCTAGCTGGGAGGATCAGGAGTAAACAGTCTGAATTCTATCGTCTTTCAGCCATACAACTAGATCTGATCATCTCTTTGAATGTCTTAGTTCAGGGAGGAAGGGCTCTCCTTCTTTCTTTTCTTGTGTGGCTTTTAATACAAAGTGGGTTGGGTTAGTGTTCTATGATTTAGGAGGCATTTTTCCTATTAGTGCTGACGGCAATAAAACTCAATGGTGATCTCTCACTGCTTCTTTGCTTAAGAAGCATATTTGTGGCATTAACAGTAAAGTCATAGAACATTCTGGAACAGTGAGAGGAGTCTTGTCTTATGATTATTACTGTGTTACAGGTCTCATTTCAGACGAGTCCATAAGTGAACAATTTTATGATCGGTCACTTGGTAAGTGATTTCTTTCCTGCTGTGCCACCAGACCCTTTTCTGATCAATCTGGACTCCTGAGAAATCCTATTTCATAGCTGTTTCCTGTTTCATAGGAGTTAAATCTCTGAAATACAAAATATTTTAAGTAAAAAAGGAAAAGAATAGTAATGTATAAACTTGCTTTGCAAATCATTAAAAAGGTAGCCTTGAGGCACTAACTGACTTAAAAGTTACCAAGAGGCCGGGCGCGGTGGCTCACGCCTGTAATCCCAGCACTTTGGGAGGCCGAGGCGGGCGGATCACGAAGTCAGGAGATCGAGACCATCCTGGCTAACATGGTGAAACCCCGTCTCTACTAAAAATACAACAAATTAGCCGGGCGTAGTGGTGGGCGCCTGTAGTCCCAGCTACTCGGGAGGCTAAGGCAGGAGAATGGCGTGAACCCGGGAGGCGGAGCTTGCAGTGAGCCGAGATTGCGCCACTGCACTCCAACCTGGGCGACAGAGGCCAGACTCCGTCTCAAAAAAAAAAAAAAAAAAAAAAAAAAAAAAAGTTACCAAGAATCAAAATATCAAATCTGGCTCAGGAAATAAGCATTCACCATTTTTTTTTTCTGACACTCTCTGGAGCATTTAAAAAGTAGCATGAACTCTAATATAATCTTGTTTTTTTAAACTAAAAAATTTAATTTTTATGGGTACATAGGAGGTATATACATTTATGGGGTACATGAGATATTTTGATACAGGCATACAATGTGTCTAATGATCTTCTTTTTGCCATACTCAACCAAATTTCTCACCAAATGGATGAAACAAAGTTATTTTGTCCCTCTCCTGTACAGATCAGTTTTCTCATTTGGTCCTCATGATAGCCCTGTCAACCACGTGTGTTACCTGCTTATATAGACGAATAAAGCAGTAAGAACTCATGGCATTAAATGGCATATGCAAATTGTCTACCCTGTACTAATTGCCTAACACAATTTTCTTCTTCAGTGTCACAAACATTCTGTGAGGTAGCACTATGTTCTTTCCCATTTTGTAGGTGAGCTAACTGAGGCTTAGTGAGTTCCTGTAATTTGCTTGTGGCTACATTGCCAATGTAGGACTTTAATCAGATTTGTCAGAATCTAAAACCTGTGCCTGTTTCATGCTGCCTCCCAGAAGAACTGCGAAATCCACCTGATGTTCAGCATTCCCCATTAAAATGAATAACAGAGATATTAACATTTCAATGAGCTCAAAGTCTGACCTTCATTAGGCAAACTCCAGTTTATTTGAAGTGCTAGAGCTTATAACCTGATGCTTGATTTTTTTTTAATGCCTGTTTTATATCTCATCCAAGTTGTCACTTTGGGAGAATATACAGTTATTATGACAGCATGACCACTGCTGAAACGTTTTTATGAGCTTTTCTTTTAGAATTGCCTTCAGAATCCATGGCTTTTTTTTTTTTTTTTTAAATCTCCGTACTGGTGGCAAACATTTGCCCTTGGATTTGATGTTGGGAATATTCAAAAGATATTTGGAGACAAATCTGATTAATCAGATTAATAATCAACTTGGGTGTGTTGGTTATCTATTGCTATATATCAAATTACCCCAAAATGTGGCAGCTTAAAACCACACACATTTATTATCTCACAGTTTCTGAGGGTCAAAGACCAAGGAGAAACTTAGCTGGGTGGTTCTGGCTCAGAGTCTATCAAAAGGTTTCAGATAAGACGTTGACTGGGCTGTGATCTCATCTGAAGCTTGACTGGGGTTGAAGGAGCCACTTCCAAGCCCACTCACATGTTGTTGGGAAGCCTCAGTTCTTTACAGGCTGTTGGACCAAGGGCTTCAGTTTCTTACCATATGACCTTTCCATAAGACTTCTGAATGTCCTCAAATCATGACAGCTGGATCCCCCCAGAGATGATTATTTGAGAGAAAGAGAGAGAGAGAGAGAGAGAGAATGAGCAAGCAAGAGCACTGAAGGCAGAAGACACAGTCTTTTATAAACTAATCTTGGAAGTGATATATCATCACTTCTGCATAATCTATTATTAAATACACAGGCCAATCCTGCCCCAATGTGGGAAGGGACTGCCCAGGAGTGTGAATACCAGGAAGCCATCTTGGAAACTGATTATTGTATTGGACAAATGCCATTTGGGACTAAAAATATTATATGGCTATAAATTAATGTGACCAATTCTTTTATATATCTCAGAAGAAATTTCTAAGCCAAAATCTAAAAACACATTGGGCCTGGGGGAGCATCATTGACACAGAAGTGCGGCTGTCTTGGAGACTGCTTTGAACATGATGATTTAATTTAATTCAATAAATGTGTGTGACAAACACTGGGTAGATCCCTTGGAGGACTGAAAGATAAATGTGGCAGTTCCTGCCCTCCAGGGCATCCATGGTGGCTGAGACATCACATGTAGTAATAAGGAGTGGGGAGAAATGAGCGCTAGACCAAGCTGAAACACAACACGGGGGAGAAGGAGAGAGAATGGAATAAGGAAGATGAAGTTATCGCACCCTCAGGTATTCTCATGGCAGATGGGTTCAGGTTATGCTTGTCACAATCCTCCTCATTAATTTGTAGTAACATTGTCCACACTGTCTCAGATCTTGATGTGACTGACAGAGCCTATGCTTCCCTTTTCTATCTTTAGGGATCATGAGAAGGGTATTGCCTCCTGGAAACAGAAGGTACCCAAACCACCGGCACAGAGCAAGAATAAATACTGACTTTGAGTAACGGCCTTGAGGTAAGAAAATGCAGGTGCACACAAGTGTATTTAGAAATAGAAGCTACGTGGAGTGAACGCCTTAAAACTGCTGACCTTCAAATATCTGCAATATGCTATTCAAATCCTTGCTTTTCGGCTTCTCTGACCTCCTTCCCAAGACTTCTCCTCAATTGCCTCTTCAATCTCATGCACCCTCAATCTTTTTCCCATGACATTTGTATCTGTTGCCACTGATGTGGTCAAGTCTGTCCATGTGAGGAGCAAACAAACAACAAGGGCACAGCCCCTTCTTTTGGCCCATCTCATCCATCTAAGCAACTGCCTTCCCTCCGTCCTTCCTTCCTTGCTAAACTTTTTGACACAACTGCGGTCTCTGGTTGCTTCCTCAACCTCCTCACCTCACATCTATGAAATCTCATCTAGCTTCCTTTTCTGGATGTGTACTTTATTTATTATTTATTAATTTATTTTTTGAGAGGGAGTTTCGCTCTTGTTGCCCATGCTGGAATGCAATGGCATGATCTTGGCTCACTGCAACCTCTGCCTCCTGGGTTCAAGCAATTCTCCCACCTCAGCCTCTCTAGTAGCTGGGATTACAGGCTCCTGCCACCACGCTCAGCTAATATTTGTATTTTTAGTAGAGATAGCGTTTTACCATGTTAGCCAGGCTGGTTTCAAACTCCTGACCTCAGGTGATCTGCCTGCCTCAGCCTCCCAAAGTGCTAGGATTACAGGTGTGAGCCACCACGCCTGGCCGACGTATGCTTTAAATACTGGTGAGCATTCGTATGATCTCCTTAGTTTAATTCTTTCCCTATGCTGTAGATTACTCTTTTATCTCTTCTTCTTGCTTGACTTTAACTATCAATGATGCATAATTATTTCCAAACACATGTCTCTTACCACACTCTATGTCTGGATCCAGGCCTTTATAACTGCCTCTTGGGTGGTGTTGCCATTGTGTATCCTGGGTGTCCCTGAAACTCAACTAGCTTCCTGACAAGCTCCCTTTCTTAATTGATGGCATTACCATCCACCTAATTTGCTCAAGCTAAAAATCTTGAGGGCATCACTGACTCCCCTTCATCCTTCATCTTCTTGGAACATACATTGGGGTCCAGTCTTATTCATTTCACCCCCACATTTCTCTGGCATTGCTCCATCACTTCACTACCATCACCAATGAACTATTGATTGTATTCTTGCATCAGGTTCTGATCCCATACTGTCTACCTTGCTTGCTGTCCTCAGGTTTATCGTGAAACATGGAGGAGACTCTGATCCTTGCCCCATATAAACTAATGCTTGCTTCACTTGTGGGACTGAGCAGAGGTGGGCAACAGCCAGACACTGGGCCAAGAGGAGGAACAGCCTATCTGCCCCAGTTCTATAGAAAGCTAGAGACAGAGTCCTGGTTTATCATACTGGCACTGAGCTTCATAGAGTTTCACATGAGTATAAATTCCCAGTTACTAGGGATGGGATTGGAGCAAATGTAGCTATCATGAAGGGCACACGTAAGAGGAATCTCAAGATGGAATTATAGATGTCGATTCCATGCATAGGTATTTTACATGCGCACATGTGCACACACAAGTTAATAATGAAGTTGGAGTGTTCACGGGCTTTACAGTCTGCATAACACTGCATGCTTTCAGGATAAAGTCCAAACTCCCAGTGTAGCTCACAATGGCTTTCATGACCTGGGTCTGCCCACATCTCCAGCCTCACCTGGCCGCTCAGCTCCTGAGGCACTGAGGTACTTGCAGCTCCTCTGGCTGCTGCCTCTACTGGGACCAGCCACCTGACTAGTTCTGCCTCACCATTCAGGTCCCAGCTCAGTTGTCACTTCCCTTTGGAGGTCTACGTTGACACCACAAACCACCACCACTGAATCAGAGATGATGTCCCTTTTTGGGCCTCTGTAGGTTCCTCATCACAGGGCACTGCCATTGGTTGTTTCCTGTCACCCATCTGACTAACAGACTTCCCAAGAGGAGGTCTCAAGGAACTTCAACTGCCACTGTCCCGCAGTGCCCTGCACACAGCCCAGCACACTCAATAAATAGCACTCAGTAAATATTTTTTAAGTGAATGAAATCCTTCACTTTGGGTTCTTGAAATCCTTTTACCAAAAACATCAGTTAAGCATGGTATAATTAATTTTTAACCATTGAAATTTGAAAGAAATCAACTGACATTTTACTAAAATAGAAGGGAAATTCACCATTGAGGCCTTCTTGGATGAAAGACACAAATGGTAGCTTTTCTTTTTAATGTATGGCACAACTCTAAATATAAAAACCAGCTCCATACTGAGATCAAGAATCTACTCATTATGAAGCAACAGATGCATCATATTCCTTTTTTATAAATGTAAATGATATCTTTTTTTTTTCTTTACAGAACATCATGGGTTATGGGCAGGGAGAATAGAGTTCTCAATGGATTGGCTGTATTTTGTTTATTAGTAATATGATAACGTTGGATGTGTATACATATGTGTATTGCAATATAAATTCATCATTTGATTTTTATGAAGAAATTGATCACTCAAAACATTTATTTTTAAAGACAGCTGCAGCCCTGACCTGAACATTGGATTTGACTGAAGTCCCAGTTATGTCTCTGCCCTCCCATGACCTTTAGCAGGGCAGGTTTCTACACTGTGCTGGGTTCCCTGAAATCACAGAATGAGGCTGGTAAGGCCGGCATAGTGGGTCTAGTGAGGAGGTCAATCCGATGGGATCTGGAATCCACGGGCCTGGTTCTGAGCCTGCTCTCCCATCTGTAATGGTGATTCAGTTCCTTAACCTCTCAGGGTGCAATTCCTTCAAGGGTTTATTATTACTTTTTGCTTTTTCTTGTCCATACTAGACCATAAGCTTCCTTTTTATTTTGAGACAGAGTGTTGCTGTGTTGCCCAGGCTGGAGTGCAGTGGCACAATCTCTGCTCACTGAAAACTCCGCCTCCCAGGTTCAAGCGATTCTCCTGCCTCAGCCTCGTGAGTAGCTGGGATTGCAGGTGCCCACCACCACGCCCAGCTAATTTTTGTATTTTTAGTAGAGATGGGGTTTCACCATGTTGGCCAGGCTAGTCTCAAACTCCTGACCTCAAGTGCTCCACCTGCCTTGGCCTCCCGAAGTGCTGGGATTACAGGCATGAGCCACCACGCCTGGCCGACCATAAACTTCTTGAGGATGCATTCTCCTTGTTAATTATTGCAGTTTTACAACATGTAAAAATATTATTAATGATATGTCTATACAAAATTATTAAAAATATCTTTTGTCCATTTCATAAGGCTAAGAACAGTGTATAGAATACAATCAATCAGATTGGGAGGGAAGAATGAATGAGTGCATGACCAGAAACAAAATTACTCTTTTGAAATTGTGAGTGTCATTTTTCCACTGGGAAGCTCTTTGAAGGCAGAGACTTGGGCTATTTGTTATGAAATCCCCAGAGCCCTAAACACTGTTCTAGGACTCTTTCATGTTGCCAGAAAATGATTTAATATATGAGTAGATAGTGAAATGTAATATTTAAATAAAATACTCTGAATTTTTTTCTTATTTATTGCTCTAAGGTAGGAAATGTAGAAAATCAGGTCCCAACTCTCATGTTGAAAAAATCTCTTTGAGAATCTTAGACTTTCTTATCTTTGTAGCTGGAATAGTTCTGACTTTTCAATTATGTAGTGGCCAGAAGACCCTCAGCACCCAAACCATAGCTGCATGAGTGATGCATTTTTCTTTATGTCACAATCTTGATTATTAGTGTGAAGTTCCTAAACTATGCCCAAGAGCAGCAAAGGGGGCAGTTCTTATTGAGGCCTTTTGTCAATAAGGGCACAGTAAAAAGAATCATTCTCATGATTTTATCCATTTATTCAACAAATGTTCATTAAATGCCCCTCTATGCCTGGCCTCTGTGCCCATGAATATTACAGCTCTCAAGTATGCCTGGGCCTGTGTTTGGACCCATCTCATACATTCTCTTGCATAAACCTTGGAACAATCAAATGAAGTTTTATTCTCTCTGTTTCATTGAGGAGGAAGCAGAGGCATTTAGAGGCCCCTGCCCTCAGAGATAATGTTGGGATTGGAATTGAACTCTTGATGTCTGTCTGTTTCCAAAGCCTCTTCCCTTTTCCTCCCTGTTTTTCTCATATCTCTGTATTTAAAAAAATAGTATGAGAGGGCAAAACTTCAAGACTTATTTGTTTAAGAAGCATTTGTCATGCGTTGGGTGAAACTAGAAATGTAGTCACCAACTAGATGGCAAAGACTTTAATTGATAGGAAGTGTTAGCAACATATCTGCTTATCATCAACTATGTGGAAGGACCGGTCCCTAAAACCTGCACCACCACCGCCAGCTTTCTGAGTGATTTCCACTTTCAGGTGTCAGACTCATTCGTGACAACTTCTTGTCATGGTCTCCCTTGACAGCCCCCCTACTGAAGAGAGCCAGATGCCCCACGGAAGACAGAAAAGATCCAACCGAGACTCCAGTGGCAGAGACATGGCTATGTGCAGTTGTATTCATTTACACTTACTCTGATTCACATTCACAGGACACTGTATTAATTGCTGCACCAAGTAGAGTTGGTTCTTATTATCTGAGGCAGCTATGGTCTATAAAGCTGCTTCAAACATTGAATTAGTGAATACTAAACTATTGCTCATATAGGCAATGCAGGGTTAGAATTCTCTGAGCCTCTGTTCCCAACGTTTTCCTCAACTGATTAGTCTATAACCTTGCTTTATGTGTGTTTCTGTTTAGATGCCGTATTTAATAGATACTGTTGACTCATTAACAATGAACTCTTGGCCAACAGCTCTATAACTCATGCCTGAATGAAGCTTCTCTAACACACACATTTTCTCTGTAAGGCACATCACAGCCTTTTTGCACTTAGAAACACTTGACAGCACTATACTTTGGGGCTATTTTAAACAGTGACGTCATCAACAAAAAGCACAAAAATGCAAAAAAAAAAAAAAAAAAAAATGGGGCACTAAATAGACCGTGAAAAGGACACTTGTTGACAGCAGGAGAGCTGAGACATGGAGGCAGAGCGTTGCCTTGTTTGACCTCAGCTGGGAAGGTGTGGGTAGGTTGACTCCAAGTTTTTGCTGCTCCGTGCCTGTCTGAGAATGAGTGAGAAAGAACCATGAGTACTGATTTTGGGGTTTCAAATAACTGTTAGTGAGCAGTGAGTAGGCGAATTCACAAATACAGCATCTGTGACTAATGAGGATTGACTGCTGAGTGGGTTCCTGGCCCCTCGTTTATCCCTAGCTTCTCATTACTCTCCGTTGATCTCTTCTCATCCTGTCTTTTTAAAAACACCATCTGCATTAGTTCCCCAGGGCCTCAGGCAGTCTCTCCTCCTGCACCCGTCACCGCCCTGCTCTGTAGCCACTTCACTGCTGTCCTATCCCCATGTCCACCCCTTCTCCTCCTGGACCTCACGGCCGCGTTGGATGTGGGTGACCACTCCTTCTTTCTTGAAACCCTCTGACCTCTGAGATTTGGTCCCCTCTCAGGCCAAGACTTCTTACTCTTCACAGACCGGCTTCTTCCTGCTGCCCCTGAAACCATGATGTTACCCAGGGTTCCAGCCTCAGCTCTCCTTCTGCTCATGGCCTTCCCTCTCCTGGGTGATGCCAAGCACCCCCAGGGCTTTGACACCCAGCTGTCTGGGGATTCTTCCCCCTCTCCTCCACACTGTCCCTCCAGCCTGGACTCCAATCAATGGCAGCCTGCCAGACACCTCCGTCTGGGTATTCCACACCACGTTCAAAATGCAATTCTTCCCTCGGAGACTCACTCTTCCCCCTGTCTCCAACTCATCTTCCAAGGTCCCCCAGGCCTGAAGCAGATGCATCTCAGACCTCCTCCCCACCTCACCCAGTTGGTCACCGAGGTCTGCTAATCCTTGCTCCGAAATGTTTCACAGCTCTGTCCTTTTCGAGCTGTTGGCTCCAGTTCCAGCTGCATCTCTAGCCTGCTATGTTCAGCATTTTCCTGGTGGCTGTGTCTTGTTTCCCTCAAAGGCACCTGTGCACTGTCATCAGAGTCATCTTATAATGAGTCTGGGGTCTTGCTGTGCTGGAGGATGGGGATGAGCTCCCTCAGAGTGTGAGCCTCAACAGTCCTCGCCCACACACCCGACAGTGTGCGCCCACTGTCCCCAGCCTTGAGTGCTGCTTCTGTCTCCCGAGTCACATGGGAGAACCTCACACAGCTGACTGTTCTCCCGGGGTCCCAGTCTGGGTCTCACCTCCACTCTCAGGCCCCCTCTGCTGGGATACAGTATCCCCGCCCCATCTTATCCTCCGAGTTCAGCTTACATGCCCTCTTCAGGAACCCTTTTCCTCGGGTTTCCTGCACATAGGCGTCTCTGGAATTGGCATTTATCAAGCTGTACTCTAACTACTTCCACCCCCTTCACTAGGTTGTGGGAGGTTTTTGAGGTCAAAACTATGCCTCATTGATCTTTGTAACCCCCAGCAAATGCTCAGTGCATACATGTTTATTGAACAGATGAACTGATAAATGGATGAATGGCTGGATGGCGTATCCTGATCTCCAGCCCCACACCCGCACACGGTGGCAGCTGTGGCCAACCTACTCTTTTGCTTTTGCTTGGTTCCTTCCTTCCTTACCTCACACCACAAACACCTTCATAGACCTGCCTGGGGCCCAACACCTGGCTGCAGCCTCTGCTTGGGGTCTCTTTGATTCTTCCCTTTATGAGAGATTTGAGCTTCCTTTCTGGGGTTGTGTATCTGCTCCCCAGACCCAGTTACCTGTTCTTCCTCCTGCAGGTGTCCCTCGCCCTTTTGGTTTGTTCAAGGAGCTGCTGCTTTGCATAGCTGCTCTAGTGTCTGGTATCATCGGATCTGGTTTTGAATAATTCCCAGGAGTCCTGGGTCCCTGGCCTCCAAAGCTGGAATGTGAACGCATGCCACGGTGGTCTGACCCTCACACTCCTTTTCTCTTAACAGCAAAATGCAATGGAAGGAAGAAAAGTTCCAACAAAGAATGATTTTGTGAATTCTGTGATTTTTCTTCTGATCAGTTTCAATCTGTAATAAATGCCTTATTTTTCCTGTAAGACTTTTTCTTTCGTTGCCTGGTTGTTGTTGTTGTTGTTGTTGTTTTTAAAGTAACATTAACTATGAAATTTTTTGATGAGAAACTAATAAGATTGGTGTTAGCTAAGGATTTTAGGAGTTGAGGACTCTCAAAGTGACTGGCGTATTTCAGGTCAATTTAAAATGGTTGTAAATTTCTTGTTGTTAGAAAAGCAAGCAGTTCAGTGTCAGAAGAGCTCTGTTTTTCTCTTTATGTCTAATTTTTGTTTCTTTGTTTGTTTTCTTGAGACGGAGTCTCGCTCTGTCACTCAGGCTGGAGTGCAATGGTGCAATCTCGGCTCACTGCAAGCTCTGCCTCCCAGGTTCATGCCATTCTCCTGCCTCAGCCTCCCGAGTAGCTGGGACTACAGGCGTGTGCCACCACACCTGCCTAATTTTTTTGTATTTTCAGTAGAGACAGGGTTTTACCGTGTTAGCCAGGATGGTCTCGATCTCCTGACCTCGTGATCCGCCCTCCCAAAGTGCTGGGATTACAGGTGTGAGCCACCGCACCCGGCCTATTTCTGATTTTAATTTTGAAAAATCATCCATGGAGCTCAGGGGACTTTCAGGACAGTGAAACTGCTCTGTATGATACTGAAATGGGAGATGCATGACATTATGCACTGTGAAAACCCGGAGGATGTGTGACACAGAGCGCACACCCTAATACTCCACACTCGTGCGAGATGTTAATGGTAGAGGAAATTCTGTGGGGTGAGGTTTAGGGTGGGGGAAGGAGCTATCTGAGAACTCACTGTATTTTCTGCTCAACTTTTTAAGAAACCTAACACTGGTCTAAAAAATAAAGTTTATTAGTAAAAGAATTATCTGGTGGCTAAGGAGTAAGAGGTATCACAGTCATCAGTGTCCCCATAAAATACCCTTGTTGCTGCTTTTCCTCCAGGTTTCGCAGTCTAGGGAATCTATAGCAAAGCGAGCTTTCTATCAAAGCAGGTATTGCCAGGAAGAGATCCAGAGGACTGGGGCTTCTGTTCCCCAAGCCACTTAGAAATGTGCTCCAAATTGGTTCCGTTCCTGGAGCCGGGTCTGCTTTGGGGTTGATTGAGCAGTGAAAGAATTTGAGGATGTGAGAATCTCCCAAACTAATCACAGTCTCCTGCTGGGGACTGAAACCCACATGCATTACCATGGCAGTGTCTGAAGACATCATGAACCCTTGAAAACTATTTCCTGGATGAATATTACACTAAGTCATTATCAGTCATTTGTGCCTGGGTGTAGATGTGACTATTTAATTCTGCTCCATAGCAAACTGCTTTACTTGTTACAGCTTTTAAATGTCTGATAAAGCTAGTCCCTATCTCACTCTGATTCTTCTATAATTTTTCCAGAACTTTCCTGAATATTTTCATATGCTTATTTTATTTCAACTGTAGGATCAGCTTGTCAGGTTATGAAGAAAACTCTGATAGCATTTCAAATCAAATTAATTACATCAAATTTACAAATTAAGTTAGAAAAACATGACATTTTTGGATTTTTGAGTTTTGCTCCATAAGACTGAAATATACATTTCCATGTACTAAAGTCTTCCTTTATGCCCCTCTGGAGTTTAAGAATTTTCTCATATGTGTTCTGCATATTTCCCTTAAGATTTATTTATTGCTATAATTCTTTTCATTGTTATTATAAGTGGGATCTTTTGTCATTATATTTCATAATATAAAATTGACTAACTTATATTAGGATTTTGGCCTCTCTTCCTGCTGACTTTTCGTAGTGTTAATAATAGATTTTCAGCTGACACTCTTGAATATTCCATGTATTACAACCATAACTTTTTCAAATAATATTAATTTTGCCTTCTTTTCATTTTTTTAAACTTTATTTCTTTCTTTTTCCTATTTCTTTGATGAGTCTATTCCAACAGGACTAAATTACAGGGTGATGATAGACTCCTCTGTGTCCCGTTCCATTCTAAGAAGCATTTTAGTGTTTCACCGTGGACAATGCTGACTTCTGTTTTGGTGTACGAGGGTCTATATTTTTAAGCACATTAAAGTTGCATCTGTTCTTCCACTATTAAGAGCTTACAACATAAATGTATATTGAACTTTATTAAATGTCTTGAAATTATCTCATTTTGTTCTTCTTTGATTAAAAAAAGTAGAATGAATTGTTAACAAATCATCTTATTAAACCATCTTTGCTTTCTTGGGACAACCCCACTTGGTCATGGTTTACTACTCTGTAAATACGCCACTGTTTCATTCAGGTTGTTTATATTAAGCTCCCTAAGTGAGAACTGACTGTAGTTTATTCTATGCCGTCTTTGTTTGGTTTTGGTGTCCGGGTTGTGAAGTCCCTTCCATCTCTGTAGTCTCTCCACGGCATCGCCTCCTGTCCCTAAAACCTCCAACACTCTGGTCTAGTAAAGGACCCATCTTTATTATTTTATATATATATATATATATATATTTACATATATATATTTTATTATACTTTAAGTTCTAGGGTACATGTGCACAACATGCAGGTTTGCTACATATGTATACAGGTGCCATGTTGGTGTGCTAAACCCATTAACTCATCATTTACATTAGGTATATCTCCTAATGCTATCCCTCCCCCCTCCCCCCACCCCACAACCCTTTCCTGTGTCCAAGTGTTCTCACTGTTCAATGCCCACCTATGAGTGAGAACATGTGGTGTTTGGTTTTTTGTCCTTGTGATAGTTTGCTGAGAATGATGGTTTCCAGCTTCATCCATGTCCCTACAAAGGACATGAACTCATCATTTTTTATGGCTGCATAGTATTCCATGGTGTATATGTGACACATTTTCTTAATCCGGTCTATCATTGTTGGACATTTGGGTTGGTTCCAAGTCTTTGCTATTGTGAATAGAGCCGCAATAAACATACGTGTGCATGTGTCTTTATAGCAGCATGATTTATATTCCTTTGGGTATATACCCAGTAATGGGATGGCTGGGTCAAATGGTATTTCTAGTTCTAGATCCCTGAGGAATCACCACACTGTCTTCCACAATGGTTGAACTAGTTTACACTCCCACCAACAGTGTAAAAGTGTTCCTATTTCTCCACATCCTCTCTAGCACCTGTTGTTTCCTGACTTTTTAATGATTGCCATTCTAACTGGTGTGAGATGATATCTCATTGTGGTTTTGATTTGCATTTCTCTGATGGCCAGTGATGATGAGTGTTTCTTCATGTGTCTGTTGGCTGCGTAAATGTCTTCTTTTGAGAAGTGTCTGTTCATATCCTTCACCCACTTTTTGATGGGGTTGTTTGTTTTTTTCTTGTAAATTTGTTTGATTTCTTTGTAGATTCTGGATATTAGCCCTTTGTCAGATGAGTAGATTGCAAAAAATTTTCTCCCATTCTGTAGGTTGCCTGTTCACCCTGATGGTAGTTTCTTTTGCTGTGCAGAAGCTCTTTAGTTTAATTAGATCCCATTTGTCAATTTTGGCTTTTGTTGCCACTGCTTTTGGTGTTTTAGACATGAAGTCCTTGCCCATGCCTATGCCCTGAATGGTATTGCCTAGGTTTTCTTCTAGGGTTTTTATGGTTTTAGGTCTAATATTTAAGTCTTTAATCCATCTTGAATTAATATTTGTATAAGGTGTAAGGAAGGGATCCAGTTTCAGCTTTCTACATATGGCTAGCCAGTTTTCCCAGCATCATTTGTTAAATAGGGAATCCTTTCCCCATTTCTTGTTTTTGTCAGGTTTGTCAAAGATCAGATGGTTGTAGATGTGTGGTATTATTTCTGAGGGCTATGTTCTGTTCCATTGGTCTATATCTCTCTTTTGGTACCAGTACCATGCTGTTTTGATTACTGTAGCCTTGTAGTATAGTTTGAAGTCAGGTAGCGTGATGCTTCCAGCTTTGTTCTTTTGGCTTAGGATTGACTTGGCGATGCGGGCTCTTTTTTGGTTCCATATGAACTTTAAAGTAGTTTTTTCCAATTCTGTGAAGAAAGTCATTGGTAGCTTGATGGGGATGGCATTTAATCTATAAATTACCTTGGGCAGTATGGCCATTTTCACAATATTGATTCTTCCTATCCATGAGTATGGAGTGTTCTTCCATTTGTTTGTGTCCTTTTTTATTTCATTGAGCAGTGGTTTGTAGTTCTCCTTGAAGGGGTCCTTCTCATCCCTTGTAAGTTGGATTCCTAGGTATTTTATTCTCTTTGAAGCAATTATGAATGGGAGTTCACTCATGATTTGGCTCTCTGTTAGTCTGTTATTGGTGTATAAGAATGCTTGTGATTTTTGCACATTGATTTTGTATCCTGAGACTTTTCTGAAATGGCTTATCAGCTTAAGGAGATTTTGGGCTGAGACGATGGGGTTTTCTAGATATACAATCATGTCATCTGCAAACAGGGACAATTTGACTTCCTCTGTAAAGGACCCATCTTTAAACATCCACGGAAGGCAGGTGTGATTTTTCTTTATGGTCTGAATAGAATATTAACTATATATAAAGTAATATATATTAATTTACATATTTTTGTAATCTGCTAATCTTTGAATTCAGCATCCTTTTCCAAGGCTTTTCCTTCCACTTTCTTCTGGAAAGTTGGCAATAATATTCTTCATTTTTATTTCACTTTCTTCCGGAGAGAGAGAATAGTAGCAAACAAATACTAGGCCTGGAATGTTAGATCCTTGCTTAGCAATGGTCGTTGGCCCAGGATCGTGCTGCAGTGTGTAAGGGGTACTGGCATCGGAATATTAGATCTTTGCTTGGCAACGATCATTGGTCCAGGAGAGTGCTGGGGTGTGTAAGGGGTACTGGCATTGGAACTATCTCATGTGTTTTAGAAATGTGTCCTTTGGGATGGTGGGAGCCAATTCCATCATTAACCTGGCTACCAGGCCCCAGCTCAGCCCATGCCTTTTCAGAGCACTGCCTTTCCTTGGGCATTAGCAGACCAGTAGAAATAGAAACACACGTAGTAAGGAACACGGCTGTAGGCAGCAACAGAGACGTCATGGAAGATGCAGACGGAGGCTGTGGGACCCACATACTCTGCACCCTCAGCCGAGCCTGTTTCTGAAAACAAACATGATCTACTTCCTTCAAGCCGGAATCCAGGTGTGTCATTAATTTTCTGTTAAACAAAGAGAATGGTGGCTTTTTTGAGTGGAGCACACCTGTCCCCACTTGTGGAGTTGCAGAATGTGGGCACTGCCAGGATTCCCTCTCAGCTCTCACCTCTGTAGAAATCACGGCACAATACAAACAATGGAAAGCTCCTCTATTAAAATGTCTGGGTGCCACCGCGAGGCTTGCAGCAGAACAATTTTGGCCTCTCTCCAGAGGCAGGTGTGACCGGAGCCAACCTGTCTGGAGTGACTTTTTTACTATGAAACTATCAGCAGCATGGACGAGTGAAACAATGTTGCATTATTTGGAGCCCCTGGGAATGTGCACACCCCTTATAAATGGACTGTGTTTACGCTCCTGTCCCTTCACAGCTGGGATTAAAAATTGCCAGAGTTCAAATATTTAATGTTCTTTCCTGTTTTCTATCCCTGGAATGTCTCAGTGTCGTCTGACTTGTTGCCAACACGTACACCAGATTTTTCCTCCCTTGCCCAGGTTATCACATGTATGAGAAGCTGGACGGTCAGTTCTTGTCACCTTTGGTGATGTCTTAGCCTGAAAATCAGCCGGTGCCCTCCTCAAGTTTGGAGGCAGCCTCCTAGGGCTATTCTGTTCTGTGTTATTTTTCTTTCCAGGTTGCAACAAGATATTTAATTTTGATCATGAGAATAATTTTATATTGCATTTCACAATATGTTATTTCATTTCCTCAGTGATTTTGGAATGTTAGTGGTCACAAAAGGATGTAGGTAAGAGAAGTGGGAAAGGGGCAAGTTATGAATTACTCTATAGAATGTTATGTACTGCAAAGATGACAAGTTCTATCTTTCTTTCTTGCTCAAGACCCCTGTCAGATCAGACTGCTTGGCAAGAGGAAGAATTTGAGTGAGAAAGTGGCACTTCCAGATATTTAGCAGACCAGGCTGAGTCCTGATGTCTAAACACAGGCTGCAAGTGGCGTTGCACAGTCGGGGCGCAGCTATAGTTGCTATGGTAGTGGCTGGGGCCACTGGTCCAAGGAACAGATGAAATCTCTAACTGGGGTGAGCTGTAGGGAGCTTCTAGGATCACACAGGGACAAAGGAACAATGGCAGTGTCTTAGTCTGCTTGGGGGGCAATCACAAGATGCTATAGACTGGGATGCTTAAACAACAGACATTTATGGCTCTCACAGTCCTAGAGGCCAGGATATCCAGCATCAAGGTGCCAGCAGATTTGGTTCCTGATGAATGCCCTTTTTCTGACTGGTGGCTGACTTGGTGGCTGACTTCTCACTGTGTGCTCACAGTGGAGAGAGCAGGAGCTCTGACCCCTCTTCCTCTTCTTATAAGGATACCCGCCAATCCCATCACAGAGCCACACCCTCAGGACTTCATCTAAACCTAATTGCCCCCCAAAGGCTTCATCTCCAAATACCATCATATTGCGGATTAGAGCTTCAACATATGAATTTTGAGGGGGAGACAAATATTCAGTCCATATCAGTCATGAAGCATTAGACACACAGAGCAGTTACACACTCCACTGACCATGGGAGCTCTGAGAGCTAGGGTCACATACTTGGCGGCTGACCAACTTCACCCCTACTTTCCCGATCCAGTGCTAGCCAATTCCCCAAATCAGCCAGGAGTGTGTCTGCTGCATCTCTGGACTCTCACAGTTGCTACAGTCCCAGTTCAGCCCCCCAAGATCACCCTGCAAAAGGACTCCCCAGGGTAAGAACCAGTCTTCCTGGAGGTACCAACAGGCAGAGAAAGAGAAACCTCCTCAACCTTCTCATTCTTATTTATTTTCCAACCACATTTATTTCCATGGAACAGCAATAGGTCAGTGACAGAAGCCACAGTCTGAGACCCGCAGATTTCTCAAATGCACACGTTTGAGTTTGCATATATACCCCCAAACCACACTTTTTCTTGTTCCCTCTTTCAATTCCACCTTCATCTGTGCCCTCCACCTCACCAGGATATTCTGTATCACTCCTGGGTGGGGCCCCAGAGCTGACCTCTTCCTTGCCCAGCTCAAGTTTCTACATCTTCCTCCTGGTATTTTTGTGCCCTTATAATGTAGGACGTGGTTTGGGTCCCAGATGTCCGTGATGGACCCCCATGTTTTCCTTCCTTGGTAGTAGATTGCTTTGGCTATTATTCTTTTATGATCCAAGTTATGCAAAGTATCAAGCATTTATTTTCTTAACTTTCTCGTTAGTAATAAAGTGAGCTGAATATTTCCCTTCACTGTCCATTATTGTTTTGTGCTATTTGTTGTGCAGACCATTTTATTTCAAATGCTGTCTACTCATTTCTAAAGTCCTATTTGAATGTGACTATATTAATATATTAAATGATCAGTTTCTCAATCAATATTTTACTTGCTAATAGGTTCACCCTGACCAAACCCTTGGACGGGGAGGAAATCCCTTCTATAAAAATAAAAATCTTGAACTTTCTGATTGTGAAGTTGGAGAGATAGATGAGTGGATACAGAGAGTCACAACTTTCCAGAGCAGAAATCCGCAAGCATAAACCTCTGGGGAAACCATGCCAGGGTAGGGAAAGCTGAGCTGTAATTGATGAATTGCTGATGGATCAGGATGTTGGACAGGTCTGAGTTTTAAAAACTCCAGGGGACACACTCAGAAGAAGTCTCCACATATTTGTATTTCACCCTGAGATGCTCTAGCATCCTCACAGTGAACATTGGAGAAAAATACCCCGAGGAATCATATTTACCTTTCAATAAAAAAATTACAAAACATACTAATAGGGAAAAAACCCTACAGTTTGAAGAGACTGAACAAATATCAGAACCAGAGTCAGATATGGCAGGAATTTTGGAATTTTCAGTACAGGAATAATTTTTAGAACTCCAAAACTATGATCAATATGCTAAGGGCTTTAATGAAAAAAAATAGACAACATCCAAAAGCAGATGGATAATGTAAGCAAAGAGATAGGCTAGAGATAAAAAATATTGAAAGAGAAATGAAGAATGCTGTTCATGGGCTCATTAGTAGATTGGATACAGACAAGGAAAGAATCTCCAAGTTTGAGGATATGTCAATAGAAATTTCCAAAACTGGAAAGCAAAGAAAAAATGACCAACCCCACTCCCCATCCCCAACCAAAAACAAAACAAAACAAATAACAGAGCAGAGTTTCCAAGAACTGTGAGATGACTACAAAAAGCATAACGTATGTGTAATGGGGCTACTAGAAGACAAAGAAAGAGGGGAAGAAACAAAGCAATATTTGAAGCAACAATGACTGATAGTTTCCCCAAAATAATGTCAGAGGCCAAAACTACAGATCCAGGAAGCCCAGAGAACACCAAGCAGGATAAATACCCAAAAGAAATACACCTAGGCCAGGCATATCATATTCAAACTTCAGAAAAATCAAAGATAAAGAAAATGTCTTGAAAGAAGCCAGAAGAAGAAAACAACTTACTTAGAGAAAGGCAAAGATAACAATGACATGTGACGTTTTCTCAGAAACCACGCAAGCAGGGAGGGAGTGGAGTGAAATATCTGAAATGTTGAGAGAAGAAACCCACTTCTTTACTCTGCATATAATTATCCTTCTTAGGTGAAGAAGAAATAAGGACATTCTTAGACAAAAATTGAGAGAATTTGTTGCCAGTACGCCTGCCTTTGAAAGAAATGTTAAGAGAAGTTGTTTGACGAGAAAGAAAATGTTATAGGTCAGAAACTTGTATCTACACTAAGAAATGAAGAGCATTGGAGAAGGAATAAGTGGAGACAAAGCAAGACTTTTATTGTTCTTATTCTTATTTGATCTAACAGATAATAGTTTGTTCAGAATAATAATATCTACATTGTGTTCTAATATATCTATAATATGCTTATGTATAAATGAAATAAATGGCAACAATGACACAAGGAAGAAGAGGGAGAAATTAGGAATTTTTTGTTATTATAAGGTACTTGCATTACCCATGAAATGGCAAAATGTTATTTGAGGGTGGACTTGGATTAGTTGTTATGTGTGTTGGAAACTCTGAGGTAATCACTAAAAAGAGTAAAGAAAGAAAAAAAAAGAAATATAATATGCTAAGAAAGAAGAGAAAATAGCATCATATAAAATGCTCAGTTGAAATAAAAGGCAGAAACAGTGTAGAAGACAAAAATAAGAGCAAAGAACAAGTGCAACAAACAGAAAATAGTAACAAATTTGGTAGATATTAGTCCAATGATCTCAATAATCACTTTAAACATCAATTTCCTAAATATTAGATTGGTGCAAAAGTAATTGTGGGTTTTGCTATTACTTTTTTTTTTTTTTTTGAGATGGAATCTCACTCTGTTACCAGGCTGGAGTATAGTGGCACGATCTCAGCTCACTGCAACCTCTGACTCCTGGGTTCAAGTAATTCTCCTGCCTCAGTCTCCCGAGTAGCTGGGATTACAGGCACGCACCACCATGCCCAGCTAATTTTTGTATTTTTAGTAGAGACGGGGTTTCACCGTGTTGGCCAGGATGGTCTTGATCTCCTGACCTCGTGATCCGCCCGTCTCAGCCTCCCAAAGTGTTGGGATTACAGGTGTGAGCCACCCCGCCCAGCCTGCTATTACTTTTAATGGCAAAAACTGCAGTTACTTTTACACCAACCTAATACATCAATTAAAGACAGAGGTTGTTAGAATGGATCAAAATATGACCCAACATCTTGTTTAAAAAAAGCCCACTTTAAATATATAAAGACACGTATAGGTTAAAAGTAAAGCTATGGAAAAGGATATATCATACTAGCACCAATCAAAAGAAAGCAGGAGTCGTTGTATTAGTTTCAGACAGAGCAGAATTCAGAGCAAGGAAAGTTATCTGGGTTAAAGACGGTGATTATATAATGATGAAGGAGTCAATATTCCACGAAAACAACAATCATTCATGTGTATGTGCCTAATGAAAGAGCATCAAAATATGTGAGACCAAAACCAATAAAACTGCTTGGAGAAATAGATGAATCCACTATTACGGTTGGAGATTTTAACATTCTTCTATCAGAGATGAACAGATTCAGCAGGCAGAAAATCAGGAAGGACATAGTTGAACTCAATAGCACTATCACTTGGCTGGATATAATTGACATCTACAGACTACTTCATCTAACAACAGCATATTACACATTCTTCTCAAGCTCATATGGAATATTCACCAAGATGTACCACATTCTGAGCCATAAAACACACCTTAACGAATTTAAAAGAATATAAATCATACAATGTCTGCTTTCATACCACAGTGGATTTAAATTAGAAATTAATACAGAAAGATAGCTGAAAAATTCCCCAATACTTGGAGATTAAACAACATACTTTTAAGTCACAAATGGGTCAAAGAAAAACTCTTAAGGGAAATTCCAAAAAAAAAATTGAACTAATTAAAATGAAAATACAACTTAATTTGTGGAGTGCTGGAAAACTTTCATATGCATTAAAGGGGAACTTTAATGCATATGAAAAAGAGGAAAAAATATCTGAAATCAATAGTCTAAGTTTACACTTTAGGAAACTAGAAAAAGAAGAGAAAATTAAATCCAAAGTAAGCAGAAGAAATATAATAAAGATTAGCGCAGAAATCAGTGAAATTGAGGATAGGAACTCGACAGAGAAAAGTCAATAAAACCAAGAGCTGGTTATTTGAAAAGATTAGTAAAATGTATCAGTCTCTAGCCAGGGTAACAAAGGAAAGAAAAGAAAAGAAAAGAAAAGAAAGATAAGAAAAGAAAAGAAAGAAAAGAGATAACACAAATCATTAATATCACAATAAAAGAAGGGACATCACTACAGATCCCATGGATATTAAAAGAACAATAAAGGAATGCTATGAATAAATCTAAGCCCACAAATTTAATAACCTAGGTGAAACAAACTATTCCTTAAAGGATACTATTTGCCAAAACTTACACATGAAAAAATAGACAATTGGAATAAGCCTATACCTATTAAGAAATAGAATCAATAATGAATAACCTTCCAAATAGAATGCTCAAAGCCCAGATGGGTTCACTGGTGAATTCTACCAAACATTTAAGGAAGAAATTATACCAATTCTCTACAGTCTGTTCTAGAACACAGAAGCAAAGGAAATGCTTCCTAATTCTATGAGGACAACATTAACTTAAAACCAAAACCAAACAAAGAGGTTACAAGAAAATAAAAAATATATAAACCAATATCGCTCTTGAACATAGATGCAAAAATTCTCAACAAAATATTAACAAATCAAATATAATAATGTATAATTAGAATTATTCAAAACAATCCCAGTAAAGATCCAAGGAAGGTATTTTGTGATATCAATACTGATTCTAAAGTGTATATAAAGATGCTGAAAACCCCAAATACAGAAATCAAGAACGACAAGAAAGCCAGAAGATTGATACTACTCAACTTTAAGATGTAAGTAGAACTCATCAAAAAAGATATACAAATGGCAAATACGCATATGAAAAAATGCTAAACATCACATGCCATTAAGGAATTGCAAATTAAAACAACAATGCAATACCACTACACATCTACTAGAATGGCCAAAAACCAAAACACAGACAATTCCAAATGCTCTTGAGGATGTGTAGCAACGAGAACACTCATTCATTACTGTGGGAATGCAAAATGGTACAGCCACTTTGGAAGCCAGTTTGATAGTTTCTTACAAAGCTGAACATGCTTGTACCCTAAGATCAAGCAATCATGCTCCATGGTGTTTACCCAAATGATTTGAAAACTTACACTTGGATATTTACAACAGCTTTATTTATAATTGCCAAAACCTGGAAGCAACCAAGATGTCCTTCAATAGATAAATGGGTAAATAAACTGTGGCATATCCAGACAATGGAGTATTATTCAGTGCCAAAAAAAAAATGAACTATTAAGTCATGAAGACATGGAAAAAAACTTAAATGTATGTTACTAAGTGAAAGAAGCTAATCTGAAAAGACTACATGCTGTACAATTCCAACTATATGATATTTTGGAAAGTGCAAAGCTATGGAGACAGTCGAAAGATGGGTGGTTGTGAGGGGTTGGGGAGAGGAAAGGGTGACTAGTTGGAGCACTGGGAATTTTTAGGGCGGTAAAACTCTTTTGTATGATAC
This sequence comes from Homo sapiens, assembly GCF_000001405.40. Classification (NCBI taxonomy): domain Eukaryota; kingdom Metazoa; phylum Chordata; class Mammalia; order Primates; family Hominidae; genus Homo; species Homo sapiens. The sequence continues at coordinate 234,089,384 of NC_000002.12, forward strand.
TACAATGGTGGAGAAATGTCATTATACTTTTGTCCAAACCCACAAAATGCACAACATTAAGAGTAAATCCTAATGAAACTATAGATTTGGGGGGATGATGTGTCAGTGCATGTTCATCAGTTGTAACAAATGCACCACTGTGGTGTGTGGTTGTTGATCTCATATGAGAGAGGCTGAGCATGCATGGTAGCAGGGAGTATACGGGAACTCTGTCCTTTCTACTCAGTTTGACCATGAACCTAAAACTTCTCTGAAAATTGAAGTGTATTTATTTTCAAAGAAATAGCGTCACCCAATGTCATGATTCATGTGACACATTTGGGGTTGGGGGGGCAGTTGGTAGTTATCCTTGTATTAGTTTCCTATTGCTGCTAAACAAATTGCCACAAACTTAGTAGATTAAAACAATTCAGATTTATTACCTTACAGTCTTGGAAGACAGATATCTGAAATGGGTCTCATTGGGCTAAAATCAAGGTGTTGGCAGGGCCGGTTCCTGTGGGGGCTCCAGGGGAGAATGTTTCCACGTTGTTTCCAGCTTCTAGAGGCCACCTGCATTCCTTGGCTCATGGTCCCTTTCTCTGTCTTCTCCATGAGAAATTCCAGCCTTGGTTTCCATCATCATATGGCCGGCTTTCTCTCAGACTCTGACTCTCTTCTCTCCTTCTTCGAAGAGCCCTTGTGGTTACATTGGGTCCACCTGGATAATCCAGAATAATCTCCTCATCTCAAGATCCTTAACCTAATAAGACCTTCCCCTTTTACCATGTAAGGGAACTGTTATGGACTGAATTGTGTCTCCCAAAACCCGTATGTTTAAGTCCTAATCTCTGGTTTCTCAGAATGTGGCTGTATTTGGAGAGAGGGCCTTTAAAGAGGTAATTAAAATAAAGTGAGTTCATATAGGTGGGTCAACATGAGTAGCGTCCTTATAAGAAGATGAGATTAGGACACAGACACACAGAGGAAAAATGATGTGAAGACACAGGGAGAAGACAGCCACCCACAAGCCAGGGAGACAGGCCTCAGGACAATCCAAACCTGATGACACTTTGATCTCAGACGTCCAGCCTCCAGAACTGTAAGAAAATACTTTTCTACTCTTAAGCTACCCAGCCTGTTGTATTTTGTTATGGCAGCCCAAACAAAATGGAAGTAGCATATTCACAGATTCTGGGGATGAGGATATGAACACCTTTGTGGGTGGGGAAGGCATTTTTCAATCTACCACAACCACCACAAACCATCCAAATGGCTGCCACGTGTTGAATGTTGCAGGCCAGGCAGGAATCTTACATGTATTATATTATTTAATTCTTAAAACAACCCTACTGGGTAGCTACAATCACTATCCCAATTTTACAAATAAGGAAAAGATGACTTAGAGAAAACTTGCTGCATTGCTAGTAAGAGGCAAAATCAAGACTTAACATTTTAGCTCTCTGGTTCCTATCTTCTCCCCTGTATTAAAAGAAAAAACAATCAATGGAGTTGCAGCTCTCTGGATAGATATGAAGCAAAGGAGATGATAGCCACACTGCTGGCCTGATATACCTCTCTGGCTATCAGATGTTGTCAGTGTTTGCTTCTTTACTTTTTTTTGTTTTTATTTTTTTTTGAGACCGAGTCTCACTCTCTCGCCCAGGCTGGAGTGCAGCGGTGGGATCCACAAGCTCTGCCTCCCAGGTTCACGCCATTCTCCTGCCTCAGCCTCCAGAGTAGCTGGGACTACAGGCGCCCGCCACCATGCCCAGCTAATATTTTGTATTTTTGTAGAGACAGGGTTTCACCACGTTAGCCAGGATGGTCTCGATCTCCTGACCTTGTGATATGTCCGCCGCAGCCTCCCAAAGTGCTGGGATTACAGGTGTGAGCCACCGCACCTGGCCCAGTGTTTGCTTCTTACAGAATGATTGCAAGCCCCCCTTGCAGTCCTGCCTGCCTTTCTAAAAAACGTGCATTGAGTGGCTTCATAAGGAAATCCAGAGACCTTGGTTCTCTGAGTCTGATGCAGCTACAGAAGCTGTGCAGATGCGGGTGTGGAATTATTTTACCCTAAAGGACCCGGTTAACACTCACACTTTTGCCTAAATCCTAGACTGGAGGCCTGAAGTTTTCAGTTCATGAAATTAGACAAGGAGCTGGGGTTCATTCCAAGTTTCCCTTTGCCCATGACCCTGGCATTCTTTCTTTTGACATCCAAATAGACACTCCCTTGGCTTCCATTCAACAGAAAATTGGCATCCTGAAAAGCCAGATAAAACCTGCCTCAAAAGGGAAAACAAAATTAATGAACAGACAGGAAATCTGAGAATTATTTTTCTCTGAAGTAGGATGCGGGGGAGGTAATGGCTTTGTGAATAAACTGGAGGAGGAGGGAGAGAGAAACAAAGCTGTGTTTCCAAGGTTGATTCCCCAGCTGCTCCGGGTGTTTCGAGCTAGAGGGCACTCAGTGGCAGAGTTTGTTAAGCACCATGGCTCCGTGGGCTCCCAGGGCCCCAGGCTCGTGGTGACGAGAGCAAGGCTTGGTATTTTCTCCAGGTTCCAGTCAATTATCACAGTTAAATTGGAACATGCATGTCCTTCTGTGGACAGAAGTGCAGGAGCTGCCGCAGCTTCTTCCAAAATAGAGCTCTCCTGGCTGCTGCAGCTGCTGACGTCTTCCTGCATCTCTCAACCTGCTCTTCCTCTCCTTTCTTCCCACCACGCCATCTCCCCTCGCCTGCTTCCCCTCACTTGGACTGGGGCCCGCTGGGACATCACCCAGTCTACCACCCTGGTGTCTCAGAGGGTGGGTGAGGTCACTGTTTTCCATTCCAAACCACACCTGGTGTTAGGAACATTCCATTTTCAACTCTTCACTGGTTTGCTTCTGTGGGGGCAGAACTCAGATTTTCAAGAAAATGCATTACATTGTAAAAGGATCTTTCAGATTACAAAAAAAAAAAAAAGAAAGAAATCAATTCACCAAGAATCCCACCACATACATTTTGTGTCTCTTGTGCTCCCTTTAAAATCTATTGTGGAAATCCTCCCCTGACCAAGAATGGGAATACTGGCTGACCGTGGCTACTCTCAGATGATTAAAAGCTCTGTGATCAATTCCAGTGCTAAAATAGACCCACGTCTTTAATTAGGATGATGCCATGTTGCAGGATACATGGGCATAGTGCATATCAATACACACATATTAGCATATGTCCTCCTTACAGTCAACACTCTAAGCCAAGTATCACATTTGTTGCCTCTTCCTTTCAGTTGCATTTGCAATTGAACCTGCGAAGGGGAAAAGGAGGTGGTTCTGTTATCCACCCTCACCCTGCAAGCACAGGCTGGGGACTGGACAGTTTGCAGGGGACTGGGTAGCTTGGTGCCCTGGCCCTGGCAGACAGTAATCTGGTTCTTCCACTCAGGGCTCCTAAGAAATGCCCTGTGTTCCCTTCTCCCTGGTGTTCTTTTCCCCTGGGCTTAGAGTGGACCCAGCTCCTTTCCAAATATTACCTGCAGCTCCTCGCTCAGCCCCAGGCCAACCTGCAACACACCTGCCCTCCTTCCCTGTGTCTCTTACCCCTCCACACTTCATGTGAACTGACTCAGGATGACCCCATCTCGTCCTGGGTTAAATAGTGTCACCCCAAAATTCATATGCATGCAGAACCTCAGAAGGTGACATTATTTGGTAATAGGGTCTCTGCAGATGAAATTAATTAAGTTTAAATTAGTTAAATTTGTTTAAGATGAAATCATACTAGATTAGAGTGGTTTCTAATCCAATAATAGGTGTCCTTATAAGAAGAGAAAACAAAGATGCTGAGGCAGAGGAAAGAAGGCCACGTGATGATGGAGGCAGGATTGGAATTGCACACCCACAAGTCAGAAAATGCCGAGGGGCGTTGGAGTTGCTGAGAGCTAGGAGGGAGGCATGGAACAGTTTGTCTCTCAGAACTTCCAAAGGAAGCAATCCTGCCAACAACCAGATTTCAGACTTTCGACCTCCAGAGCTGTGAAAAAATTAATATGTGTTGGTATAAACCCTTCCATTTGAGATAATGTTTTATGGCAGTCCCTGGAAGAGAATACACTGGCTTGCTCCCCACTTGCCCACATGTAGTCCCAGGAAGCACCCATGCATCGTTTGTCCTCATAAACCCTGGAGGGCAGGCTGATCCTCCTAGCGCAGCCCTCTCCTGGCCCTTCCTCCAAAGTGCTTGCACGGCTCTGCTCTGGTCCCTCAATCTCCTGGTGGCAGTTGGATCCCCGTCCTCTGTCCATTTTCTCCATCTCAGTTTTGGATTGGACACCAGGTATCACTAACTTCAGATGGTCCCCTTGAAGCTCCCTCCAAGGCTATGGCTTAGCACTAGCATCCGCTTCCTTTTCCCCAAGGGTGGGCTTCCACAGCAAGGAAACTGTTCTCTCCAGAGATGTCTTCACAGTCTGTTCTCCAAAGACTCCCTCCCTCTGACCCCTTTGCAAATCTGTGGTCCTGCCAAGAACTCCATGCCATGGGCCACAAGTTCTCCTTCATTCCCTTTGAAAATTCTGCATATGGGCTTAGAAGCAGGGTCTTTTTGGTCATTTTGGTTCCCCAGGCCCGTCTCGCATCCTGTTACATTTCTATGTTCTTCCACTTTGGAGGGAGGACCGTGTATAGTAATATCTACTGCCTTTCTGACTCGTTATAGTGGGTTGGCTTGTGGTCCCCTCATTCCCCCTCCCCAAAAAACATGTCCAAACAGAGCCTGTGAATGTGACCTCAGATGGGAAAAGGGTCGTTGCAGATATAATTCAGTCGAGGATCTTGAGATGAGATCACCCTGGGTTTAGGATAAGCCCTAACCTATAACAGGTGTCCTTATTAGAAGAAGGGAAGACACAGACACAGAGAAAAGAAGGCAACGTGACCACAAAAGCAAAGGTAGCAGTGATACTACCACAAGCCAAGGAACATCTGGAGCCACTGGAAGCTGGGGTAGACACGGAGCATCCTCTCCTAGAGTCTCGGGAGGGAGCATGTCCCTATAACACCTTGATTTTGGACTTCTGGCCTTCATAATTGTGAGAGAATACATGTCTGTTGTTTTAAGCCATCCAGTTCATAGTACTTTGTTTTAGTAGTCACAGAAAACTAATATCCAAAAAATATATATAAACATTTTTCCTAATGGCAGAACATTATTCTGCAGTATGAGGAAGCCAACCTATTCTTTATCATAAAATATTTAATATTTGAAAATTGAACTACAATAACTAATAAGAAATGAACTACACTTGAACATACATTTTGAGTATCTGACCATTTCCTTAGGAAATTTTGCTAGAGATGGAATTACTGGGTCAAGGGATACACCCTCTGCATTGGCGCCATATGTGCCTCTCTTGCCTGAAGCCTATTGCTCAAAGCCTATAATTTCCATAAATATTATTTTCTGCTAGTTGGTAGAAGACATGTAATAACTATGATTCATTTATATAACAATGATTTCAAATGAGTCCTTGTGAGCATGAAAAACGACCATCTGAAAACCAGGCACAACCCAGTACTTAGGCTGTCTGGGTTACCCATTTAATATATTTTAGTCACAATTAGCTCACATCCCTTAAATTTGGTGTCAGATGTGTATTTAAAAATGTGCTTCTTTGTGGCTTTTCTTTTACTGGTCTCAACGCTAAAAGCAAATTCTGAAATATAGCAAACTATTCTTAAGGACCATGAACAAAAGTGGTTTGGGTCAGCTCCCTCCTCATTCTTTAATGCCTAATAAAACAAATCCACCAGCGGTGGCAGTAAAGTTAGCTCAAGAAGGCTTTGAGCATCTTTGTTTTGAAGAAGTCGGCCTAGAAGAGCTACTGAAAACTGTTCATCAAGAGTCAAAGGATCTGGGATTCCACTTGTATTTTGCTAACTTTTAATTATTTTTTCCTTGGGAGTGTTTGTGAGTCACTTAAAGTTGGTGACATATTCTGGGCAACAAGGACGGTGGGCTAGGTAAATGCTAAGACTTCCAAGATGTGATCCTCCTGCTGACGTTTAAATGGCCCACGTGAAGGCCACTTGCACATCCGTCTCCAAGTACTGAGGCAAATATGTCTGAACCACATCGTGTGGACAAGTCATTCCATGTGCTCTGCTCAAAGACAGTATTCATAAGTTAAGCCCTTGCTAAAATAACCATCATAAAGGTCATAATTATATTAAACAGATGCAATTATACCAGGAGCTGAGCTTGCTTTTTTTTTCAGTTGAATAAAACATTTGATTGTTATATAAACAACTATCTTGATACTCAAGGTTATAATTAGAAACAATATAATAAATCACGAAATTATTACCCAACTAGCTATTGTGCTGAGGCACAAATACTAATTGCAAGTTTATAGGCGCCCTATGGCCTCTCATAAGCTTATAAAAAAAAGTCTATGTAATTTTAACTCAGGGTCAAAATTACACAGACTTTTAAAATAATATTAAAAATTTAGTCTAGAAAGAAGTTGATTAGTATAATCAAATAAGAAAAACATTATTACTTTGGCCAATGACTATTAAATAACACTCCTTCATTCTAAAAAAGAAACACAAGCACACACGCACCCATTCGTACACACATGCACACACACACCTATTCATACACACATGCACACACACACCCATTCATACACACATGCACACACACACCCGTTCATACACACATGCACACACACACGTTCATACACATATGCACACACGCGCCCGTTCATACACACCTGCGCACACGCGCCCGTTCATACACACATGCGCACACGCCCCCGTTCGTACACACATGCCCGCACGCCCCCGTTCGTACACACATGCACGCACGCACCCGTTCGTACACACAGGCCCGCACGCACCCGTTCGTACACACCTGCGCGCACACCCCCGTTCGTACACACCTGCGCGCACGCCCCCGTTCGTACACACATGCCCGCACGCCCCCGTTCGTACACACATGCACGCATGCCCCCGTTCGTACACACAGGCCCGCACGCCCCCGTTCGTACACATCTGCGCGCACGCCCCCGTTCGTACACACATGCCCGCACGCACCCGTTCGTACAGACATGCGCGCACGCACCCGTTTGTACACACATGCCCGCACGCACCCGTTCGTACAGACATGCACACACACATGCATATGAACACATGCACATGTGCACACACACTAAAAGGACAGAGCAGATGCACAGTAACTCTTTGCCTTCCTCTTTCTAGCATCTTTTTTCCCAGTGTCTCTTCTTTAGGAAGAGATAATACCACCACATAGCATGAAGAGAGGCTGTCTTAGAAAAATTGTCAGGGAGAGGATGATATAACATCCCTTTTGAAGTATATGAAAAGCTAAAAGACATTCGTCCTTAAGTTGCACACAGTATCACGAGAAGGCCCAGGGACAATTTAACTAAATTATTTGGAATTAGGTTTCTTTAATAGCATGCCTCTAGTTTGGTTTCCTTGATTTTTCTAAGTTTTAATTTTTTAAATTGCTTTACAAAACTTGTTGACTCTTTAGAGTTAGATGAAACTTTAGAGACCTTCTACAGTAGATGCACAAATTCTATTCCAACATCCTTTCTGTCTCTTTCACAGTTTGGGCCAATGTGGTCTCAGCCAGTGGTGGGAACACCAGCTCCTTCCAGTGACTGGTTCAGAAATGGGCCCATGAGTCTATGCAGGCCGGGGTTGAGCAAGAGCAAGTCTGCTGGAGCCTGCTGGGTACATTTTCCTGCTTTATGGGTCTCTCCTTCCTCTACAAAGCTGAAGATGAAGTTGCCGCCTGGCAGAGGGCAGAGCTGAGAGAATCAGACAGCCAGAGCCACAGGGTTCAATTAAGCGTCAAACCCATCCTGCACGTCCAGAGCCAATGCATTCATTACTATTTAAGTCATTTTGGGCTGCCTGTTATTGCAAAAGTGTCATAAGTGTAATATACTATCATGTTCAATACATTTCATTTTATGCAAGAAACCAGAGTCCAACAGGCCAAGGCTAAAGGACTTGTCCAGGATCATTGGTTGTTTAGAGCAAGATCAGAAACCAGGACCCAGTCTCCTGATAACAGTCTACCGTTCTTTCCATCTCACAGTCCACAGTCCTTACGAGCTGGAGCAGGTCTTCCACACACCTACCTTTCTAAACACGCTGCGCTTTGGTGGATAAACAGGCTTCTCGGAGAGATCTTTAATGGTCAGAGAAAGTGGATAAGGTCAGTGAGGCAGCATTTGTTTGGGACATCATATCTTCATAACCCAACTTATTGAGGTTTTTCTTTTATTTTTTTTTTATTTTTTTTTTTTGAGACAGGGCACCAGAATGCTGTGGCGCGATTATAGTTCACCACAGCCTGGAACTCCTGGGTTCAAGCAATCCTCCCACCTCAGCCTCCAGAGTAGATGGAATTACAGGTGCCTGCTACCATGCCCACCTAATTTTAAAAAATTTTTGTAGAGATAGGGTCTTGCTATGTTGCCCAGGCTGGTCTCAAACTCCTGGCCTCAAGTGATCCTACCTCCTTTGCCTCCCAAAGCACTGGGATTATAGGCTTGAGCCCCCTCGCCCAACCTGACACCTTTCTTGAGGCTTGCAGAAGCACCAAGGTGCCTGCCTGTGACTGGCCGATAACATTTTAGCATTTTGATATGGGCAGGCATGCTAACTGAGAGTCCAGTTCTCCAGTTAGTTCTTGCTTTTTGATTGGAATGTTCCTGCCCATTGCTGTTGGAATGCTCAGAAAGGGCCTTGGCCTCCTGAGGACATCTTCCTCACATGCCTGCTCTAGCCTGTGCCTCCCCGGGGAAAAGGAGAGGACCAGGGAAGCCTGTGGACATCCCTTCCTCCCACAGGCTGGGACACTTTTCAGAGTGGGTGAATCCACTCTCTTTTATCTCTCTCCTCTTTGTGGCTTACATTATTCCTCCCCACTCTCCTTCCCTCATTAACACACCTTTTTGTTGTTGTTGTTGTTGTCGTCGTTGTTGTTGTTGTTCCGGGCAATATATTGAAAACAAAGGTTACTAGACGGCAAATCAGACAACCTGCTTTAACATCTGGAAATGACTTTGAACAGAGTAACTCAGTGTCTCCAGGTTCTGCTCACACATCTGAATATGAAAATAACAACATCTGCCCAGCATATTTTTCATCTGAGCTGCTCTGCCCCCCAACCTCGTTGCGGTGATCGGTTCTCCAACACATTTTGGGTAACTACTATGTAAAAGACACATTGCTAGGGAGGAAATATCAATGTAAATTGTGGAGCATTATCTAAATGTAAAGTCTCGTTACCATTAATAAAACACTCATCTGGAAACTATATACAACATTTTATTTCTTCTTCAACTACTGGTCCTCGTCCACCTCCATAAACTTCCCGGCTCTTCTATTACTCACATTAGAGAGAAAAACAAAATGCCATCTTTTTCATGCTCTGTCACCTTCCTCCACTGAACAATAACCATGTCGACCGGCAATATCAGAAAGGTCATCCGGTGAAGCGTTCACTCTGCAGTTGTGCACCACTGGGTTTTGAGAGTGCTGGCTAAATATTTTAAGTGATGGATGTCCCTGCCACTTCTCACTTTTCATTTTTTATTTAATCAGTCTCACATGGATCAGGAAAAACACAAACCTTTACTCCCTGTGAAAACACTGTAGTCAAAACAGATTAAGCATGTTTAACTCAGGCTATGGTAGCATGCTAGTAAAAAGCACTTGGTATAGGCTATGAATTGAATTTTTCACTGCCTCCCACCACCCCACTAAAAAAAGAGATATCTAAGGTTCTAATCTTTAGTACTTCAGAATGTTGTTTTGTCTGGAAACAGGGTCATTGCAGATGTGACTGCTTAAACTGAGAGGAGGTCATTCGGGACTAAGGTGGGCCCCTAATCCAATATGACTGGTGTCTTTATGGAAAGAGGGTCTGTGAAGACAGAGCTACACAGGGAAAAACCGTGTGACAACAGGGGCAAGATTAGAGTTAATGCAGCTGTAAGCCAATAAATGTCAAGGATTGAAGCAACCACAGAAAAGGGAAGTATTCTCCTCTACAGGTTTCAGAGGAAGCACGGCCCTGCCAATGCATTCATTTCAGATTTCTAGCTTCCAAAACTGTGAAGCAATACATCTCTGTTGTTTTAAGCCACCCAGTTTGTGGCACAGACATCCCTCAGTATCCCTGGAGGATTAGTTCCAGGTCCCCGCATGGATACCAACATCCACACATGTTCAAGTCTTTTATATAAAGTAATGTAATATTTGCATATGACCTAGGTACATCTTCTCATATACTTTAAATCATCTCCAGGTTACTTGTAATAGTACCTAACACAATGAAAATGCTGTGTAAAGAGTTGTTCTACTGTATTGCCCAGGGAATAATGACAAGAAAAAACTATGTACATGCTTCAGCACAGATACAGGCATTCATTCTTTTCTTTCAAATATTTTCGATCCATAGTTGGTCAGATCCATAGATACAGAACCCACAGATATGGAGGGCTGGGGATACTTTGTTATAGAAGCTCTCTGAGACTAATACAGTATAGAAGAAGTTTGAGAAAAGGAGGTTTTCCAAATGGTGCTGTATTTAGCTATCTATTGCTATATAACAAATCACTACAAACTTAGTCACTTAAAACAACACCCATTTCACAATTTCTATAGGTCAGGGACCTGAGCATAACTTACCATCTTCTGTTTCAAAGTCTCACATAGTCTACAGTCAAAGTGTTGGCCAGGTGTCTCACCTGAAGGCTCAATTGGGATAGAGTCCGTTATACACTGGTGGTGGGGCCTGGTCCTAGCTGTAGTTAGTGTGCAGGTGACAGAGGGGGCCGTTGGGTAGGCTCTTAAAATCAGCAACAGAGGCTCATCTATCTTCAGATACTAAGAGAAAGGATAGCTTGTCTTAATCTAATAGGTTAAAATCTGTAGGGACGGCTGGGCATGGAGGCTCACGTCTGTAATCCAAGAACTTTGGGAGGCCGAGGTAGGCGGATCACCTGAGGTCAGGAGTTTGAGATCAGCCTGGTCAACATGGTGAAACCCTGTCTCCACTAAAAATACAAAAATTAGCCGGGCATGGAGGCAGGTGCCTGTAATCCCAGCTACTCAGAAGACTCAAGCAGGGAGAATTGCTTGAACCCACGAGGCAGAGGTTGCAGTGAGGCAAGATCAGGCCGCTGCACTCCAGCCTGGGTGACAGAGTGAGACTCTGTCTCAAAAAAAAAAAAAAAAAAATCTGTAGGGACAAAAGAACAGAGTATATTTAATGTAGGTAAACTGTGGCTTAAACTAAGACTACATGTTTGGGTATCTTTTCTGTAGTTGACATATTTTTGGAAATGTAATATTTTTGGCCATGTCAAAATAAGATAGATCGACAACTGAAGAAATGAAGGCTTCTTGTCATTTCCTTTTGTGGTATTTTAGCGAAATCCGTGGTAAGACCTCAGTCCTCTGAAATGTTGGGACTGTAGGTGAAAGCAAAAACAACAACAGCACAGCTGACATTTCACATAAAATTGTGTGCCCAATGCTTGCATTTACATACTCAATTACTTTCCTAGAACATGCATGTTAAGACATATATCTACCATTTTACATATATATTGAGCCTGCACTATATGCCGGGGACTATGCTTGTCACTGGAGATATGGCAGATAACAAGACAAGCTTTGTGGTTAAGATTTAAAGGGATAAATAATTAAATCCCTTGTCCTCAGAGTGCTAAATTGTGTCACACAGAAACATAAGTATCAAGTATGAATAAAAACTGCTTTGTGACTGATGGATTAGAAACTACAGTGCGATTCAAAGTCCAAAATTGACTTCCTACTTCTCCATGGATGTATAGTGGAGACCCCGTGAATGCTTCTGCCCATGGTAAAGTGGTGGGGAAAACCTTTGTGGTCTGTAGGTTGGGGGAGAGTGATGAGAGATGGAGAGACAGAGACAGAGGGACAGGCAGACAGAAAGAGAAAGGGACAGAGACAGAAAGAGACAGAGGGAAAGAGGGAGACAGAAGAAGAGAGAAAGGCAGACACACACACACACACACACACACACACACACACACACACACACACAGAGTCTTGTTCAAAGTCTCTTCCCTTTTATCCTCCAGGGAGCAGGGATGGTGGGCATGGCCAACATGGGGGACTGTTAGCAATCCTGCTCCTGGTTAACACCTCATCAGAGATGTGGCTCTCTGTGGGATATTTTTGAGGAGAGGGCCTTCTGCTTGGTTCGCCTACAGGGCCACTGGCTAGCCGGCTCTGGGGCAAAGAGCGTGGGCCAGGGAGATTGAGAGTTGAAAGTGATTTTGCTATTTCAGGGTCTTTTGACTTCAGGTGTGTTACTTATCTTCACTGAACCTCAGTTTGCCTACCTGTAGGATGGGATGTTTCTACCTACCGTAGTGGGTTGGGAGGATTAAGAATGAACACACGCCAACCATGACATGTGTGATATGTAGCAGGTGTTCAGCGAATGTTGGCTTCCTCTTCTCCCCCTTCAAGGCTGGTTTTTCCATCCCCTTTCCATTCTTATTGTTTCCTTCTAATATTCCTTCCATTCTGAGAAAGAGTAAGCTCAAATTTCTTCAGAAGTTTTGCAAAGGTTTGGTGGAGGTAGGGGAAAGAGTAAGAGGTTCTTTTGGCACCAAGTTTATTGCACTTTGGAGTTTTCCATGACTTGTGAAGGGATGGGGTGAGAAGAGAGAATGGGACCATAGACTTGGAGGTATCAGTGTCAGGAAGTCACACAGAGGTTGGAAGGTGGAGGCAGGAGTGCCCAATGCCCTACACAGGTCGTTGTCATCCTGCAGACTCCAGGAGGGAGAAGCAGGTCAGGTGAGTTCTGTGCACACCAAACCACGGGACTACAGAGACTCCTTTGTATTAAAGAGAGTATTGCAGGTGGTTGCTTCCTGTCAGCCACCTCTGATGTGAAATGGCTGAGTTACTAGGAGAGACCTTGTGTACAGTCAGGCATACATTTCAATTACAGTTCAGCTACTTTTTAGCTGGATTTCTCTGAGCAAAAAATTTGACTTCTCTGAGCCTTTATTACCTCATAGCGTTTTTGAGAAAATCACATGGGAGAATTTCTAAAAATGTGCTCCATAAATAGCGCTATTTTGATTTTGGTGTCTACGCAACCCCAGCATCAGCTCTCCCTGTTGCTGTCCAGAGTTACCTTCCTCCACTTTAAGTTAATCCCACCTGCAGGGGACCTTGGCCATTTATATGGCTTTATACCATAAGTGTACTTTATAGTACACATTCATAGTATAGGGCTGGGGAGGTATTATTCAAGCTACCAAAATATAAGTAAGAAACAAGAGTCTCATTGCCCTTTCTGGGAAAAGGATGGGCAGCAAATACTTTCCAAGGTCTCCTCTGCCTCTCTCAGATAGGGCCTGGGCCACTGCTTCCTCTCTTGCTGGTTTCCTCCTGGAGCTCTGGTGGAAAAAAGGCTACCCTTCACTTTCCTGCCTCTTCCCTGAATTTTCCCAATAAACCAGTAACTTCAGAATCTCTCTCTCTCTCTCTCTCTCTCTCTCTCTCTCTCTCTCTCTCTCTCTATCCATTCATCTATCCATCTTCCTACCTATCAGGGTTTGGCAAACTCTTCTGAATAGCAGGAAGGAATTACAGTGTAGAAAGAAAAAAAAATCAGTCAAGTGTAACTGTTCTCATAGTTCCAGGGAAAAGAATAATAAATGAACTAACTCATTCACAGACAAAATGCACCAATCCTGGCTTTACCCCTGGTTTTGAGGATAGCCTTCCTATCCTCATTCCATCCACACTTCCCTCTTAAATCAATAAAAGGCAAAATCCTAAACTTCTGTTTGGAAATGTGGAAAGGAATATGCAGGGAAGCAACATGATCGTCCCTAAAGCCAGTCTGGAACCAAGTGACTGACAGAGGCCCACATAGGCACATGATGTGTGTAGAAATCAGTCTAGGTGTATGTCCAGGTGTGTTCAAAGACTGAATGGAGACCTCCTCTGCAACTGCTGATCTCTCTTGACTAAGGAAATTGGAAACCTAAACCTAAAACAAAACAAAAAACTCACACATAAACCTGTGTCATGAGTAACTTCACTGGACACCAGGAAAAAGTCTTTTAGGCTGGGAGAAGGCCCTGGTCCATAGGCCCCAGCAGCCTCTCCCTATAGTTTGTCCAGGAGCTTAGCTCACTAACAATGAGTCTGAATAAAGAAGGAATCAGTACAGAATCTATACAACAGCAATATATAAAAAATGAGAAAAGAAATAGCAAACATATACAGCAGATAAGCAAGCCCCACAGAAAAAACGTTACCATGGGTCAGATGAACATTGTGATTAAACCAATTGCTGAGAATTTTCTAAAATCTTAGTGAAGAAACAGAGTTTTATAAAAAAATAAGCCAGGCACAGTGGCTCACACCTGTAATTCCAGCACTTTGGGAGGCTGAGGTGGACAGATTGCTTGAGCTCAGGAGTTCAAGACTAGCCTGGGCAAAATGGCAAAACCCCATCTCTACAAAAAAAATACAGAAATATGCAGGCATGGTAGTGTGTGCCTGTAGTCCTAGCTACTTGGGAGGCTGAGGCAGGAGGATCGCTTGAGCCCAGGAGGTCAAGGCTGCAGTGAGCTATGACTGCACCACTGCACTCCATCCTGGGCAACAGAGCAAGACCTTGCCTGAATAAAAAAATAGAATTCTTTAGAAAACCAGAGCCCAAAGATAGGGGCTCAGGGATGACATGGTCAGATAAGAGAATGAGATAAAGCATGAATTGAGAGAGGTCTTGAAAGGGGTGGATGAGAAATAAAACGACTATAGGAAGGAAAGCCAGATGGGAAGCAGTGCAGAAGGGAAGAGCTGATGTTGAAACTGTCAAAGGTAATGGATGATAAGATGGAGAAAGATGGGAAAAAAAATTCATATGAGCCAAGAGTCATAAGAGGATTGCAGAGAAAGTGAGAAATAAGCAAGACAGACAAAGAAGTTCAAACCACCCATAATTGATGCCTCCAAAGAAGATAACCAAATATGTTATTACATATTTTAAGAAGGTTGGGGGTAGAAATTGGGGAGATGTTGTTCAAAGGATGCAGAATTCTTGTTCATTAGAGGAGTAGTTCAAGAGATCTATTGTATTATACACTAGATATACAATGGTGACTATAGTTAGCAATATATTATATTTTTTAAAAATGCTGAGAGTGGATGTCAAGTGTTCTCAACATAAACATGATAAAACTATGTGTGGTAATGCATAGATTCATTAGCTAGAGTCAGTCACTCCACAATGTGTACATACTTCAACCATATGTCATACACAGTAAATATGTACAATTTTATCTGTCATTAAAACATAAATAAATTCAACCTTCCTACCAAAAATAAAAAATAAAGATATAATCCAAGTACAATTACTAAAAATAAAGAAAGACTTGGCTCTTCAGCTTGAAAGATCATAACAGTATGTCTTAGAGGGAAATATTTACAGAACCATTGATATGGAGCCTCATCTGAGTGAAGTTACTGAACATCAGAGAGAAAGAAAGAATCTTTTGGACAGGTAGATCAAGAGACCAAATTACCTCTTAACGGGAAAATACCAGCCTGGCTCACAGCCTCAATCGACCCTTGAAGTCAGTAGAGCAAAGTCTACAAAGTCCTAAAGAGAAAACGTGTATTTTATAGCAGTCTGTACCATGCATCATAAATAAGACAGCAGAAAACATCTTTGAACCTGCAAGCGCTTAGGGAGTGTGGTTCCCATGAGTCACTTTCGAAGAAACTACTAAAGGATGACATTCAGGCAATTTTTTACTGGAAAAAAAAATATGGTAAAAAGACCACCAGGGAGCACTGACTGACTCCATTAAGGTGTAGGGTTAAGACCAAAGTGATCTGGTTACTGGCATGTCGAAATTATGCAGCTGATGAAAACCAGGAGACAAGGAAACTGTGTACTGGAGAAGGTAAAGGAGGCAGGTGTTTTCCCTTGTTTAATATTTGCTATTTTCTGAATTTTGGCCCACAGACACTTATTATCTATTCAAGAAATAAATAATGTATTTAAAAACAACATGAAAAGGATGAGCCAACAGTTGAAGCTTCACTGTCTGTCAGCTAGAAACGAAAAGATATGTACAGTTCTGTATTATCTCAACCACAACAAATTGGGGTGGAGAGGAGTTGTTCTCTCACACAGTCAGGAAAAAGGATAAGAAGAAAAAGGAAAGGAAAGGGAGCATTCTTTCTTAGGGTTGGCATTTTCCCGGCAACCAGCATTCGAGTCATCCTTCTACAAGGACACCTTGTTACGTTGGTGTGCATTTGTGAAAGGAAGAGGTTATTGGGCTGACGTTTCATATCAAATGATGTCCATAGTGAGCCTGTGGCTTTTCATTCCTGTGAGCCTCACTAGATCCCCATGGCTTCCTTCCCCAAGTTCTGCCCTAACCTTGGTTCCAGAGTGGTTCAGATGGCATCTAAGCCTCAGCAGCTGGTCTCTGGTGGTTCAGTCCTGGATGCCTTCTCATCTTCAGAGCCACCCGTTTTCCATGTTGTAGTCTCATTCATCTCTCTGGGCCTCAGTTTCCTGGCCTGGGATTCTGCTTTGCTTTGTTTGGCTTTCTCCTACTCCTCCCAGCTTCTCCCCCAAGAGAATGTGGCCTTTTCCTTGAATCCCAGCCCAGTAGCAAGACCCTACCATACCTTAGAAAGCTCTGTTGGACAATGATAGACTGAACCCTGTCCTCATTGTGTCAAAGCCTCCTCAGTGGGACCCTTCCACCTTCTTTTGCAATGTCCAGTTCTATTTTTACATTAGGCTTATTGTTATTGTTGAGTGGCGTTTGGCTACCTGACGTCCCAGTGTGGACCAAATTAACTTCATGACCTTTGACTTGAATGGGTAGGTTTCTTGCCAAGCTCTAACATCCCTCTCCTTCTGTTGGAACGTGGACTCATCAATTCTTTTGCCTGATTATTTAACTCAATTATCCATAAGAGTGCACCTCAATTTTAATGTCCCTATGAATGATCTGGGTTCTTATTAAAATGTAAATTCTAGTTCATTAGAGCTGGTGATAGTCTACACATCTAATGAGCTTCTAGATGATGATATCAGGCACTCCTGGATATATAGACCACAGTTTGAGTAGCAAGGAATCTGTATCATATCACTTTAATTGGAGAGAGAAAGATTTTTTTAAGAAATTTATTTTTGCTAATCAAAACCACAATGAGATAACCATCTCACACCAGTCAGAATGGCGATTATTAAAAAGTCAGGAAACAACAGATGCTGGTGAGGCTGTGGAGAAATAGGAACGCTTTTACACTGTTGGTAGGAGTGCAAATTAGTTCAACCATTGTGGAAGACAGTGTGGAGATTTCTCAAGGATCTACAACCAGAAATACCATTTGACCTAGCAATCCCATTACTGGGTATATACCCCCCCCCCAAATTCTAAATTATTCTACTATAAAGACACATGCACACATATGCATATTGCAGCACTATTTACAGTAGCAAAGACTTGGAACAAACCCAAATGCCCATCAATGATAGACTGGGTAAAAAAATATGGCACATATACACCACGGAATACTATGCAGCCATAAAAAAGAATGAATTCATGTCCTTTGCAGGGACATGGATAAAGCTGGAAGCCATCACTCTCAGCAAACTAACACAGGAAGAGAAAACCAAACAGCGCATGTTCTCACTCACAAGTTGAATAATGAGAACACCTGGACACAGTAAGGAGAACATCACACACTGGGGCCTGTTGCGGGGTGGGGGTCAAGGGGAGGGAGAGAATTAGGACAAATGCCTAATGCATGTGGGGCTTAAAACCTAGATGACAGGTTGATAGGTGCAGCAAACCACCATGGCACATGTATACCATATAACAAACCTGCAGGTTCTGGATGTATACCCCAGAACTTAAAGTAAAATTTTTTAAAAAATTGTTTTTAATTGGCAAATAATAATTGTGTATATTTATGAGGTACAGTGTGATGTTTTGATATATGTTTACAGTATGGAATGATTAAATCAGGTTAATTAAGCAATCCATCACCTCATATACTTTTTTTGCTGTGAAAACATTTAAAATCTACTCTTAGAAATACACAACACATGATTATCTTTTTGAAATAGACAATGCATTATGATTCATTATAGTCCCCATTTTGTGCAACAGGTCACTAAAGCTTATTCCTCCTGTCTAGCTGCGCTCTTCACTCTGTACTCTTTACTCTTTGACCAACATGTCCCCTTTCCACCACAGTTACCTTTCAGGCTCTTGGGTTCTGGAAAGATGTTTTTGACATTGCAACTTGGAAGTCACAATGTATTTTTCACAAAACAGTGCAGCTAGATGTAGTAAAAATAGTATGATTAGAGCTGTAATTTGGGTATTTGTGGGTTAAATAAGCTTTTGCTCACTGTCTGGAAATCATACCACCAGGAATGAAGTTGTCACTGAGGAAGAATCTACTCAAGGTTGCAACCAGCTTATATGCAGAATTCAACCTGGGCTTAAATGGGACAGTGGACTTTGCTGGATTTCTCACAGCAAAGCTTTTTCTCAAGCTTAAAATATGCACCCCTTTTTGAATGACTGAATCTAACATGAATGATTTTTACTTGTTGCCAACTTACGTGCCTTGAAATCCTGAGACATGTCCTTTCATGTTGAATTTTCCTTAGGAATTAAAGAAATCCTTAATAAATGTCTTGCAATTATAATCAACTTTAATTACTTGTTGCTATGGAGTTTTGCTTGGTTACAAATTCTTCATCTGCTGTTTCTAATTCAGCTCAAGTTTCTGTGGCTAAAGGGATATTTTGACTCTAATGAGAGAAAATACATAAATTTTTTAATAGTTTTAGTCTTTCTTCTAGCAATGGCTATGCAAGCAGTACCAAGAGAAGAAAGCAGAACAGGGTAGAGTGATATTTCATAAGAGCTCTAGTACTGATCTTTTTTTTTTTTTTTTTTTTTTTTTTTTTTTTGAGACGGAGTCTCACTCTGTTGCCCAGGCTGGAGTGCAGTGGTGCGATCTCGGCTCACTGCAAGCTCCGCCTCCCGGGTTCACGCCATTCTCCTGCCTCAGCCTCCCGAGTAGCTGGGACTACAGGCGCCCGCCACCACGCCCGGCTAATTTTTTTGTATTTTTAGTAGAGACGGGGTTTCACCGTGTTAGCCAGGATGGTCTCAATCTCCTGACCTCGTGATCCGCCTGCCTCAGCCTCCCAAAGTGCTGGGTTTACAGGCTTGAGCCACCGCGTCCGGTCTCTAGTACTGATCTTAAGAAGAAAGATTTGGAATGGTTTGCCTTTTCCAGAATGGAAATTTTGCTGTAATAGCTTGAGAACAGGAGAAAAAAATATTTGTCAATAGGCTAATCCTAAAGCTTAAGCTACTAGTTGGAAAGCAGTGTCCCCACCACAAGTTTTGTGCTGCTTTTTCCTGAAGAAATTTTTTAAAGTTTCGTTATGTGTCAAAACAATTTTGATGGTTTCATCCTACATTTAGTAGAGGAAAATAAAAATCATCTCCATACCAGACCAGATGAATCTAACAAAATCTTTTTTTTAAAAAGAAGGTATTGTATTAAATGAGAGCAGCATCAAACTGCAATCATGCATGGCCTTGCTGCAAACACTTACATCCATGCCACTCATGAGAGCTGAGCATTTGCCGTTGTACGTTCCTTGGTCTACTGTTCTCTTCTGTCATGTAAGAGTGGGCCTTGGGCATGAAGGCTGAAGAATTTAGAGGTAAAGGGCCAACATTTTTTGAAACCTATTTTGAAATCATGGCTTTATAATGTGTCAACTTGACTAAGCTGAACTATGTTCCCAGGATTCCCTCTTCTGTATGTTTCTCATTAGGTTGGACCACAAAAGACAAACGGGAGATTTTGAGGGCAGAGGGGAAGCCACAGCCATTTGGCAGTTCTAGTGCATCATCAAGGAGTACCTGGCTCCCCTCTCCCCCTCACCTGTTGGCAAGCATTCTGCCTTCCCCGGGACCTCCTCCAGCTGCTCCAGCTCCTGGGTCATGTGTGTGCTTTTAGCTTCATAAGGAGGGACCCGTGTCTTCCCCCTTCCCCTCACCTGTTGGTGTGAGTCAGCGGGGCCTGCAAGCATTCCGCCTTCTCTGGAATCCTCCTCCAGCTGTTCCAGCTCCTGGGACAGTTGTGTGCATTTATCTTCATAGGGAGGGACCCCTGGCTTCATTAGGCCACCGACTTCATCAGGGTTGGAAGCGACAAGAATGACGGGAGTCTACCAATGGTAGACTTACCTGCTCCCTGAAGACCAGTCATCTGTCCATCCAGGTGAAGGCCCAGCTCACACTAGTGGGTTCCAGCCTGCTCTTGGTCTCCCCCATTCCACATCCATCTTGCTTTCTTGACTCTTGCTTTGTGAGCCTTAAGCTCCAGCATAAAACATGAAGAACAGCCTTGCAGATATGAAGAAATACAGATAAACAGTGACTCTGCTTTTCTGATTGAACCCAGCTGATACACAAGCCTACCTGCATATACAAATAAGAACATATTTATGTATGCATATTATATGTATATATATTCATATATATTATATATATTCATGTTTATATAATATATACATTTTATTTTTGTATAAACATTTATATATTTATGCTTATATGTACAAACAGAAACATATGTAAATGTATTTGAAATGTTAAAAGAAATCAAATAAATTGTTAACAATTATTAAACCTAGATAGTGAGTGTGTGATTGTTTATTTTATTCTTCTTTCAACTTTTTCTTGTGTTTGAACTTTCCTATATAAATAATTTGGGAAAAGAAAGAATAGGTCTTAACAATAAGTAAAGCCTCCAGATCCTTAGTCCAAAGAGCTGTGGAGTAAAGTCTCAGCAAAAGTTTTCTTTTCACTGAAATTAAATATCATTACATAAGTATTGAAGTGCCCACTAGGTGCCAGGCACTGTCCTAGGTGCTGAGGAGTGAATGGCAAGAAAATCATGAGTTCCTTGCTTCCTGCAGTTTATATTCTAGGGTTTCTCTAAACAGCCATGGTTCTTTGAAGTCTTACATTCTGGCTTCTCATGGCCACTCCTGGTATAAACCAAAAATGCAAATAGTAGTAAGCAACCATAGATTTCCCCTGCTGTCTGAAGAGTAGCCATTAACTGTTTCTTTTGTTTCCAGTGGGAACCTATCATATGCTTGGCCCTGATTAACGAATAAGATGCCAGGGACCTTTTTTGGACTATGGTCTTCCAGTTGTACCTGGACAGCAAAACTGACCTCAGTAGAGGAACTGTTGATGGTTTGGGGGTCCTTTTCAGTTGGGGACTTGCCACTGAGTTGCATATCTGGGCAGTGCTTTGTGAGGATTGTGGTTGGGGGCTGGCGGAGGTGTGATGCTGGATCACAGGTACCTGGACTCAGAGTTAAGGGGATGATGAGTGGAGACGGGCTGAAGACAAGCACAGGCTTCACAAGCTGAGATCCTCCTCTGTCAGCAAGTCTCGGTATGCCTGTTGTGACACATGTCTTTTGATGAAAGGTTCTAAATGTCTCAGATGACAGTATTTTAGGAGTGTTCTTTTGCTTTTTGGCAAATACAACATAGGAAAAGCAAGCTTTTGTAGTTTTGGAAGGGAAAGAATAAGTGGAAGATTACAATCTCAATATGCTTAAAACCATTTGGTCTCTATAAGCTCAAAAGTGGGGCAGGTTGTCACTTTTATTATCATCTGCCAGTGAATTGTCTCTATGCCAGCACTGTCCCTCTGTAATGATGGCATCAGCTTCTAGCTGTGGTGAACCTCTGGGCTGACTCTTGCTGGGCATCTCAGCACAAAGCCTCAAATGATGGGAATGAAAAAATACATATACATACGCACACATTAATTACACATATGTATTGATTCACATATTCGTCAGCAACTCTCTTGTTAAGCTGCATTTCCAGTTGTATGGACCCACTTCCTACTGGTAGTACCATCACGAGGCATGCCACCATCTAATCAAAATCAATGTTGATGTGTTGTAGAAATGTTTTTATAACTGGTGTGCATTGATTCCAGTTGTCTCTTTATTCCTGAATAAAAGCAGGCAAGAACAACATTGCTTTAAGATGCCTATGGAAAATGTCAACTGTCAGACTGCTATTGTTCTTGCATTGCATTAGAAAGTATATTACTCTATGGTACTCTATGATCTTAAATAATGATAACCCCACCCATGACATTTCTGTTCTTATTATTACCTCAGAGGCCAGTAATAGCTGGTCTCTGAGATGACTGTCTGTGATCTCACCTTCTGGTATTTATGCCCTTGTGAAGGGCCCTCTACACTGAGTCACAGTTGGCCCTGTGTGCCCCGTAGAATATGGCAGAGGTGCCAGTGTGTGACTAAGGATAAGTCATAAAAGGAATTTCAATGCCCATCTTTGTGTCTTGTTCAAGTTTTCCATAGCTTTAATGATTTTTGTCTATTTGCTCTATAGCTTACTGAAAGAGTAGGATTGAAATCCCAGACTATAATTACAAATTTGCCAATTTCTTTTCATTTCTATCATTGTTTTGTTTATGTATTTTGAAGCTGTTACTAGACACACATGCATGTAGATTATTATGTCTTTTTAATCAGTTCACTCATTTATCATGATAAAATGCTTCCTCTAAATCCCTTTTAATATTGCTTGTTCTAAAATTCTAAAATTCTTCGTCTATATTAATTAAGCACTCCAGGTTTTTTGATCGATATTTGCATTATATATATACATATATAACTTCCGTGCAAATATATATAATGCAAATATATATATATCACACGTGTGTGTGTGTGTATTTCTATCATGCTACTTTCAGCCTGTCTGTGCCTTTATATTTAAAATGTGTTTCTCTTAAACAACATGCCGTCAAATTTTATTGCTTTATTGATTCAGAAAAGGTTTTTAATTGGTGGATACATGTTGGATTTCAACCAGAGAAGCAAAACCAGTAGGAGATACATAGTAAGAGATTTACTGTAAGAAATTGGCTTATGTGATTGTGGTAACTGGCTAGGCAAGTTGGAAATCACAGGGCAGGTCACTGGGAAGGGTGAACCGGAACTCAGGCTTGATGGATGCTGCTGTCCACAGGCAGGATTTCTTCTTCATCGGAGAGGCTTCAGCTCTGCTCTTAGCTCTTTCAACTGACTGAATAAGGCTCACCCCGATTATCTAGGATAATTTCCTTTACTTAAAGTCAACTGATTATAGACTTTAATCATGTCTACAAAATAACTTCATAGCAACACCTAGATTCATGTTTGATTAAGATATTGTGAACTGTAGCCCACAGAAGCCAACACATCATTAGGCCATCACAGTGAGGTTGATTACAAGCCATTTACATTAAATGTAATTATTAATAGAGTTGGGTTTAAATTTACCATGCTGAGATTTATTTTATATTTATTTCCTGTTTCCCTTGTAATTTTTCTGTATTCCCTGACATCTTTTGCATTGAGCACTTTTTATGGTAGTTATTCCTCTTCATGTTACTTTTTTAATGGTTTCTAAGGGATTTCCAGTATAATTTTTTCACTGAGTGATGAATTCTAGGTTGATTTTTTTTCTTTCAGCACTTTAAAAACATGGCTTTACTGTATTCTGCTGTGCATAACTTTTCATGTTTCCTGTTTTCCTTGTCTTTGTTGCCTCTGTTTAAAGTGTCTGTTTTTTTTTGTTTGTTTGTTTTGTTTTGTTTTTGAGACGGAGCCTCACTCTGTCACCCAGGCTGGAGTGCAGTGGCACGATCTCAGCTCACTGCAACCTCTGCCTCCCGGGTTCAAGCAATTCTCCTGCCTCAGCCTCCTGAGCAGCTGGGATTACAGGTGCATGCCACCACGCTCAGCTAATTTTTGTATTTTTAGTAGAGACAGGGTTTCACCATGTTGGTCATATTGGTCTCGAACTCCTGACCTCGTCATCCTCCTGTCTCGGTCTCCCAGACTGCTGGGATTACAGGCATGAGCCACCACTCCCGGCCCTAAAGTGTCATTTTTAGGAACAAGTTTTAGTGTTCCTTTTTTGGTCACTAGGTTTTAGAAATCTGGTTATGATGTGGCTTGAAATGGTTTGAAAGTTTATTTTACTGACCTTCTTGGATCTGAGGACTTACAGTTTTCATAAAGATTTGTAAAACATCAGATGTGGCCATTATTTCTTCAAATGTTTTTCCTGTATCTGCCCTTCCTCTCCTAGAACTCCATACAGTGTGTTAGAACATTTAATGGTATACATAGTCATGGATACTCTTGTTAATTCCGCCCATCTTTTTTCTGTTTTATTTTGAATAGTTTTTTATTGCTTTATATTCCCTTTCACTGATATCTTTTTCTGCAGTGTCTAATTTGCTGTTAATGGCTCTTCAGATATATTTTACTTTTCGTCTCTAGAAGTTCTATTCGGGTCTTTTCATATGTTACATCTTTCACCTCATCATATTTATGTTTTCCTATACATTCATGAACATATGTGGGCTATTTATAACTGTTTTTAACATCCTCTTCTGCTGGTTTCATCATGTCTATCATTTCTGGCTCAGTGGCTAATGAGTAAATTTTTTTCATGCTTCTTTGTATGGTAACTTTTGTTGGACACAGAACATTGTAAATTTTTTGTTCTCAAGTGCTAGATTTTTTGAATTCTTTACTGGTGTTTAATTTTGTTTTATCACTTAGTTAAGTTACTTGGAGTCAGATGTTTTAAGGCTTGCTTTTAAGCTTTGTTAGGACTTGTTCAGTGCAACTTTTTTTTTTTTTTTTTTTTTTGAGACGGAGTCTCGCTCTGTCGCCCAGGCTGGAGTGCAGTGGCGGGATCTCGGCTCACTGCAAGCTCCGCCTCCCGGGTTCACGCCATTCTCCTGCCTCAGCCTCCCGAGTAGCTGGGACTACAGGCGCCCGCCACCACGCCCGGCTAATTTTTTGTATTTTTAGTAGAGACGGGGTTTCACCGTTTTTTAGCTGGGATGGTCTCGATCTCCTGACCTCGTGATCCGCCCGCCTCGGCCTCCCAAAGTGCTGGGATTACAGGCGGGAGCCACCGCGCCCGGCCGCAACTTTTAATCTAGGTCTAGTTCCTAGCCCCACGAGGAAAGCAATTATCTGAGGGTTTTGCCCAATGCCTCACGTATCACAAAGTCTTTCTGGATGGTGGGAACACAGACTATTTCCAGCTCTGGGTGAGCTCAGAGAATTGTTCTGCATTCTACTTTCTGGTGACTTTGTGCCAGACTCAGATAACTGCCTCTCCTGTATTCACAGATGAACTCTCAGCCAAAGATTTGAAGGCTCTTCTCTGGCAATCTCCAGAACTCTCAGTCTCTCTTTGTAGCTCTCTCCTCTCCAGTATTTTGCCGTGAAAATTCTTGCCATCTTGACCAAACTTCAATTTCTTTTTCTCAACTCAGGGAGACTACCAGGCCCTGTTTGGATTCTCTTCCCTTTGCTGAATCTTGAAAACTTCTTCTAGACAGTGAGCTGGAGAAACGTTAGGGAATTATTTACTTATCTTCTCTACAGGCCCCTGAACTTTTTAAATCACCCAGTTTATAGAAAACATTGTTTTTACCATTCTCTAGTTGTTTAAGACAGGAAGGTCTCTGTTACTCCATCTTGGCCAGAAGCAGAAATGTCCATGTATTTGTTTTGAACAAAATAGAATATTGTCTTAAAACAACCTTTTAATATTTAAAATTTAACATCATAGAAAGAAGGAAAGAGACCCAATTATAAACACAGGATAAACCTTAGAGTTACGTCTTACATTTCTAACTTTAACACAGCAATTGAAGTGTAAAATTCTCATAGGGTAATTACGTTAATAAACCATTACCCTTTCACAGTTTTAGCAGTCAAATTTTGTACACCAATAGAGTCCTTCAGGCTCCATGAATTTGGTTACAAATTCTGCTTGATAGGAACCTGTCTCAGGCCACTGAGCCTCGAGTCTATTTTTCCCCTTGAGATATGTAAGTATATTTCTAGGTAAATGAGAATTGGAAATGAGCCCCTTACCCTCACTCTAGTGATGGGCTAGGTCAGCCCAATATCTAATAGTGCTGATGACCCAATAACTTTCTTTCGAAGACCATCTAACAAACAGCCAAGATTACTTAGCTAGATAGCAACAGAAAAACAATTTGAGAGCTTCAAGTATATTGAACTTCTGGGATGAGGTTTTGCAATGAATCTGTAAAATTCTCACACATATTTGATTTTTTATATTACATATAATGACTCCTTTCATTTAAATATGGCTCTAATTTTTATCTTTTTCTCTAAGTTACCATAAAAATTAAAATTTTGTTTTATATACACAAATGTTGGTTCTGTACACTGATTTTTACTGTTCTCTTAACACACCAACCACATCACTGCAATCATCATTCCTATGAAATACTTCTGTTTTGTAAAACAGCCATATATGCAAAGTAACCCCCCAAAATGCTGAAGGAGCTGAGAGACCAAAGGGAAAGGTAGACAAATCCTGTTTGTCAGTATGGGATGATTCAGTGGGAGAACTTAGAGTTAGAAGTGTGGTCTTGGGTGGCCACAAGACAGGTAGATTGCCACACCATAACCCCCTAGACCCAGGGATTGTGTTTGGGGAAAAAGGATATGTGCTCTGGAAGGAATGTGTAGGTAGCTAAGGTATCACAGCCTATGATTTCTGCAACAACATCAAGGGTTGTTTGGAAGAAAACTTACGGTGAATAGGTGTTCCTGCATAAAGAGTAATTTATCAACAACATTTTGGAGGCATTCCCAGACTTGGGGTTAGTTAGAAGTGACACGGCAGATTAACATTTAAGATTAAGTCATTCTTGTCCCGGTATCTTCCATTCTGATATTTCAACTCTTCAACTGGGAAGGTTATTTTTGTTTCAAAACCCGTCAGAAATTAATTTTGGCATAACCCCTTTACTCCTTCCAAGCTTCTTTGAAACTTTCATCATTTCTCTGAAATTATAACAACAGTATTTTTGTTTCCTTTGAAAAAGAAAATCCCTCATTTCACTTTGAAGCGTATTTTTAAAAGTGTGTAACACTCACTTGGTAAAAATATGATAATTTAAATTTAGACAAATGTCTATAAACTCGTATCATTGAGGAATTGTTTAGTACATTTGTTTCACAAACTTCCAGTATTTCAAATACTTAAAAATCTACTCAATACCTACTGCAATGTAAATCATGTCTTATAAAAATTGACAATTTGGGAGTGATTGCTATTTTCCTATGCAAGATCCATTTTCTTGTCCCTTTTTAAGAGAACCAGAGAAATAACCCTAATGTTAGCTGGTTGGAATAAAGACTACATTTCCCAACTGCCCTTGCATGTGGGTAAGACTATGTGATTAAGTCCCAGTCAATGCGACATAAGCAGAAGCATCGTGTGGGACTTTTGAGAAACTCCTTAAAGTCAACTGGCCTCACTGGGAGCTGTGTCCTCTTTTGGCTTCTCTTCTTTCTCCTTCTTCCTCATAGCCTAGAATTCAGATTGACGGAGCTCCAGTAGCCAGCTTGCACGATGAAACAAACATGAGAATGGAAACCATACATTTGAAGGTTAGAAAGAGAGAAAGAGCTTGGGTCCTTGACGACTATGGAGCTACTTTATCAACCTTGTGCTGACCTCTTGCTTTCTCTTAAGGAAGAGAGAAAATCTTCTATTTTGTTTTAGCCACTATATTATATATATGTGTGTGTATATATATATGTAGGTATACACACATATATGTATATATACATATACATATATGTGTGTATGTGAGTATATATGTATATATGTATATATACACACACATACATATACACACACATACACATATATACACACATATATATGCGTCTCTATATATATACATGTGTGTATATGTATATATGTACACACATATATAGACATATATACACACATATAATATACTGGCTAAAACATATATATATATATATACGCGCGCGCACACACACACACACACGCACACACATATATATATATATATATATATATATAGAGAGAGAGAGAGAGAGAGAGAGAGAGAGAGAGAGAGAGATGGAGTTTCATTCTTGTTGCCCAGGCTGGAGTGCAGTGTCATGATCTCGGCTCACTGCAACCTCCGTCTCCCAGGTTCAAGTGATTTTCCTGCCTCAGCCTTCTGAGCAGCTGGGATTACAGGTGCCTGCCACCACGCCCAGGTAATTTTTTTGTATTTTTAGTAGAGATGAGGTTTTGCCATGTTGGCCAGGCTGATCTTGAACTCCTGATCTCAGGTGATCCACCCACCTTGGCTTCCTAAAGTCCTGGGATTACAGGCGTAAGCCACGGCGCCCAGTCTATTTTTTTGTTATGTATAACATAAACTAATCCTAAGTAATACAACAATAGTGATATCATTTTGTAAATAATTCAAATCCTCAAAAACCTCAAACTATATGCATAAAAATATACAGATATATTATAGGTGTAGGTACATATATTTATGTATACACATACACATGTGCATGGTGATCATATGCATACAGTGA
This sequence comes from Homo sapiens, assembly GCF_000001405.40. NCBI lineage: Eukaryota > Metazoa > Chordata > Mammalia > Primates > Hominidae > Homo > Homo sapiens. The sequence continues at coordinate 234,118,012 of NC_000002.12, forward strand.
TTGGCATTTATTTCAGGAAGTTTGCTAAGACTCCTTTGTATTTGCATAGCCTGGTCTTTTGCCCGTTCTATCACAGGCCATGCCACATTTTATTAAAATGAATTTTGATTTTTTGTAGAAATACTTTTATGATTGGCAAAAATACTTTTATCATTATTTTGTTTACCTATTTATTAATGAAAAAATAGCAACACTGATTTTAGTAAAACAGCCATAGAAAATATAAAGTACTAGATTGGCTGCTGTTAATTCATTGCACTAAAAGATATATTATTGTGTGTTATCTTATATGCTTAGATAATGATGATCCCACCCATGATATCTTAGTCCATAGTGTTCTGTAATAACTAGCTACAAGATGGCCCTTAATGATTCTCATTTCTTATGCCATTTTGTATCCCCACCCACACTGAATTGGTGCTGGTTTTTTGCGCCTCATAGTATGTGGCAGAAGTGACAATGTGTGAACTCTGGGGCTGGGACATAGGAGGTATTTCAGGTTTCACCTTGCTCTCTGGGGTCACTTGCCCTGGGGGAGGCTAGCATCAGGTTGTGAGGACACTCAAATAACCCTATGGTGAAGTCCACATGGGGAGAAGAAGACTTGCCAAAACTGGCCTGCCAGGCATATGAGTGAGCCATCTTGGAATTGGATTCTCCAGCCCCCATCAAGCCTTCGGATGATGGCAGCTCCAGTTGAAATCTGACTCAGCTCCGTGAGAAACTCAGAGCCAGAATCATAAAATCAAGCTGCTCTTGAATTGATGGCCCACAGAATCCAAGAGAGATAAAAAATGACTGTGGTTACTTTAAGCCACTGTGTTTTGTGGTAATTTGCTACACAGCATTAGTAAATAAATAGATATGCTATGATTGATTATAGAACTTTGGATATTTTCATAGAAGTCAAATTGAGCTCATCATTAGAGCTCTTTCTTCTCCTTTAACCTTTGGTAAATTTCTAATAATTCACAAAAGGTTTGTTTTTTTCTTTTTTTGGGAAAACAAAAACTTATTACTGGCAATCACAGGTTTACAAGAAATAAATATTTTCAACTCTAATTTTCAGGTATATTTTATCCTTTCTTGAAACTTATTTTGAGTGAGTAGATAATAATTTATTAGCTACAGTTTTATTTTAAAGAGCTGTAGTCCAAAATTATTATTATTTCAGTTATTTCAGGCATTTTATTTCTAATTTCCTGAAAATTTTTAGAATTGTTTTTCCAGATAGAAACTCCTTGTATCATTAAGTAGATTTTTTACACAACTGATTTTCTTATTGACGTAATGGTAGACATGAAGGAATGTTAAAACGATGCATCCTTGATAACTATATTCAACCTATTGAAAATCTGAAATTCAAAGTTCTTTGACATCTTACAATTGGCCTTTAATTGTTTTCTATGTTCTGATTTAATTGTTACCCATGGCCCAAATACCCTATCTCCACATGTTCTGAGGTGTAGATTTGGGGTCTGTGCTCTGGATTTAATCCCCATAGACCCCTGGCTAGGAAGGTGGAGTCTGCGCCTCGCTCTAACGTACAGGCTCCCAGGATCCAGGTGATACTTTCAGACTGCCTGGATGGGAGGCTCGATCTTTCTAGTTTATTCCATGCCTATGTGAAGGCCCCCGGCAGGTCCTATGGAAGGAATCACAGGTGACATGAGCCGAAAACTGCATTCAAGTCTCAGGTAAAAAGTAAGCTCTCCACTGAGGGGCCTGAAGGCAGGTGGACAGAGCGGGTAAGTGGTGTCTATTCTGACAGCAAGAAATCCCAAAGTCTGTGATTCTTTGGTGACATATGGCAAGGATTTTTAGAATGCAGAGAGGCTTTTACAAGGCCAGGTTCACCGTGCAGATGGATGGAAGCCAAGGGAGGTCTCTTTCCTTTGGATACTTCTTGCCCATTGAAGCATCTGGAATTTGGCACAGGGTCTGTGATTTTTCTCACCATGGAAATCCTCTCTGTGGAAGAGCTCTGTGGTAACAGGGGCAGAGCTGATCTTGCTCAGAGACCCTTGAAGAGCTGCAGCTTGTTGTGCATAAGGGACCTGTCTCCAGGTGGAAGGAGGAGGGTTGCTCACTGGTGATGGTGGCGGTACACATAGAATGAGACCCACTGGCTTTGGAGTTAGATGGATCTGGAGTTAGACAGATCCTAATTCACCAACTATGATGCTTTGGAAAAATTTACTCAGACTCACTATATCTCAGTCTTCTCATTCTATAAAAGCAGAATAATAAAACTTCCCTCGAAGGGTTGTTGGGACTATGTGACTTCCGCCCAGCCCTTCACCCCATAATGGGTGAGTGCTCAAGAGATGAAGGCAATTATTCTTATCATCCAATTAACTCTAGATGTGCATTTAGGTTGTTGTGGGTGATAGCTGGCATAGCTATCTTCTCCTCTGCTCTCCCCTGGGTCCCCCAGGCCACCCCGGTCTCAAACTTGAGGCAAAGACCCAAAGAAACCTCTGAAGGAAGACACCTGGGCATAAAGTGAAAAGATTCTTGCAGAAGCCATTTTCCATTGTCAAAGACTAGAGAGCGAGCAAAGGAAGGGGGAGGCTGCTGGAAAGAGGAAAAAGGCAAAATACTCCCAGCCCCAAAGCAAGAATGACCTTCAGGTTGTCCCAAGAGAGCAATAGGGACAGAGGGACAGCTCAGTACTTAGCTTTCCAGAGTATAGACTCCACTGACACATCTTCTGGGGACATCTGCTGTCCAACAGGTGTGGCCACTTGCTTCTGAGCAAAGAGTAGGAACCTGGGCACCAAGTCCCAAGAGTGGGGATGTAAAGCATAAGCCTTACTCCCTGACCAAGCACTAATGGAGAAAGACCAGGTGAGAACTGCCCTGTGGCCAGGACACAGGGGGCATCTTCTCCCCCTCCCCTGGTGCTGGGCCCTTGTCACCATCCTTCCTTTGCCAACACATAGGTGGGACACAGATGCTAGATAGGTCACTCACAGACCCTAGGATAATGTGGCTCACAATAATTTGTACAGATATATATATTTGGGAGACCATATATGTTGACAAAATTTTGCTTTAAAAATGATGTTAAGATAAACAAACTACCTTTTCTTAGCACCACCAATTTACCAAAGAAAGGACATTCTACTAGAAAGAAAAGGTTAGAAAGGACACTATCAGAATAAAGAAGTGCTCTTCAAATGGAAGAATTTGGCTTTCTTCAAAATGAACAGTGCCCTTGGTTCTCTTTTTTGTAGGTGGTGGAGCCTGTTTGTGCCCAGCATGGGAGTCGGAACCTTTCTGAGGATCCACCTTGAAATGGGCCCCATGTTCCTTAGGAGGTTGGGCATAGGAGTCTGATGCCCTGGGATGGCATCTGCTCTGGTCTTTAGTGTCTGCATGGCCTCAGGGGAATTGCTTAGGGTCTCTGGGTCACAGTTGCTTCCTGGGTAACGTGGAGTACGTGAGATGTGCTCAAGAGATGAAAGCAATTATTCTTATCATCCAATTAACTCTGGATGTGCCTTCAGGTTGTGGTGAGTGATAGCTGGCATAGCTATCCTCTCCTCTGCTCTCCCCTGCCCACCTAATAGAATTGTTCTGAGGATAATTTAGGTTAATATCAGCAAAGCACTTAGGTCAATATCCAGAATTAGGAAAGGGGTTTATAAGTGAGAGCTGCCATTATTTTTCATTATTTTAACTTTAGATCATCCAGAGACTGCTATGTTTATCTAGGAGGTACTGTTTTCTACTAATTCAATGATATCACTTGGCTAGCTTTAGGGACTTTTAATAATATCCATAACATACTCATGCACGCCTGAAAAAAGGCCCTCATGTCAACCAAGTTATGGAATAATCTAGAACGTGTTTTATAATTGCCTTACGTGAACCAGGTAAGGGGTCTGACCTTCACCAGCTTAGCCACCCATTAACCTTCCAGTGTTTGGTCCTGAGGCTTTGGGAAGAAGTCAATGCTGATTCCATAGTCCTCCCGGGAGATGAGTCTGCCCTCTCCCCTTGCACTTTAAAGGAGGTTAATCTGGCCCTGGGTCTTCTGGAGTTGAGTAAGGTTTTTTTCTGAAGGGTGATTCTGAGATATGCCTTATTTCTCCCTCTCTCTCTCCTTGTCCTCCCTCACCCTACTCCTTTCTGCAAATAATGGGTATGTGATTGTGTAAGAGACAGCCTGACCTACAACCTGCATGTTTGGACAGAGCCATTGGAGAAGTGGACGCTAAGCACTGTGAGCCCAGCCCCTGGCTCACTGTCCAAATGCACAGCCCTCAACAGAGGGTGACCAATAAAGCAAGTTCTGTCTTATGTCTTATTCTTACCCTTCTGCTTTCATCTCAACTTTTTGGCTTATATCTAAAAGTTGAAAAGTACTCCATACTAGATTTGCTTTTTTTTTTTTTTTTTCTTTTTGGAGACAGAGTCTCACTGTGTTGCCCAGGCTGGAGTGCAGTGGTGTGATCTTGGCTCACTGCAACCTCCACTTCCTGGGCTCAAGCAATCTTTCCACCTCAGCCTCCCGAGTAGCTGAGATTACAGGTGTGCACCACCACGCCTGGCTGATTTTTTATATTTTAGTAGAGATGGGGTTTTACCATGTTGCCCAGGCTGGTCTCGAACTCCTGAACTCTGGCAATCCACCCACCTCGGCCTCCCAAAGTGCTAGCATTACAGGCATGAGCTACCACGCCCAGCCTAAATTTGCTTCGAATATTAAAAAGATGGAGATATGTATTACTTTCTGTAACATTAATATCTAATGCTGAAAGCATAAGTACTTTATACGGAATGACTTAATTCACTGAACCAATATAATGAAGTAAAAGATATATAGATACACCCCTATCAATTTACAGGGATGAACACATATCCGTGACCATTTGTCTGGAACCAAAAGATCAAAATTCACAGCTCTGATTATAGACATCTCCTAGAGCCCATCTCCTGTAATGTATTGTAAACATTGCAAACACATCACCACATAATAATAATGCAAAGATATCCTAGAATCATATAGGGAATCTCTGGAGAAAGTATGAGGTAATAAGCCGGGCAGCTGGAAAATGGGAAAATGATTGGGCCTGTAGCCCCTGAAAGCTCGTCCTGCATTGAGAGGGAGGCCCCATGTGATGGGGCCGACAATGTGTTGTCCATTCCTCATCTTACAGAATCACTCTCGGTACAGTTTGGTTGATTGTATCTGACTACTACAATAATGATAACAATAATAAACAAAGAGAATCTGGGACTTTTCCTACTTTTACCAGAAAAGAAGAAGGAGACATTTTAAAGCATCCCTCTGAACCCTACCCTAATTTTATTTCTTTAGTTTCCTAATTGGAAGATGCAGATTTCTGTAGCCAAATTTGATGAAATCAAAGTCCTATAGATTTTTTTTTTTTTTTGAGTTGGAGTCTTGTTGCAATGCCCAGGCTGGAGTGCAGTGGTGCTCACTGCAAACTCAGCTTTCCAGGTTCAAGAGCTTCTTCTGCCTCAGCCTCCCGAGTAGCTTGTAGCACACACCACCACACCCAGCTAATTTTTGTATTTTTAGTATAGACAGGGTTTCACCATATTGGCCAGGCTGGTCTCAAATTCCTCACCTCAGGTGATCTGCCCTCCTCAGCCTCCCAAAGTGATGGGATTACAGGTGTGAGCCACCGCACCCAGCCCAAAAGAATAATTTGAACTAAATGAATTTCATATTTTTAATTGAAAGTCTGGACTTTTATGAAAGAACATATTTATCTGTTAAACATTAACTGAGAAATTGGAATGAAGACAGCCCTTTTCCATTTAGTTAGGAGAGAAGGAAAAATGAATAATAATAATGGTATTAATATTATTTTTAAAAGGCTTTAAATACAAGTATGAGTAGGATTATTATATAAAATAATGGTCATTAGGTATCAAAACTGACTTTTCCATCCTTAAAGAACTACTTTTTGGAAACTAAGCATGATTAGTAAGGAGGGGAGACCTTTGGTCTCCTAGCTGCACCTGTTGCCAGAAGAAGGGGTCCCTATCTAGACGGCAAGAGAGGGTTCGTGGATCTCGCGCAGGAAAGAATTCAAGGTGAGTCACAGGGTGCAGTGAGAAGACAGAGAGTTTATGGAAAGCTGCTCAGAGTAGGGCATTCTCAGAAGGCAGGAGGAGGAAAGCCTCCTCTTTGTTTTAAGTTTTTCTTATATAGGGGTCTTATCTATGTAAAAGCTAAGCTATATCTGCATCTGGGCGGGCTGACAGCATGACAACATTTATTACTTTGCTGATTTAAAGGAAATGATTCCTGGCGTTTACTGCGTAAATGCATTTAGCGCGTAACTATATTGGGCCAGCCAAACAGTCCGCTGTCGGAGGAGTGTGTCCTTGCAGGTGTTATTAAGCTGCTTCCTCAGCCTTAAACATGTAATGACCATGGGTCATGACTAGCAAGGAATGTGCCTTGATTTCAAAATGGTGTCTCTCTGGCTCTCCTATGCTCCTGCTTCCCTAACACACCCATCAATGAACGAGACATGCCTCCTTTCTGATGATGCCACATCTATGTCCTGAGCCCCCCACTGCCTGATTAGTGGGCAGTGCCATCTTTTCCTGGTGTCTTCTTGCCCAATTGCTCCTTTTTGGAGTCCTCAGTGGGAGGAGAGGGTGGTTCTCATGGGCCCCCTGATTGAACCTGGGGGTATTCACCACCCACCACACACCCCCTAGTGGGCTTGGGGTCCCTGGGGGTTGTGGTGGCTGTCCAAGCTGCCAGCCTCTTGCTGCTGTCCCTGCCCCTCACCACCAGCCTCCAGGGTGTGCCAGTCCAGCTCTTCTCCCGGGGCTTTCTCTAATCATTTTGTCAATTTGTCTTGATTGTGGAGTAGATAAAGGCATTAAGCGTAACAAATTTACATCTTCTTTCTGTTTGGACACTTAAAAGAAATAGCATAATAAGAACAATGCAAGTAAACTCTTTTAGAAGGAGTTGCATTTATGTAATATTGGGAGATGGCGTTTACTAAGATGGTTGTGATATAAACTAGACAAATGTTTTTAAGGATTTTCTTAAAAAAGGGCTCAGGGAGGACATGTTTTGTATCAAATAACTTGATTGGCTTCTGAATCAAAAATGTATTCTCTCTCCACTACTCCAGGTGATCCCCTGGGCATATTCTGTGTAGGCCTGGAACCAGGAGTCCAAGGCATGAGTTTGAAGAAGGCAGGTTTAGAATCGAGGAAAGAAAAACCCTGAGCTGTTAGCTGAGGTGAGAGGGGCGTGATGGCGCAGGGATGGTGTCCAGGGGCAGGGTGGGGTGGGGGCAGGGGCATGTCAGTATCAGAGTTTCCTAGGGAGACACCCAGGTCCCTCCTGGAGAGACCTGGTGAGATCTCAGATAGCAAAGGTTAAATTTGCAAATCACTCAATGAGGAGTCAAAAACAGCAGCTCCTGGGGAGCTAGTGAGACTACAGGATTCATGCTAATGACAGTATTAAGAGTGACGGGAAACGACTTTGTCCTCATCAGTGAAAGTCATCTCCAGACAGCAATAAATTGATTCCTGAATATTGTGTGTGGCATAAATAAATAAATAAATAGGCCAGAAACGAAATTCTAATAGACTTGGTGGAAAGTAATTTGCAAACAAATCTTTCTGCTGCTGGGGATGCAAACGGCATCTGTGGGAGAGGTCGTCAGTGTCTCTAACACATTTCCTAATTACTAATGCTAATTACTTGCATCGTCATTTGCATACCATCTTGAGGCAGAAGCTACGAGGGCCCAGGAGTAGGTTTTTTTCTTTCTTTCTCTTTCTTTCTTTTTTTTTTTTGTTCCTGTTCATTCAGAAATGGAGAATAAAGAATTCTACCTAGGCTGAGTGCTTGTCAATGCACAGGACAGCTGGAACAGATTTTGCCCCTCTCTTTTTAGAGTCTGGCAGCTTCCAGCTCTCAGATCTAAACATAAAGACAACTACAGATATATGTGTGTGTATATATATAATTGGGAAATGGATATAAATGGAGATATATATATGGCCAATTTGCAAGAATTTTTAGGCACTTCCAATTCTGGGAATCCATATGGCCCAGTGGTTAAAAGCCCAGGCCCTGGATTCAGACCCCAACTCAGCCACTTACTAGCTCTGAGATCTACAGAATGGAGTGTTTAAAAAAGAAGAAGAAGAAAAAAAAAACTTTAGACAAATTAAATCTGACAGAGTTTAATTGAGCAAAGAACAACTGATGCATCGGACACCCCCCAGAACTAAAATAAATTCTGAGCAACTCTGTGGCTGCCACATGGTTGGTTAACATTTATGGACAGAAAAAGGCCAGTGACTTATGGAAAACAGAAGTGAGGGACAGAAAACGGCCAGGTTGGCTGTAGCTCCGCGTTGCCTTATTGGAACACAGTGTGAACAGTGGGCGGCCTGTGATGGGCTGAAACTCCGTGATTGGCACAGGAATAGGTTATAGCCTGTTTATATGTCCAATTAGGTTACAGTCCACTATGTACAGAGAAACCCTTAATACAGGGTGTTCCTTCTAAGGTTGCTGTGAAGATCTGCACCGCAGCAGGCCTAGAGCATCAGCAAAGATAGATTCTTGTTCCTGCTAGTGCAAGATAGATGTTGACTCCTGTCCTGAACCAACAGCCATTTCATTTGTCCTGACTAAACTGGTAGTGAGTTCAATGAAGGGTGTGAGTCTTTGCCTAGAGGGGTGAGTGTCAGGCCGGGATTCCTCTGTACTCAGGGCTCCTGGCTTTATGCTACCTCTGCTTATTGTTAGAGATACCCCAAAAGCAGCCACGTTGGTGCATTCCCTGCCCTGCCCACCCTGTGGCCTGCGGAGAATTACAGTCTATGAAAGTAGGTGTGGAGAGACCAGCCCACGTTGGGAGGGCTAGGGGAGAGTGATGAACTTTGGGCCTTCCTAACTGAGAAGAAATCGTCTGCAGAGCTGACTGACAGGTGGCCACCTGGCTGTTTTGGCTTCTTGTTTGTTTTTATTGTTTTTAAAAAAAACAGCAGCAGAAAATTGTAGAGAATTAGATTTCTTTTTTTCCACTTCAGACGATGGAGTATGTGTTTCTCAACCCATCTGCAGAGTTTATACCATGGCAGAAATTTTACCTTGATATTGACTTCTGGCTCTTCCTTTTTGTATTTGACTATCTTTATAGATTTTTAAAGTGAGAGGTGCAATGAAGCCATTGCAAATATAAGCTAGTTTTCCTTTGTTATTCTAACCCCAATATTTAAGCGTTATTTCTCTGGTATTGCAAATATTTTTAAATTTTCTGTATATAAAAACTTCTCTGGCTGGGTGAGACTGCCCCTCCTGGGGTAGCCAATTCTTTTTTTTTTTTTTCTGAGATGGAGACTCCCTCTGTTGCCCAGGCTGGAGTGCAATGGTGCGATCTCAGCTCATGGCAACCTCTGCTCCCGAGTTCAAGCAACTCTCCGGCCTCAGCCTCCTGGGTAGCTGACATTATGGGCACGTGCCACCATGCCTGGCTAATTTTTGTATTTTTTTTTTTAGTAGGGATGGAGTTTCACCATGTTGGTAGGGCTGGTCTCAAACTCCTGACCTAGTGATCCACCCTCCTCGGCCTCCCAAAGTGCTGGGATTACAGGCGTGAGCCACCGCGCCCAGCCAAGGTAGCCAATTCTTAAAGATACTAAGCAGCCCAGCCAGGAGCATGCCTCTGATATGCACCTAACCCTTGCTGAGACTACCTATCTATACTCCCAAATATCCCCGGAGTCAATATTCTTCTGCCTTAATCATCCTAGGACCAGGTACTAGGCAATTAGAGACCCGATAGTGCAAAGTCTGCTACAATTATTCAGACTAGCCAATCCTAAACTAAACTACACACTAAACTGTTCTTGCTGCCCTGCCCTACCCTGCTTTTCCTTCAGAAACCCAAACAAAGACAGTGGCCTAAACCTCATGTCTTCTGCCTCTGACCATCCTGGTGTCTTTCCCATGTGGCCTTATGTGATGTGCTGTGCTTCCTGTCTCTCGAACCTGTGAATATTATATTCACAGGTTATTTTTGTCTCCTCTGTCCCCTTTGGTGGCCACACCTGAATAACCATAAAAGAATACAAAACATCTTTCTTTAAAAGAAAATAAAATGAGTACCTTCCTATTACTAAAATATAGAGTAATTATATCGTAATAATTTGGGACAATTATTTGAGATGTAAAATGTGAGATTTTATTAACAAATTAGATACTTGAAGTGTCTTTGTAGCTTGATAAATTATGATTTGTTGTGTGCTGATGTCTGCTTAAAATGTTAGGTATGAAGTCTTGTAAAGAGTCCCAAAATGAACTTTGCTGCATTTAATTACATGTTGTTGAGTGAATTCATTATGCTATACTCCATGAGAGTTTTCTAATTCCTTTTCCTACAGGTATAATAATAGTCTTTGTATTTCTGGAGTATATTTAAGCTTATATAAATGTTAATCGTCACATGAATCACAAATTCAGTCCATTACTCAACATCACCCTATATTAGTGTTTTATTGCTGCCTATCAAACTGAGCAAACTTAACAGTTTAAAGCATCTCACAGTCTCCATGGGTCAGCAGTCTGGCCATGGCTTAGCTGAATTCACTGCTCAGGGTCTCACAAGCCTACAGTCCAGATGCTAACTGGTCTGTGTTCTCATCTGGGTCCTTGACTGGGGAAGAGTCTGGTTCCATGCCCTCTCCCATTGTTGACAGATTTGATCTTGTGCCCCTAGGGCTGAAGTTGGTTTCTGTTTTGCTGCTGGCTACGAGCAGGGGCTGCTCTCAGGATCTCCAAGAGGGCACTGGAAGTTTCCTGCCATGTGGCTCTCTCCAGAGGCCTCCCACAGCATGGCTGGTACTTCTTCAAGGCCAGCAGGAGAATCTCTTTGCTGAGATACAGTCTCTTCCTTCCTTCCTTCCTTCCTTCCCTCCTTCTTTCCTTCCTTCCTTCCTTTTTCTTTCTTTCTTTCTTTCTCTTTCTTTCTTTCCTTTCTTTCTTTCTTTCTTTCTTTCTTTCTTTCTTTCTTTCTTTCTTTCTTTCTTTCTTTCTCTTTCCTTCCTTCTTTCTTTCTTTCATTTCTCCCCTCCCTCCTTCCTTCCTTCCTTCCTTTCTCTCTCTCTCTTTCTTTCTTTCTCTTTCTTTCTTCCTTTCTCTCTCCCTCCCTCCCTCTCTCTCTTTCTTCCTCCCTTCCTCTCTCTCTCACTCTCTTTCTTTCTTTGCTTCTGACATGAGCCCTGCCTGCATGGTGCTGCTTTAAATTAAAATGTGAGGGGATCCATTTGGGGGTATGGTCAGTTGGGGGAAATAAGAGTTCTGTTTTATATATGTTAAATTTAAATGACTGTGCGACATTCAACTAGAAATATCAACTGTGGATATGTGAGTCTAGACCTCAGAAGAGTGATCCTACCTAGAGGTATAAATCTGGTGTGTTTCAGCATAAAAATGGTATTTAAATCCATGAGAACATTTAAAAATCACCTAGGAAGAGAAAAATAGGTGGAATAGAAATACAAGAAAAGCCCAAGAAAAATATCATTTTTAAAAAGAGAAAGGACCATGACCCAAACCTTAGGAATGCAGTATTCAAAGGTTGGAAAGAGGAGGAGAAGCCACAGAATAAGGTAGAGTCTGAAATAATGTAATCTAATCAAGGAAGTAACAGTCCCTATTTCATCAATTCTGCCATATTCTATTGATGAGAAGAAGTGGTGGTCCTGCCAGCACCCAAAGGGTACAGGGAGACTCAGGGCATGAACACTGTGGGCAGGGATCCTGGGCCATATTAGACTTCTGCCTGCCATTGGCCACATTTTTTGTGATTATGGCCTCATGAGTTAGGGAAATCTAAGAGATTTCAGGTGTGTTCTAATGGGCAGGAAAGAATGACATTTTTATCCCAACTTAGATTTAGAGATTTTGAGAAACTTCACTGCTTGCTTGCTTAATTATTCATGTATTTTTGGAGTAGTAGAATTTGCTAGATTCTTTTTACCTCTTGGGGTACTCATCCTTCATCTATATGAGTGCTGGCTGATATAGGGAGTATAAAAGCCCATTTCCCTTGCCTCCAGGTGGTATAATTCTAAGGCGCATTTTATGTACCAAACACCCTACCACCACCACACACCTGCTCCATGGGTTAAGCCAAGGTTAGACTTTACCTGAGGCCACCTTCTTGTTTTCCTCCTTTCTCTCCCCTTTCCTGCTTCCTCCCTCCCTTACAGGTGTCTCCGAAAGAGACCCCTCCCTATAGATCATGTTGACCTGAATCCCTGACTTGGGCTGTGCTTCCAGGGAATCTGACCTGACCTGAGACATCCACCTTGTCTCAACAGAACTGTCAGATGCTCTAGCGCAACAATCACCTGCCTGGGCTTCAGTACCAGGGAAGTCTAGGTTTGTTTCCTGGCTCTGCCACTTACTAGCTATGTACAACTGTTACTAAATCTCTCAAAGTCACAGTTTCTCTACCAGCAAAATGGATGTAATAAGGGTAAGAAGATTAAAGATAGACGGTTTGTAAAATGCACATCACATAATAAATACTTGAGAAATTTTAGCTATTTTTATTATTTCCAAGAGATGAGTATAATAATAAGATGAGTATATAGATATACTTTTCAAGGAAATATGTCTTTTAAAACTTTAAGCTCCACACGTATGCCTTCTTTCACATCTGAAATAATTATGCAAGCTCTCCAGGCAGTGGCTTTGATTTGTTTTTGATACTTGTGGTAATAGGTTCCATTGGAACATTGCCTCTCTCTGGGCACTGCCCCTGGACCAATGGCTCCCTGTGGCAAGGCTTCTGCAGTTACTAGGTGGCTAAGAGGTCCAAACCTAGTTTCACTTCGGGGACTGGGAGCCAGGTCTGTGAGTTCTTTAGCAACTTGCTTTTGTTCGTTTTGAAGCAAATCAGTCTAGGCATTCCGGGCTTCTTCCAGCTGGGCAGCTCACTCACTGCCCTGAGCAAGGAAAAATTAAAGCTCAGATCACAGTACTCTCCTTCATTAGAGGGTACTCATGTGTGTGGAGGGCAGTGGGAGGGCTCACAGGAGAGAAGGAATGTAAATACTTACCCAGCAGATTTTATTTTATCCCTGTTCCATTATGAATGACCTTATAAGCTGTGGTAAAGATTTTGAATATTACTCTGGGCAATGGGGAGTGATTAAAATGTTTTAAGCAGAGAAATGACATCTCAGATTTGCATTTTAGAAGTCCTTGGCTCCAGTGTGGAGAATAGATTGTGAGGGAAGTGGGAGGCAGGGACAGAAAATACAGAATTGTTTTAGCTAACTGGGAGAAAGGCAACAGGGCCCTGAACTAGGGCAGTGATTCTAGGGATGACTAGAGACTGGGAGAAGATTCTGGAGACAGCTGGGGAGTAGAACCAATGGGATTGGCAATTGATTACATGTAAGGGGGAGAGAGGGATCAAGAATGGGCTACAGGAGGCTGAGGTGAGAGAATCTCTTGAGCCCATGAGTTTGAGGCTGCAGTGAGCTATGATTGCACTGCTGCACTCCAGTCTGAGCGACAGAATGAAGACCCCATATATGGGTTCTGTATTTGACAACTGGCTTGATGATGAGTCATTCATTGAGATGAGGATCATGGTGAAGTTTGTCTATATCAAGCTGTGATGCCAAGTGGACATGTCTGGTAGGCAACTGGCTACAAAGAGGGAGGAGTAACAGGCTCAAGGCAGCAGGAAGAGGAGAGATTCGGGGGTGTAGGAGAATGGCCAGACACACTAGAAAACTACTGGGGAGCACCTCCTTCAGAGCGTGGCCAGACTTCTGTTGAGGCAAGGATGGAAAAGGAACAGTTGCTGAAGCATTTTACAATAGGGGTGGTTTATTAACCACAAAAGGTTTTGTGTGGGTTTTTTCCAGAGAACCTGTGTGTGTGTCTGTGTCCTCATCTCTTCTTATAAGGACCCCAGTCATATTGGTTTTGGGGTCCACTCTAACAACTTCTTTTAACTTAAGTACCTCTTTAGAGGCCCTGTCTTCACAGTCACATTCTGAAGTAGTGGGGATTACCAATTCAAAGTGTGAAATACTTTGGGACAAGCTAAGCAACTTCTCTGTCCCCAGTTTCTTCAACTGGGGTATAATAATAATCAAATGCCATCCTCCTAGGTTTACCTTGGGGATTAAATGAGGTGATAACATGTGTGTGTTTAGAATGGTGCCTGGCACCACGTAAGCATGCGGGCCGGCACACTCATTCATTCGTGATTCCACACATAGTCGTGAAGCTTCTGGACACAGTCGTGAAGCTCCTGGACACGTGTAATCTGCCCTGGAGAATACAAAGGTGAGGTTCAAAATCAAGCAATACTTTAAAAACCAAAGACATCCATGGTGTTGCTAATTGCTGGGTGAGTTGTATTACACTTTACTCAATTAGATTTTTAGAACAGCTTCATTAAGGTATAACTTACATAACTTTTTAAAATCTACAGTTCAATGACTTTTAGGAAATGTAAATGGTTACAGTTGTGTAACCATCATCACAACCCACTGTTAGAAGACTTCCATCACCTCTCAAAATTGCAGTCAATCTCCACTCCCATCCCCATCCAGGCAACCATGGATCTATGGCTTTCTGCTGCCATAGTTTTGCCTTTTCTAGAATTTCACTGAAATGAAATAATACAACATGTAGTCTGGCCTGTCTGGCTTCTTTCCCTTAACACAATGTTTTAGCACGTTGTTGCATGTATTAGTAGTTTGTTCCTTTTTAATTGTTGAGCAATTTCCATCGTAGGGATGTACCCCATTTTGTTTATCCATTCATCAGTATATCTACATTTGTGTTATTTCTGCTTTTTGGCTCCTATGAATGACATTGCTATGAACATCCATGTTGAAACCTTTTTGTGGATGTATGTTTTCATTTCTCTTGGATAGATACCTAGGAGCGAAATTACTGGGTTATATCACAAGTATGTACATAACTTTTTAATGAACTGCCAAACTGTTTTCAAAAGTGACTATGCCAACCCAGCTGGATTTTTAATTCCTTCCAGATATGAAGTGTGCCATGGGTCTTATTTTACGATCAGCTCCCTCACTGCCATTACTCACTCCTGCCTCCCTACAGAGCCCAAGGCCATGCGGTAGGTTTGGAGAAACTCACATTCCTACCAACCAGCTGGATTAACACACTCCCTAGAAACATGTAGCTTGTTTCCTGGGCTGAGCAAGTGTGGTCCTGTCAGAGATGTTTGTGCTCTACAAGAGCATGTGTCGAAGTAATTGATTTAGTGTCTGATGCACTCTCCCTGAAGAGTGGCTGAATTACAAGCTCTCCAAATCCAACTGATCCCTCACATGACTCGTTGGGGACCACAAGGAGGACAGTGGGGCTGGGAGGCTCATTGGGAGTGTTCACTTCTTTCTTTTGCTCCACTATGATAGGAGATTCTGCAACTTTTTTGCAGTTACATCTATTGTTAAAGAAAAAATTATTCAATGACACTTGTGAAAGCACATAAGGAGCCCTCAAGATAGGCATTGGGACCACGGCAATGGGGTTTTGCAGATGGGGAGAGATTAGGTTCAACTCTGAACATGACATATGCAAGTGGGAATTTACAGCCAAGGAGCACGGTGGGGGCAGTGGATGGAAACCACTAAGGGAAATCCTCAGGGTTAAAAGGGATTCTGGCTAAACCAACCTACCAGGATTCTAGCTGAAAACAGGCCAGGGTGATCAGACAGCACCCGGGGGGGTGGAGGATGAGAAACCTGATTAGATATCAAGGGCGATCAGGTATTGAAGGTGTAGCATTTTTGCCAACTGATTTAGTGGGTTCTCTGCTCAAACTGGGTTTTACAAGAAAGTGCTCAGATGGGCCTAGAGGTTTTAGAAGGCTGACTAGTGTTCAGTCAAGCAGAGAGTCTTTGCCACTATCGGCTTGAAAATGGTGAGACCCAAAACACAGAAACATGGCACACGTGGTGGGAGTTATGAGCTCAGAAGGCCAAAGGGAATCCTTCTGGGTGCCCCCAGGAGTCTAGACCCAGAGGACTAGAGTCTGCACCAAGAAAGCCTTTTGCTTGTGTTGCCTTTAGAGAAGAGGAGACCAGCTGGGCAGCACCGCCCCTCCTGGGTTACGTGCAGCTGAGACACTTGTATCCCGGCAGTGAGCCCCGGCCATCTTGATGGCCGATTCCTTGTTCCAGACCGGGGCCTGTTCTCTTGGGATTGTTCTTGCAGGACCCAATATGCACAGTGAAGGAAAAAGTAAGTGTGGAGGAGTGACTGCAAAACCCGCCAGGTCTGATGGGGAGCATGACCCAGAAGCTGAGCCTCAAGGCTCCCAGCACTGTTGTTTCCGGAGTTCCTCTGATGTCCCTGAGCTCCTGGCTCCCCATCTGAAAATGAGGGCGAACATTCCCCTTTCTGCCTCACAGTGTGAAGGTCAGTCACATGGTGTGTGAAAAACCCTTGTCACCTGTAAAGGGGCTCTCAGTGGAAGTGACCTGTGCATTCCTGCAGCCAGAATCAAGCCCGGCACTCCTCAAACCTGCCAGATGATAAGAACCCCTTGGACAGATGCTCACATGACCAGCCTCATCCTTGGAAATGCTCATCAGTGGTTGTGGGTTGAGGCATGGGAATCAGTGCTGAGTAAGTTCCCTAGGGTAATTCTTCTCCTCGGTGGCTGGGGAAACATGGACTATCTGATCGGGTGGTTCTCAGGCTTGTCTGCGATGACCTGGGGGAAGATAACAAAGAGAAAGACTCCATTTTTTATGTTTGACCACTGATGGCTTTCAATCCGTTATCTTTCCCTCCCGCTGGAACCAC
Source organism: Homo sapiens (assembly GCF_000001405.40). Lineage (NCBI taxonomy): Eukaryota > Metazoa > Chordata > Mammalia > Primates > Hominidae > Homo > Homo sapiens. The sequence continues at coordinate 234,134,861 of NC_000002.12, forward strand.
ATCCAGGCAAGTTGATGAGAACATTGATGCCTTCTCCCTGGGTGCCTGAGTGCCCGTGGGGAGTTCAAATCCTGGCCTCTGTGCAGGAACCCTCAACCTGGCTGGCTCACTTTTAACCACAGTAAGAACCAATGCTACTGCCATTGCACCTACTTTATTTTCTCAAGCCCCCTGGACTGTATGGAGCCCAACTTGATCTCCCAAGAAAGTCACATTATGTGACCCTTTTCACAACCTAACAATGGAAGGGACCAGTCTGGGCAGCCTAACCAATTTTGGATGGCGGTTAATCCCACCCTCCATGGGGCACCTGCATGACAGGGGGCTTCAAAGGTCAATGCCTGGCCTGCAGAGTCAGATGTGAGCATCTGGGAGGCAGCCTGGCCATCAGTTTAAAGGTTCCTGGGTGATCCCTGGTGATTGCTGGGTGCAGTGGGGACTGAGGACGTGGGTCTCATTCTCCTCACGTCCCATCCAGTTGACTGTAGCTTTCTCTTAGCTGGCCTTGCCTCAGCCTGGTGAGAGCAAAGTCTGTGCATTTTTTGTTACCTTTCTATTCCCGGATCTTAGCTGAAATGCAGGCGCTGCTTAATTGACAGAAAGAAATGAAAAGGAATTGAATGCTTAGAAACAGTGATCGCATATCAGCCAAGTATACAACAAGAGTCAGGCCTCCCCCACTTTGACACTTTCTCCTCTCTATTGCTATTCATTTTGGGGACCTTTGGGGTAAAACTGCATGTTAAAATGTAAGGAATAAGACTCCAGCTGAGGAATAGGATTTTCACACCTAGAGTTTTTAAAAAATGCAACAGAGTCCGGTATCAAACTCTAAACAGAAACTGGATCGGGGATTCTTTAGAAGGGATTCCTAAAATGGGTGGCCCCAAGCCTAAACGACTTCAGTGGAATCTTCCAGTCTTGCATTCACCGTTACCAGCTGTTTGTAATGGGAGAGATTCAGTGACTCTTATCGGGCACTAGATGGCGATCAGGCATCAATAAGGCCCAACAACCGCCTCGGACCTGGGACCTGGGATTGGCTCCTCCAACCCTGGCCGCCACCCTGGGAAGTGGCCATTGTCATCTTGATTGTCTGTGGGAGACCAGTGAGGCTGGCGGTGGGGATTAGAACTTCACCCAAGGATCACACCCTCCTTCAACCCTTCCTGTGCAGCAGGTTTTACATTCATGTGCAGTGACCGCAGCCGAGGATGTGGGGCACAGCCCGTGAGAGAGACCAGGAGGTCAGCAGTGGTGGGAGTGTTGTGTGCAGTGCAGCCAGGGACCACGGAACGGGTCTCTGTGGCCGCTGGACCCTGCCCCACGGGCCTCAGGGAGGAAGAGCTCTTGAAGGCCGAGAAGGGGCTGTGCTCTAAGCCTGCTGCCCAGGCCTACCCTGCAGCCCCCAGGATGGTTTTCAGGATGCCTCTAATAACACCCATGTCACTCTTACCACTGGCCAAGCACCATTTTGAGCACTTTCCACAGATCAATGTATTTAATCCTCACACAAGCACAATGGGCTGGGTACTACCATCATTGTCATTCTATAGATGAGGAAACTGAGGCACAAGGAAATTACAAAGTTTGTTCAAAGTCATTTGTAGACCAAAAAAGAAAAGAAAGAAAAATTCTGAGCCCTTCAACCATCTAAATGGACCCCTCCTCTCTGCAAGGACATTCCAAAGCTAACCTGAAAAACTAGTTCAGGCCATGATGGGAGGCAGGGGTCAGAGGTCAGACATGCCTCATTATGCCCTCCTCCCTTTTGGAATTACTGATAGAACATTTACAGTGTATTCTCTCTGAAGCCTGCCACCTGGAGGTTTCACATGCATGATTAAATCTTGGTCTTCACAACCCTTTATCTTAACCCAGACATTCCTAAGTCCTCTGACAATAACTTAACTCTTTCAACCAATTGCCAGTCAGAAAATCTTTGAATCTGCTGATGATCTGGAATCCTCCTCCACTCCAAGCCCTGCAGCTTCCAGTTGACCCACCTTTCCGGACAGAACCAATGTTCATCTTACATGAATTTGATTGATGCCTATGTCTACCTAAAATGTATAAAACTAAACTGTCCCTGATCACGTTGGGCACATGTTCTCAGGATCTCCTGAGGGCTGTGTCATGGGCCATTGGTCACTCATATTTGGCTCAGAATAAATCTCTTCAAAGATTTTACAGAACTTGACTCTTTTCATCAACACATTCAACAAGTAGGTGACAGAGATGGGATTATGCTATTTTTTGAGACAGTTTCACTCTGCCACCTAGGCCGGAGTGCAGTGGCGCAATCTCGGCTCACTGCAACCCCACCTCCAGGGTTCAAACAATTCTCCTGTCTCAGCCTCCCAAGTAGCTGGGATTACAGGTGCACGCCACAAAGCCCGGCTAATTTTTGTTTTTTTTAGTAGAGATGGATTTTCCCCATGTTGGCCAGGCTGGTCTTGAACTCCTGATCTCAGGTGATCCGCCTGCCTCAGCCTCCCAAAGTGCTGAGATTACAGGCGTGAGCCACCGTGCCCAGCTGAAAAATGTTTTAGATAAATTTTGTTCAATTGAAAAAAAAAAAAACAAAAAAAACAACTTATTACCTCTTCAGACCTCCTTGAGATGAAGCAACTGACTCCCTCTCACAGGAAATTTCTATGACAGTCAACAAAAGCTGTCAAATTGCCTGCCTTTGTTCTTTGAGAAATTAGAACAGCCTCCAATGCCTGCAGGTTACATTTCCAACCAGTGACTCATTTCATTGAGATGGGTTCTTTTTCCTGCAACGATAGCAAGTTTGTTATACTAGTTGGGTCTTGGTGAGAACACTGACTAGGAACCAAAAAGAATTCCACAGCCCAGGACAATTAGGTCAAGCCATGAAAGCCCTTTAATTCTGGTAAAACCCCCTCAAAGGGGCATGTGAACGTAAGTCTTCACAGCCCTCTGGCGCCAGCACAATGGCAAAATCACTCCACCCAGAAGCACTTGGCCCCCAGCTGGGACGTTCTGGGTTCAGCCTGGCTCCTTGTCCCAAAGGTCCCTGGTTGGCACAGTGGGGCTCTGCACCATCTATCTGGTCCTCTCCAGGGATGGCAGGCATGAGGCGGCATGGGCAGCCTCCTGTGCCGGGAGACTCTGGCTTGCAAGTAGAAATTAAATTCATGTCTTTTGCTGTTGGTGTTATTTGGATACAAAATATCGTCTCTTTCAAATTAAGTTTTAAAGCATCGAATTTTAAACTACTGGCAAGATAGTGTGAAAACTACAGTGATTAGAAGGGCTTGGAACTATTCTCAGATTTTAGCTAAAATGTCACTTTCTTAGGGAAGCCTTTTGTGGCCATGCCTTCCCGATCCCTCCGTCATTCAGTCAAGACCTTCTGAAATGCCCTCCAGCACCACCGTCCTTCCTTCATCGTAACATCTTAATTAGTAATTATATACTAATATATGTGATTATTTGATGTGTGGCTGTCCCCAACTCCTTCCCCCAACCTCAAATACACTAAGCTCCATGCTTGTGTTTTTAACAACCAGAGTGGTCAGGATATGCCTCAAAACATCAAGCATGTGAATTACTTAAAAAAAAATGAAAATAAATGAGACGTTCAATTAAAAAAGGGGAAAATTAAGGAAAAAGTGAGGTCCTGTCACATGTTAGCCTGATTAATTAACTACAGGATGGCATGTACACCCAATGGCCTATTTTATCTAAAACATTTTTCAGCTGGGCACGGTGGCTCACGCCTGTAATCTCAGCACTTTGGGAGGCTGAGGCAGTCATTAAAATTCGGAAGTATCGGTTGACTAAGAAAGATGTTCATAAGACGCCTTGTGAAATAAGCAGTTTTATAAAGCAGTCAATGATTCCATGAAAAATACAGAAATGTGCATAAGAAAGAAACAGTTGGAAGTAAAAACTGTTAATGTCAGGAGCAATGACTTCTGAAGGGGAGCAGCTGAGGCAGAAACTCCCAACTGAGTGTCCCGCCATTTCCTCCTCTCCCTGAGCCCCAGCCAGGTCACATTTCCCAGCCTCGCTTGCAGGTAGGTGTGGTCATAGCTGCACCTTGTCAATGGCTTCTGGGCAGAGCTAATGTAGACCATCTCCAGGCTTGACCTGCTGACACTCCCCATGTCCCAACCTCTATATTCTTTGGCCGTCTGCCGGCTGGAGGTTAATGTCCAAGAAGACCTTGACTTTGGAAGCCACATGGTGAAGGTGGCATAGCTGCCAGCATCCTGAATCCCTGGGCAATGGCGTGAAGCAGGGCTTTGCATGGCACCAAAACGTACACCAGCCTAAACTTGCACCGGATTGGGGCCGGGGCGGTATCTAAGAGGCCATGGTAAAGCAGGGTGAAGCTGAGGATGGAGTTAGACGGAGAGGCAGGGGTCTGGCAGTTACTGGGAAGGTGTTTCAAAGACTCATCTTTTCAGGCCTCTCCCAGGGCAGTGCTGTGACAGGGGCCTCACTCCTTCATGTACAGGATCTGATTGTATCTGGGCTCTGTCAAGCCCCATCTGCCTTTTCCACCAGACAGCAAGCTCCCTTCCCACAATCTCGGGTGGACTCCACAACCTTCTAGGCATGTCCAGTTACTAAAGCAGAGTCTCATTTTGTTACAATTCAATCTTGTTCAATTTAAAAGTTTCAGTCTCATATTTGATCTAAAGCTCTCTGGGCTGGCCACGCTTGTGGCTGTCATGGTGTGGAATGAAGGGTGCTGTGTCTGGCCTCCTTCTTCCTGGCCTGAGGCTGGGGCATTAAAGAAGGAAAGAGGAAAATCTATCCCCTTCTCTATGTGGCAATTGACTATCCCCTTTGGGTTGAGGGGAACCATTGCTCCCTTCCATGGCAATCCCCCCTCGGTGGCGACAAGGTGCTGTTCTTGTGACCGAGGTGGATTTTCTGTCCGCACAAAGCAGCCATGCATTTCCTTTTGCAGCAGGCATCCTGCTCGGGCTCTTATGTGGGAACAGTGTGTGGGCATGGGAGCTCTGGCCAATTAAGGCCACTCTACCCGGGATAACAATGGGTCTTTTCTACCCTGGCACTCTCTCCCTTAGTCAGTGGTATGCGGGAGCCAGCTTGGACCAGCTCATAGGAGCTGATGATTAGATTTTTAGGAATTTTGTGAGCAGATTGATGTTTCCTTGGTAGTTTGAAATATGTCCTGCTGGGAGTATTTACACCACAGGAATTGGCAAGAGCTGTACACCAGGATTGTTGTCTTCTACCCAGAGAACTGGTTATTAAAAATGTATTAGCACAGAAAAGTCAGTGGACTTTTTCTGTGGGGTGAGTGGCTCGGCTACTTTCAAACAAGAAACAACCACTACTGTCGAAGAAAGAGGGTATTACTTGGTATCTGGAACCAAAAGTTGAGTATATTGCCCTGTAAGCAAGGGAGGTCTATGCAGTTGGACACGTGAGTCTCTAAAGAAACAAACTGCTGACTTATATAGGGTTTGAGAACTATGATCTTCAGGGATTGGAGGACTTTTGGAGGCAAGGTGAGTTGTCCTGTAGCTGTGAAATTGTGGCTACTGGGATTTAACTGTTACTGATTGGCTGGTTTTTAGAGGTGCAGCTACTGATGTGAAGATGCTGTTGATTGATTGGAATGGCTTTAAAACTGATCATGGCGGTTACTTGTTGCTACCACCAAAGAACAATCTGTTCTTCCCTTCCTTGAATTTGGAGTATAGGAAGTCACCATTCTCTGACTTAGCGATGGTATCCTGGATCTTAAAGGAAAGGACGTTTAAGTGGAGGTCCCATGGAGAGATGAGGGGGAATGTATGGATTTTGGTTCTTTAAACTCAGTGTCGGCTGCACAAAAAGCAATCAGCCTTTGCTCTTCTAGAGCTTCTCTCAATGTCCAAAGCCTCTAACCAGTTTGGCTTCTCTTTTCCATGGGACACAGGGAGTCCCGCCCTTGCTGAGAATCAGGTCTTCTCTGACAGTAGTGCTGGGGAGTGGTGGCCATTTGTAGGAGTGTCCATCTTCAGGGAAGATGCTGCATCATCCAGTAACTCTTGCAGGACAAGGAAAGATCTCACCAGTATATCACACCATCCTGTGTAATTCACATAATGGTTCTCTCTATGGTTCTCATTCCCCAGCTGTCATTCATAGAACATTCGTCTATGTATAGAGCTGAAAATGGTCATCTCTTTTAAGTTCTCACCTGTCACTCTGGGGCAACATCAATTACTTGATCAAATTAAGAATATAGAGCTTACTTAAAGCTACATGCATTTCCTTGGAAGCTTAAAAGGACCAAAAGTAAATACAACTGTGATCCATTATGTAGATTCAACCATCTTATAAAAGATCACATACAGCCAGTGTTTACCTAAGGGCAGCAAAAACAGCAATACTGCAATTAATTATTTAGGCAACAGCATCTCTGAGAGTTGCTTAAGTGATATTTATGATATTTTGCCATGGCAACTATTCTTGTTTTGAATATTATTAAAAATCTATCAAACTGCAGTAGTAATGTACTTGTGGTTTAAAAATTGCATTGAGCTAGCATCCCCAGATACAGTCTCTCCCAATGAACTACTCAATTTCCTGTCGAAGATGAAGAAGTTATGAGTATGGCAGTTTACTCATGGGCTGGCTGGATGTGGAGTCCCTCGAGCAGAAGGATCACACCACCAGAAAGGACAGCTCTACAGCCCAGGAATAGATGAAATGCAATTTCCTACACAGTGTGTTAGTTTCCTATTGCTTCTATAAGAAATTATCACAAATTCTGTGAATTAAGACAACAACGTTTATTATATTATAGTCATGAAGGGCAAAAGTCTAAAATAGGATATCAGTGCTATATTCCTTCAGGAGGCTCTAGAGGAGAATCCACTTCCCTGCCTTTCCAGCTTCCAGAGGCCACTTGCATTCTTAGGCAGAAGAGCCCTTCCTGCATCTTCAAAGCCAGTACCATTGCATCTTCAAATTCCCTCCTGCCCCTCACCTCTGTGTCTGATTTTCACATCTCCTCTTCTGACTCTGACCTTCCCACCTCTCTCTTATAAGGACTTTGTGATCACATGAGCCCACCCCAATAACACACGTTAATTTCTTCATCTCAAGATCCTTAATCACTATGAACAAAGTTCCTTGTTTGCCACGTAAGGTAGCACATTCACAAGCTTTAGAGATCAGGATGTAAACGTCTTTGGGGAGCCATTAGTCAGCCCACTTTACACAGGTTCACATGTTATGTTCTGGGAAACATCAGGACCTCCTGGGAACTGGGATCTGTGAAGATCAGCCCTGAATTCACATGATAAGTGGGGGATAGAGCAGGTATAATGTGGCCCCCATAGCCTGCATGAGCCTTGAAGTTTTCATTGCAGGGAAGAAGAGATTTTAGAAACTTGGCTTGTCTAGCACTGACAATTCCTGACCTACAGGATGGCTTGGATGGACTATAGTTGTGAGATGTGACACATAGAGACATCGTTATGACTCAGTGGTATCCCCCTCAAACTCATATATTGAAGCCCTAACCCCCAATGTGACTGTATTTCGAATAAGGGAGTAATTAAGGTTAAATGAGGTCATAAGGTTGGGGTCCTGATCCAATGGGATTAATGTCCTTGTAAGAGACACCAGAAAGCTCCCTCTCCTTCTCTTCTGCCTGTGCACAAAGAAAATGTCATGAGGGCATGTGGGCACATGGTGAGAAGGCGGCCGTCTGCAGTCTAAGAGGAGAGCCCTCACCAGACACCAACACTGCCAACGCCTTGATCTTGGACTTACAGCCTCCAGAGCTGTGAGAAGATAAACTTCTGTTGTTTAGGCCACCTAGTCTCTGTGGTATTTTGTTAGGGCAGCCTAGCTGACTAAGACAAATAAATGCCTTTTTGGAATGTTTAGGAAAGTTGGAGTGCTTTGTAGTGCCTATCAGCTTGGAGAATGCTCCTGCCATGTTCTAGGAGCTGGGTGGGTTACAATAATACTCTTGTTTATTTTCCTAGCCTCTCCACAGTTACACCTTTATTTCACTTCCAGGAAAAAAAACAAAAAGTACCTCTTTGCTGTGATCCATGCAGCCTGGGCATTTGTGTGATGCCAGACTAGGTCTCAGGCACGTGGTCACAGGCCACTCACACCATAAAAACATCCAAAAATTGCAGGGGTTTTCCAACTCCTATACGTCTTTACATTCCCCTGTCCCAACATCTCAGTTTGGCCAATTTGTTTTCTTCAAAAAGGAAGAAGGGGCTTGCTGGGTCTGTTGGCATTAACATCTTCTGAAGAGCTAAAGAAGCCCTTTACCTGGGTTCTGGCTTAGTCTGACTGTGCATTATCTAAACAGGCATTTGAGCTAAACTTGTATCAGGTGAGCTGTACACAAAGAGAGACAGAAAGAATAAAACTCAAAACCATCACCAACCGATTGCCATAGCTTCCATCATCTCCCTCCAAGGCCCATCTTAACAGGCCTCCGGATAAGCTCTCTGTTCTATTCTCATTCACCACATTAAGTCTATTCTCTACCCTGTCCCAGAATATTCTTTCCCAGATGTAAACTAATTCTCTTTTCCTCCTCCTTAAGATCCTTTAATGGCTCTAGTTTGCCCCAAGGATAAAGTTCATGCTCCTTTACTTGGTGGCATCAAAAGCCCTCCCTGAGCACTTTTCTGCCTTTGAGTCCTGACTCCCCTTCTCGTACTCCTTACTTAGCCCTGTCCATGTCCCTGTTTCCTTGTAGGCACTCTCTCCTCCCTGTGACATGCTCTCGCCCACCCCTCCGCATCCTGGAAGAACCCATATCCCACCACGGAATTTCTCTTGCTTGGGCCCAATTTTGCCCAGGCCCTGTCAAACAGGAGCCATTGTCGTGGTAAAAGCAAGAGCTCAAGTAGATTCTTGATCCAATTAATAAACCCTCTGTCTCAGCAAAGTTTCACATAAAATTTATGTAATTGTTCCATGCAAGATAAAGCACTATTTGTGACCTCTTGCTAATCATTTCCACCTCTGATTTCCTATTTTGATTTCAAATGCATAAGTGAGTTTAATGAAGGGCTTGCATGATGACCCACTGCTGGGGCACAGACACCTGGAGGTGACATTGTTCAGACTACGAACAGTTATCTGAGACTTATGTGGCTGATTTTTAAATTGGTGTTTATCAAAGCATTTCTAAATTATCTCACTCCTCAAAGATTCTCTAAGGAGGCTGGGTTGTAAAATGGCCAAGCTCTTTTATTTCAGTGGTCTAGCTTTAGGCCATAATAAAATGTGAGCTGGTGTTTAAAGAGACTCGTGAGGAATATAGGGATGGAAAATGAGTTTCATCATAAAACTGTTCAGTCATTCTCTGTGGTCCTATGATCATCGGGGCCAACTTTTCCATCAGGACAGGAGGCTCATGGCTGAAAGGCCATGATACTTTTAGGAGCCCACAAAAATGTTTCAATTTCTTCTAAAACCAGAAGAAAAAAATGAACTTTTAGGGTGAAAAATGTTTCAATTTTTTTCTCTCATCAAAAATAAATGATAAATGTTAGAAACTACATTAGTTTGCTGGGGCTACCAGAACAAAAGACCACAGACTAGGTGGCTTAAACAGCAGAAATGTATTTTCTCAGGATTCTGGAGGCTGGAAGTTCAAGACCCAGGTGTCAGGACGGTTGACTCCCTGGGACATCTCTCCGTGACTTATAGATGGTGTTCACTTGCTGCTTCTTCCCAAAGTCATCCTCTGTGCACATGTACCCTTTGTGTATCTTTTTGTATCAAAATTTCCTCTTTTTATAAAGACACCAGTCTTTGAATCAGGGTTCACCCTAATGACCTCTTTTTTTTTTTTTTCTGAGATGGAGTTTCGTGCTTCTTGCCCGGGCTGGAGTGCAATGGCGCGATCTTGGCTTATCACAACCTTTGCCTCCCGGGTTTAAGTGACTCTCCTGAATGGCCTCTTTTTAACTCAGTCCCCTCTTTAAAGACCCTATCACCAAATGCAGTCACATTCTGAAGTACTGGAGATTAGGGCTTCAACATATGAAATTTTGGGAAACACAATTTAGCCCATATCAGGGTCTACAAAAATCTATTATTATGAGAGGGACCCACAAAGGCAAAAGGACTCACAAAAATCATAGTATTGAAACTGCCATTGCAAAAATTATAACATTGAGAAAATTATGACACTGAAAGAAATCTGATCTGACCAACTCCATCTTGCCTTTAACCTCCAAACTGCCCTTGGTCATTCCTAAGCATGGGCCAAGCTAACTTTGGGAGTAATTTATAGTTCAAATGACAGTAGTCCTTCCTAAAACTCAACTGCCTCTGTAACACTAATGAAAAGTCACTAGGTTGGGAGAATGAGAGGGGCCTGAATTCCACTAAGATGTAGGCATAGTTAAACAATTACTAGCCATTATTCCAGAGGTCATAAGATTTACAACTTTCCCTATTACTCCTGTAAATTACATTACTATTGTATAACCCAAGATTGGTCTTTTGAGATGTCTTTTCAGGTTTTGCACTTTTGAGGGTTGGATGGCACCACTTGGATCCATGACTCTTGACTTAACTGGTACTGTGGTCCTCACCCAGAAGTGGACTTAGTGCATGAGGACCATTTTCCACACCCCTATGATTGCATGCCCAACTAATCAGTAGCACCTATTCCTCAGCCCCATGCCCGCCGAACTATTTTTGAAAAACCCTACCCTCCAAATTCTGGGGGAGGCTGATTTGAGTAATAATAAAACTCTGGTCTCCCATTTAGCTGGCTCTATGTGAATTAAACTATTTCTGTAGTCCAATTCCCCTGTCTTGATAAATTGGTTCCATCTGGGCAGTGGGGAAGAGAACTTGCTGGGCAGTTACAGTGTGGTCCTGGTGACAGTAGATTAGGTTGATTTTCTGCATGGAGGAGAATGGAATGAGAAAGTGTCTTGGCAGTCTGTGGAAATTCAGAATGGTTAAGCCAATGATAGCAAGGGTTCTACTGCATTTACTAGCAGGAGCTCCATCTTCTCCTGTCAAACCCACTGTTGACTGAAACTCAAAAACATATAGAATCAATAAAACATGTTATAACAATTCTTATTTAACTTTCTTCTTAAGAGGTCTAACTATTGGCTGGGCATGGTGGCTCACGCCTATAATCCCAGATCTTTGGGAGGCTGAGGCAGGTGGATCATGAGGTCAGGAGTTCAAGACCAGCCTGACCAACATGGTGAAACCCTGTCTTTACTAAAAATACAAAAACTAGCTGGGCATGGTGGTGCACACCTGTAATTTCAGCTACTCAGGAGGCTGAGGCAGGAGAATCGCTTGAACCCGGGAGGCAGAGGTTGCAGTGAGCCCAGATCACGCCACTGCACTCTAGCCTGGCCGACAGAGTGAGATTCATCTCAAAAAATAAATAAATAAATAAATAAATAAATAAATAAATAAATAAAGGTCTAACTATTTACCAGGCCATCAATTTTAAAAATTTATACACTGGATTCATTCAGTAAACATAGAATTATTTGCTACTAAACTGCAAAGTGCTGTGCTAGGCCCTGTGCTGAACTTATAAAATGAAACTATCAATGTGTTTTCCATGTCCTGGTCTCTGACAAGAGAGTAGCAGGAACGGGCCAAATGACTAGGGCCCGGAATTTGACTCAGGATAGGGAAGACCACATCCTGTCTCCCATTTCTGCTTCTCATTAACAGGAAGCTGTGTGTGTTCAGAGAGTGCTGCAGACATTAATCATATTCACAGACACCGAGGGAGACTTTCTAACATTCACGAGTGTGTGCTGCCCCAAGGTCAGCAAAGGTCATCCAGAAAGTCAATGTTGAAGGAAGAGTAAGGATCATGCTGCCTGTGGGATGGAGCCACCAGATGGCCCCAAATGTTAGCCTGGGCTCACATGGGGTCATTTATCTTCACCTTTACCAGGGAGAATGAGCAGTGAGTTTCCTCAATGGGTCTCTAAGGGCTGTACTGATTGTTTCATAGAACCACTGGGGGAAGAAAGGAATCATAGGAGAGAATGCACTTATAAAATATCAAGCAGCATAATTGTTATTTATAAAGCTGCTTTTTCATGCTCTGGCATGTCTTTAAAAATTTTCCTAGGCCAAGTACAGTGGCTCACACCTGTAATCCCAGCACTTTGGGAGGCTGAGGAGGGCAGATCACGAGGTCAGGAGTTCAAGACCAGCCTGGCCAGCATGGTGAAACCCCTGTCTCTACTAAAAATACAAAAAAATTAGCTGGGTGTAGTGGTGCATGCCTGTAATCCCAGCTACTTGGGAGGCTGAGGCAGGAGAATTGCTTGAACCCCGGAGACAGAGGTTGCAGTGAGCTGAGATGGCGCCACTGCACCCCAGCCTGGGTGACAGAGTGAGACTCCATCTAAAAAAAAAAAACAAATCCTGCAGGAGCTCGGACTCCGTCCTGCTGGGGGCTGACTGTGACTAGAGGATGCAGTGCCTCACCAGTGAGAATGCTTGTGGAGCTACTGCCATGAATAAACGGGGAACAATTTTCACCCATGCCTGGGGAAGGCATGAGGGAATTGTGCTGCAGGTTCATTTATCAAACAAACTAGGTGAAGCACAGGTCTTAGGGAATGACTGTCAAAGCATTCATGATTCCTTCTTCCAAGTTTAGTTCTGTGGGAACAAGTGGTGTAATCCAGACCCAGGGGCTCCGAGTTGGCATTGACCCCTAAGGACCAAAATGCTGAAGAGAAACTTATTAAGACCAGTAAATAATTGACATGGGCTCCTGGAGACACTCAGTGAAGCATTTCCAAGGCATCTAACCACAAACTGTAAATGTTAATTGGCACCCTTAGATAATAGACTCAGATAAGGAGATCAAAGGCACAGGAAGTCATAACTCCTGACATCGCTTTTCAGACAAGTCAGGTTAGAATCATCTTACTCTTCAAAATGCTTTTCACAGTGTTTCTGCCCTGATGGGCACAGAAAGTTTAATTATAGAGTGATCAGCAAGAGGGTGGAGTCTGCCCTTCATGATCAAGTCTGGACAATCAAGTGTGAGGAATATTTGTTTAGAATAAGGCTGTTTATTCTCTCTCTGGAAGCTGAAGTGCATCTCAGCTGTCAGATTAATCATTAAACTAAGCAATTTTTAGATAAACTTAATCTGAAAATTAGCCCCATGGCTTCCCCAGCACTGAACTCAAGCCCATCTTCCTTGAGTTACGTGATGATGGTGTTTCATAGTTCTATAATTTACTCCCAATGCAGTTCCAGGGTCTTCCTCTTTCTCTCCCTCTAGGTTTCAGAGTAGCCTCTTCAGGAGGTTCTCAGCCATGAAGACTCTACCCCAAGGGAGCTTATTCCACAGCTGACCCCTCACAAGGGCAAGTTCACAGAGGAAAGAGATCTGAATGCGTTTCCTCCCGTCCTTCTGAGGAGGCAGGAGCTGACCTAGCTGTGCTGAGGCCAACTCTGAACCTCACTTGTCCAAGTTTCTGGGATTCCTTCCCAGGTATGTAGCGTTGGGAGGACAAGACATGGGAGGAGAAGAGCTGACTCCTACTCAAGGACATTTAGTAGTGGCATTCTCTTACCTTCTGAGTATCTCCTTTTCTTCAAACAAGCAGTAGACTACGTTAGAGCCTTTACTCAAACTCCCAATACAGTGCAGTCTCATCCAATTCTCCCCACAACTTGAGGAGCTGTTCTCTCTTTGCTGTCCAAGCTGTATGACTTCCCTGGGGTCCCAGGGTGGCATCCTGAGAAGTGAAAACAATATAAAATGAAGGGAAATAAAGAAAAGCCTGCTCCCTGCTGAGTCTGAGCTCCAGCATACTGGGTACAAGTCAGGGACAAGTCTCCTTTCCTTCCTCAACATGCTCATTTGGGGCTTCCATGCTGTTTTGCAGGAGTGGAGAAATTTAAAATGGAAATGGACTAGCTGGCCAAAAACAGAAAAACATTTTCTTACACCTTGAGGCTGATTTCCAAAGCAGATAGGTGGCAGACCTTGTCTGGCTTTGGTCTGGCAGAATGCACTGGTCATGAACTTCACTTGCAGTGGAAAACAGCCTCTTTTCAATGGCTCAGAGGAGCCAGAATCATTTCTGCACAGAGGGCCTTCCAGTGGTTTATTTAGGACAGTATTCTTTTCTGCTACGTCAGTTAGACCTTCTCAGCATCCCCAATATACAGAGTTTATTGTAGTTGAAGGAAAGTCCTACCTCATTAAGAACGCAGGTAAAGCCTTGGGGCTGTTGAAAGAGATTTCAGGCAAAGTCTTTTTGCAATTAGTATATTCTAATAAAAGAAGAAACTGTGTGTCATGGGCTAAGATAGATGAGCATCATCTGTGGGCCAACACATTGCACAGAAACAGATTTATGGGGCTGACAGGATCAACTCCAAGAAGGAAGAAAATTCAGGCCAAAAATAAGGCCAAATACTCCTCTTCTCATTCAGGGCCATGGTACATGCTGTGCTTTGAATACATCCCTCAAATTTCATGTGTTGGGAACTTAATCCATAAATTCATATGTAGATGGTATTTGAAGTTGACACCTTTGGCAAGTAATTAGGATTCGATAAGGGTATCAGGGTGTGATCCACATGGTGGGACTGGTGGCTTTATAAGAAGAGAGAGGCCTGAGCTGGAATGCTCTTGCCCTCTCACCATGCAATGCCCTCAATCATGTTATGACACAGCAGAGAGGGCCTTACCAGATTCTGGAGCCATGCTCTTGGACTTCCCAGCCTCCAAAACTGAGCCAAATGAACTTCTGCTCTTTACATATTGCTTAGTCTATGATATTATTACAGCAACAGAAAATGGACTAAGACAGTACAGAGTGAGAGATTGGCAAATAACCCAACAGTTGTCCTGCAGTTATATCTGTGCATGTCAGTTATGAATGGACTTAGATTCTTATCTCCATGTAACATACAGCTCCACTCTTGGGTTTATGACAGCAGTTATCAGAAGCCCAGGAGGGAAAGGTAGTCCTGAGACCACTGCAGGCAATACTGACATGGAGGGATGAGAAGAGGTGGCACAGTCCTTTGCTACAGCTTTTCAAAGAGCCCAGGTCTACTGCTGGAGATGTGATTATTTCCTAGGGACAAAATGAGTTAAGAACCAGACATGTGCATATAAAAGTTCCCATGTTTCCTTCCTGTGGTTTTCAGACTTCAGGCTGCATAAAAATTAGTGCACAGGATCGTACACACACACACACACACACACACACACACACACTGAGTTTATGGTACTTTGTGGGCTATGTCACAGCTATCATGGATGATGGAGACTTTAACCGTTTTCTGATTTGAGGTCAAGTTCTGCCCAGAGCACGCAGCCTGGGGCTGGATTGACACTGCTTTGCATTGTGCATAGTTGCTCTGGACAGAGGGAATGTTTGGTTCCCTCTATTTGTGGTGAAGAACTTTTCCTGAGCTGAGGTCCGCAGCCCCGTCCTGATCCTCCATTTGGGGAATGTTGACAAGACAAGGCTGATTCTTCCTGCAATTTGTACCCCAGCAGGGTCTCTGCAGTTTCAGGACCTCTTTTTTGGCTTGGAAGATTTAGACATTTCATGTTCTCAACTGCTCCAAAAATTTATAAGGCCTTGGGAAACCTATTTATATTAACTACACTTAGAAGAGATCGAATTACAATCCGAGTTAAAATTTGGTTACTGTTAGAG
Source organism: Homo sapiens (assembly GCF_000001405.40). Classification (NCBI taxonomy): domain Eukaryota; kingdom Metazoa; phylum Chordata; class Mammalia; order Primates; family Hominidae; genus Homo; species Homo sapiens. The sequence goes on from NC_000002.12 coordinate 234,150,553, forward strand.
TTTGTATCGATCAGGATAGGCCTGGCTATGCCACCATGATAGCTCTAACTCAGGGGCTCAAAGCAACAAAGCTTTCGTTCTCATTGATGCAAAGGCCACAGCAGGCTGGGGCAGCTGTCCTCCAAGCAATGGCTTGGTGTTGCACCTCCACATCAACCATGTTGTTATGATTGATGACAGAGGGAGAGAGGGCATGCTGGAGGGTCTCCCGCTGCTACTTACATTCTCCCCTGAAGTAACACAGCCACCTCCACTCACAGCTCATGGGCCAAAACAAAGCATGCAGCCACATCAAATCTCCAGGGAGCAGGGAAAAACAGTGCCTGGAAGGAAAGGGACTGGAAATATTGGCATTAACCTTTCTAACCACTAGCATGTCCATGGCTGTATTCCCTCCAGATGGCAAAGAACCTAAGAAATGGAGTCACCAAGTAGATGTCAGTGAGCATAAGCTGCACGACAGGAGCTGATGAGCGCTTTTAAAACATAATTGTTAATAACAGCTAACGTTCGTTAATAATAGCTAACATTCGTTAATAATAGCTAACGTTTGTTAATAATAGCTAACGTTTGTTAATAATAGCAAATGTTTGTTGAATGCCTACTTTGTAGATTTTGGTATAGGACATACAGTTTTGCCTGTTATGATGAGTTTAACGAGCCTTTGTTCCTCGGTTGAGTCAGTTTGAGACCAGACTATTAGTGGCCATCAGAAACAGGATTTCTTCTACCCATTCATTTTTATGCCTCTCATCTGAATCATGTTACTTTGTGGCAAAAATTTTCTAACAGATTCAATTATGACTTTATTTTTGCATCACATACATGGATATATGTATATATATACACACACACACACACAGATATATATATCTGTGTGTGTGTGTGTGTGTGTGTGTGTATTATGTGTGTCTATATATGTGTCTATATCTACATCTATCTATCTGTCTATATGTATTCATCAATGATCAATTCTTCCATGGTCAATTTCAGTGAAGCCTCTTTTTTTTTTTTTTGGTGAATTTTAGAAGTACACTGGTTTCCTTGATTACATTTGAGAGATATACTAATATTACCTGCAAAACAGTCCTCTTACCTTACCCCTGGATTATAAAAGGGACTTCATGGCAGCTATCCATGAACTGATTACATTTCCACATATTTGAAAAATCTCATTATATTGGTCCATTTTCATGCTGCTGATAGAGACATACCTGAGACTGAGCAATTTACAAAACAAAGAGGTTTAATGGACTTACAGTTTCATGTGGCTTGGGAGGCCTCACAATCATGGTGGAAGGCAAAAGGAATGTCTCACATGGTGACAACAAGAGAAGAGAATGAGAGCCAAGTGAAAGGAGTTTCCTCTTAAAAAACCATCAGATCTTGTGAGACTTATTCACTACCATGAGAACAGTAAGGGGGAACTGCCCCCTGGATTCAATTATCTTCCACTAGTTCTTTCCTACAACACAAGGGGATTATGGGAGCTACAATTCAAGATGAGATTTGGGTGGGGACACAGCCAAACCATATTATTCTGCCCCTAGACCCTCCCAAATCTCATGTCTTCACATAATTATGCCTTCCCAACAGTCCCCCAAAGTCTTAACTCATTTCAGCATTAACTGAAATGTCCACAGTCCAAAGTCTCATCTGAGACAAGGCAAGTCCCTTCTGCCTATTTAGCCTGTAAAATCAAAAGCAAGTTAGTTACTTCCCAGATATAATGGGGGTACAGACATTGGGTAAATACAGCCATTCCAAATGAGAGAAATTGGCCAAAACAAAGGGGCTACAGGCCCCATGCAATTCTGAAATCCAGCGGGGCAGTCAAATCTTCAAATTCCAAAATGATCTCCTTTGACTCCATGTCTCACAAGCAGGTCATGCTGATGCAAGGGGTGGGTTCCCATGGTCTTGGGCAGCTCTGCCCCTGTGGCTTTGTAGGGTACAGCCTCCCTCCTGCCTGCTTTCACAAGCTGGTTTTGAGTGTCAGCAGCTTTTCCAGGCTCATGGTGCAAGCTGTCAGTGGATCTACCATTCTGGGGTCTGGAGGATGGTGGCCCTCTTCTCATAGCTCCACTAGGCAGTGCCCCAGTAGATGTGTGGGGACTCCAACCCCATATTTCCCTTCCACACTGCCCTAGTAGAGGTTCTCCATGAGGGCCCCACCCCTGCAGCAAACTTCTCTCTGGAGATCCAAGCATTTCCATACATCCTCTGAAATCTAGGCGGAGGTTCCCAAACCCTAATTTTTGACTCCTGTGCACTCACAAGCTCCACACCATGTGGAAGTTGCCAAGGCTTGGGGCTTGGACCCTCTGAAGCCATGGCCCAAGCTGTACTTTGGCCCCTTTTAGTCATGGCTGGAGCCGCTGAAACATAGGGCACCAAATCCCTAGACTGCACACAGCAGAGGGACCTGGGCGTGGCTCAGGAAACTATTTTTTCCTCCTAGGCCTCAGGGCCTGTGATGGGAAGGCTGCCACAAAGGTCTCTGGCATGCCCTGGAGACATTTTCCCCATTGTCTTGGTGATTAACAGTTGGCTCCTTGTTATTTATGCAAATTTCTGCAGCTGGCTTGAATTTCTCCTCAGAAAATGGGTGTTTCTTTTCATCACACTGTCAGGCTGCAAATTTTCCAAACTTTTATGCTCTGTTTCTCTTTTAAAACTGAATGCCTTTATCAGCACCCAAGTCACCTCTTGAATGCTTTGCTGCTTAGAAATTTATTCTGTCTGATACCCTAAATCATCTCTCTTGAGTTCAAAGTTCCACAAATCTCTAGGGCAGGGACAAAAGGCTGCCAGTCTCTTTGCTAAAACATAACAAGAGTCACCTTTGTTCCAGTTCCCAACAAGTTCCTCATCTCCCTCTGAAACCACCTCAGCCTGGATTTCATTGTCCATATCATTATTAGCAGTTTGGTCAAAACCATTCAACAAGTCTCTAGGGAGTTCCAAAGTTTCCCACATTTTCCTGTCTTCTTCTGAGCACTCCAAACTGTTCCAACCTCTGCCTGTTACCCAGTTACAAGGTCTCTTCCACATTTTCAGGTATCTTTTCATCAGCAGTACACTCTACTGGTACCAATTTACTGTATTAGTCCGTTTTCATGCTGCTGATAAAGACATACCTGAGACTGGGCAATTTACAGAAGAAAGAGGTTTAATGGATTCACAGTTCCATGTGGCTGGCGAGGCTTCACAATCATGGAAGAAGGCAAAAGACATGTCTCATATGGTGGCAGACAAGAGAAGAGAATGAGAGCCAAGCGAAAGGTTTTTCCCCTTAAAAAAAAAATCAGATCTTGTGAGAATTATTCACTGCCATGAGAACAGTATGGGGGAAACTGTCCCCATGATTCAATTATCTCCCACTGGGTCCCACCCACAACATGTGGGAATTATGGGAGCTACAATTCAAGATGAGATTTAGGTGGGGGCACAGCCAAGCCATATTACTCATTTTCTTTAGTAAGAAAGTAATGATTGTATTATCTCAGGATTTTCAACATCTCAGTTTGGAATCCTCCTCCCTGTAACTACAAGATATAATATTTTCAATTTGTGTATCTGGCTTAATATTGAACATCTCAACAGATGCTCATGAATCTTCATTGATAATTTTATGGCTGAATAAAGAGAATCTCCTCTTCCCTTTTAGTTAGCTTAGATTACCATATATTTATGTAAATTGTATTTAATTAATCTTGTTTTATGCCTAATTGTATTACAATTCATTTTACTCATCCTTGCTTTGATATTTAAACATTTTTAAAGGTGTTTTTGTTTTGTTTAGTATTTTTTTTTTGAGACAGAATCTCATTCTGTCACTCAGGCTGGAGTGCAGTGGCACGATCACTGCTCACTGCAGCCTTAACCTCTGGGCTCAGGCAATGCTCCCACCTCAGCCTCTCAAATAACTAGGACTACAGGCATGTACCTCCACACCCAGCTAACTTTTAAAATCTTTTTGTAGAGACAGGGTCTCCATATGTTGCCCAGGCAGGTAAACATTTTAAAAGATTTGATGTTTGTTGACTCTCCTTAATGGCTTCCTTTTGCCAAACACAAAACAATTAAGGGTAAATTAAAGTGCACATACTCACTGAGAAAATTCAAGCAATTTCAAATGCCTGTCTTTCCTTTGAGCAGGTTTATATCAGATGGAAGCTCCTACAGCCATTGGATGTATACATTGTACAGTGGCCATAGTCTCCACTGGGAATCCTAAGGTTGCTAAAGATGAAACTCCATGGCTGATCTGAGCCTTCACCCTAAGATTTTGGGTTTTCAAACTCAGTAGGTTTTTTTTTTTTTTTTGAAAAATTGTTTATCTTTTTTTCAGAGTGAAGGATTATAATGAAAGAACATCATTTTCTTGCTTCCTCTGGAAGCCTGGGGTGGACTGCTGTGGGGCGAGTGGAGCCCCATCTTCCCAGGAGGATATTCTCCCTTTTTCCAGTGCTGGTTCCTTTGGCCATGGCCAATGATGGTGGCCTTTGCAGCACTCCTTGATGTCACCACCCTCCACCAGAGCCAGGTTATGATGTGGGCTGTGGAGCCCACCTGCTGCCAATTGACGGTGAATCCTCCCAGCTGCCCCACCAATCACAGTTTGGTCAGCAGCTGTTATCCAGTGACTTTGCCATACGGAGCACACAACTGCCAGCAATTGCTTCCCGTGGCAGTCATGGCTGTTCTCTGTGAAGTAGGGTACCTGTTATCTTCAGCACCTTTTGTAGGGTCCTTGAGCTTCAATAATGCATGTCCACATGCCTCTGCATCTCACTTGTCCACCTGTCACTATCACCTCTACGAGTAGCTCAAACGATTCTCTGGTGAGTTTTCTCTCGGGACAGCCACCTTGCCCTGCAGCTTCCTCAAGGATGTTGTCCACACCTCTTTGGAGAGCGAGGGCAATGTCTTCCTCAATTTTATGAGCCCCACAGCAGAGTCCTATATATAGTAGGTGTTCAATAAATGTTTGGTAAAAAATCCAACTCCTAGGATGGACCATATGAAATTGTCAATATACAACTCTTTTTCTGACTCACAAAAATGACAGTTGCATATGGTTCACTTCATATATGATACAATAATTTTTAACTCATTAAAATTGCAATATGTATTATCAGCTCTCAGATTGTTCTTAAAATAGAATATTATTACCTGAAAAGTTTTTACTTGGTTACTGTTGAATCACAGTCATTTCATCCTTTTCCTGAACATGCATTGCAAGCTTCAGATAATTTTAAGGCACGAGAAATAATGTACTATATGTATTTTAATCAACTGTGTAGGACCTTTCGATGCAACACTTGATGTCTTTCTAGATCGAAATCTAAACAGCTCAAAGAATCGCTCAGAAATGTTATCAGATCTCCAGTTTAAAATAATACAGTGTCTCTTCTAATTTCTCACTAACACAGCTAAGAAAATAGGAAAATAGTAAAACTCATTGCAACATGAAGTGGTAACAACCAACAAAAGTCTTAATGCCATGACCTGGGAGGAATTAACACCAATCACAACAGAAAACAAAGCTGGGTAGAATCAAACAAGTAAACAAATAAACATCAGTTGGGTGATTCAACCAATGCTATTCCGAGTCTTTCCCTAAACAAAATTGGGATGACCTTTTCTCCCTCCTCCCCCTCCTCTTTCTTTTTCTTCCCCTCCTCTTTCTTTTTCTTCTTCAAAATCACTCTGTCTTCTAACTTAGG